>NC_000001.11:110462925-110765956 GCF_000001405.40 Homo sapiens
TGTGTATTTCTTTGCTAATGTACCAAATAAGGCATTTGTTATATGTGGTTTTCTACCCCAAACATCTTTTACACCAATGGCATACTAAACTGTTTTCAATTTAGATGATTAAAGAAACTGCCTATGAGCAGAACAAAAGCACTATACTGTGCACTCTGCAGTCTGGGGTTTCAGTTTCCTGGGACTGCATCTTAAGATGAGTGCAAGGAATTTTTGTTTTCCACTGGAGGGCACTGCCCACCCTGGTGGGAACAGAGAGATCCCTATGTAGTGGCTGAGTTATCTGGCACAGGCCTTAACTGGCTCTGAGTCTTCTATTGACTGCAGGGATGTTTTGTGCCCCCTTTAGAACTACACCCTGGACAGCTGACCCTGACAAGGAATAAGGTTGAAAGATGGGTTGCCACCTCTTGCTCCAACCCTGGTTGGGGCCATGGCTAGACTCAGAAGCCCAAAGCCACAGAATCACTGAGGTGAACAACTTTAGGTGAACGAAAGAGTCAGCTTCCCTGCTGAGGTTTTCCATCCCATATTTATGACAAAGGGCTCTGCTGGGGCCTGCACACAGCCATGGTCTGCAGCCACACCCTAGGTCCCTGCCACTCTGCTGTGTCCTGTCCCAGTTCTCTGCTCACCTGAGGGGCAGTGCTTGGGTCTTGGGAAGACCACTTGGTCCAGGTCACAGGAAGGATATGATTTATGGTCCTTTTGTCCAAAAGATCCTTTCCTGTCTCAGCCCCCTGCCTACTCGATAGACTCTGCTGCGCGTCAGTCACAGACATATTTGTTTCTGTGTACCTTGGGAGAAAAACACGAGTGTGGTTCTCAAAAGGATTCGGAGCTCCTGCGGGGGCTGGCCTGGTACAGGGCAGGAAAATATTCTGGGTCTAGTGAGGACAGAGGGGCCTTTATTTGGGAGCTGAAGATTAATGAGGAGGATTAACTGGATCTAAACAGAGAGAAACACTGGTGTGAGTAAGAAGACGTGGGCACATTTCTGACGGAGACGAGTCATGGAGGAGCCTGTGAAATTCTGTCTCAAAGCTAAACCCCAAAGATTAAGTAAACAAATATGTCAAATGGCAGCTTGACATGTTCTTGTTATTTTACATTTTGCTCGATTGGCATTTCTCATCAAATTAGCGGCAAAGCTCCCTTATGTTTCCTGACGGGGGGTTAGCACAGTGGTTCACTGCACAGACTGCCTGAGTTCGAACCCTAGTTTGGATGCTTACTAGAGACTTTGGACCCAAAGTTACTAAACCTCTCAGTACCTCAGTTTCCCCATCTGTACAATGGCAATAATAAAAATAGCACCTACGTGTTGTAACCAGCACACCACACTAGCATTACCTGGAGGGATCTCTTCAGTGAGGTAAACCAATAAGATGTCCAGGAAGGAACGAACAATCTTTTCTCGGATGTGCTTCAATTCCCCAGAAGCTGAACATGGTAGGAAGAAATCAGTTTGTTCAGATCATGTTCTGTTATTATCTTGAAGTTTAGAAGCACAGGTTTATGTAGGCAGAGCTCAATAACAGCTCCATTTGGGAACACAGATACACAAATCTTATCTAAGTACTTCTTAATACCTTGCTTAAACATATGAGTCACTGTTTCACAGTAAAATGGAATGTTTGCTCAATATGGGCTATGATCTTAATACTGTGCTATTCTTTTTTTTTTTTTGGTAGAAAAAGCATAAGGAGAGTGGGCTTTGAAGTCTGTCCTGGCTCCTCTCAGATTGTGTCCAAATCAAACCTCCCAAACCATGTGTGTTCCCTGAGACAGGCCTCACTGTTGCTGCGACTCCCTTCTAGAAGGAGGCAGTGCTAGGGAATGTTGCTCACCCCCTAGACCACCAGTTCCCAAGCACCAAAGGAAGACGTTACTGCCAAGCACCAAAGGAAGACTCTGCTTCTGTGGGGCCTTCAACAAGCCCCTCTACAGCTTGGACTCTGATGCAGGTGCTCCTTGTACCTCCCACTCCCAGAGAAACACTACCCTAACCCATCACCCCAACCTTTGAAGGAAATCAGTTAAACAAATAATGAAAATTCTACTTTTCTTTCCAAGTGGCAGAGAGGCTAGTTTCCATTAGGAGAAGTTCCAGCTAAGATAGAGGGTAGTCTTCATGCTAAAGCAAGGACTAGCAAGCCCGGGAGAGGGAGGAAGAAGGGTGTGTGTGCGCACCTGGGTCTGTGCCCATCCAGAATTAGGTTTCAAAGGGGGAACTATTGTGCCTGTGAAAACCTGAGTCATCAAAGTGCAAAGGGGGAAAAAGAATACAGAGAGGAGCAGTTGCGCAGGAGAGAGAGGAGGTCCCTTGAAAGGCAGTCATTTCCGTGCACTTTAAGGCAAACAGCTGGGCCCCCACCTGGACTCTGGAAAGCCTTGCAGGTGAGGAGGCTGAGCTGGCTGCTCTGAGGCCCAGACCAGGAGGCAACATGTGTTCTACATACACACTCCCTGGACCCATCTGGGGCTCAGCTGGGAAGGGATGAGACAAGGACCTGGGCTGCCAGATGCAATGCTCAGGGTCTCCAGGGGGTGTCAGAGAGTCAGGGCAACAGAAGGCGGGGCCCAGGACCCTCTCCTGGGAGCTGCCCCACTGCAGGAGCTGCTGGGGGTGGTATCTTAGTAGCAGTAGCCCCATGGGCAGAGGCAGCCTGCAGCTTACTGTCAGCGTGAGGGGAGGACAATGAGACATTTGAGAGCCTGCAGTGTCAGGCTGGCCATGCCTGGTCTCATTAGCCTTCAAGAAGGGGCCTGAGAAGAGGCTCTGGTGCAGGCCCAGGGAGGTAGGGTCAGAGGAAAGAGCCTGTGAGGGGTCTCAGGGGAGCTAAGCACCCACGGGAATTTGGCCCCAGCCAGGGAAAGATGAGAGAGAGGGTTCTTGCCTTATCTCCCTGTTGCAGTCTTAGTTGGACAAGTTGGGGCCCCAGTGTCCCCTGGAGGTGGCCTAACTGCAAAGCATGTAGGCCACAAGGGGCTTTTCTGGGTTGCCCCAGAGGTCCCCTGAGCCCTTGAGGAGCTGGATGCAATCAGAAGTGGGACCATATACTGCCCCCAACGTCTCCCACCCTATTTCTCAGACTCTGTCCCCACTATTTCCCACTCTACAAGGCGCCCTGTCTTCCTGCTCTGTCCTCTCTCTGACCTTCAGGCTGGTGGTCAGAGGTCCTCTTGGCGGTCCTGGGACCAAAAGTCTCATCTCAGCACCCTGAGGAGTCAGGGTCTGTTTCCACGTCTGGTAAACAGGAACAGTAACCCCTGGCTGCCCACAGGCTGTCACGAGGGCACCCTCGGCAGTGCTCCCCCAAACTCCCCTAGGGTTAAACTCACCTGGGGTGCTTGTGAAGTACCCAGGGTCCTGTGCCGCATCCCAGAGCCACTGGATCTGGATTTCTGGAGAGGAAGTCTGGCAAGCTAGAGTTTTAGCAGCTTGAGAAATGTTGGAAAGGAGTGAAGCAAAAAGGCCCCATTCACTCACTCTTCTTGGTTTGAATCCTGCTCCACCCGCCAACTGCCTAGCTACAGGACCTGGGGGAATTTGCTCCTCTAACTCAATTTCCTCATTGGTAAAATAGGTTCCCATTAGAGCTTATCTTGTGATGTTGTTGTGAGGACTAAATACGAGGAGCAAGCCCCAGGCTGGCACAGAGAGGAGCCACAGTAACTGTGAATATCACTACTAGATAGGCTTATGGAGTGAACGTGCTTTGTAGGCTGATAGATGAATTTTTTCTTCTCTTTATATAAAGTGGGCTCTGCCCTCTCTTCAATAAAAGACAGTGTCTGCACCAACCAATCCTCAAAACTCAAGTATAGAAACTGGATTGTGCACTTAATCAGGGTGGAATAGAACAGCCTGTGCCCACCCCCTCCGCTGATGGCTCATGAAATGGGCCAAGTGGGAGTGAGGCTGGCCTCCTGCAGCCCTGCACCTGGGCACCCTGCCCCATGAGGAGGAAGCAGGGCAGGGCCCTCTGTGCTCATACCCCTCTCCCTGACCCTTCCCTGCTTCAGGATTGCTGCCTTAAAAAAATTCTTTGACTGTTACCCCAAGTAGACCCACCCCGGATTTTACTGCATGCTGCAGCCCTCTTCATTCGTAAACCACCCCGTGGAGTCAGTCTGTTCAGTTCAAGGTGAAGATTTTAACTCAGGCTATTTATAATTCCTGCAATGGAGCGGGTGTTAGTTTCAAAGCAGTCATGCCAGATGTCAACTTAGAAGCTGAGAGGGAGACAAGCGTTATTATAAATTAATGTTGCCAGTGATTAATATTTGATATTTTTAACACACGTTCGTCTCAGAGGAAAAAAATCCTCTTTAATTAATGTGGCTAGATGTTGTGCAGTCCTTCCACTGACGTGGGATTACTGAAAATCTTTGGGTATAGCTTTGGGCAAAAATCTGACAGAAGAAAATAATTGAACCCTGAAGTCAGAGTCAGAGTTTGATGCCCCAGTGTCTGTACACCTGTCTCCTTCAGCTGGGACTGTCGGGGTTGGGCATCCGCCAGTCTCCTTCCCCCTTCCATCCTTTCCCCTCGGGACCTCCTGCTCCCATTCTGGACTGGTCCAGGCTGGAGAAGACACTGGTTGGTTCCATCACGGCCTGGGAGTCTGGAGATTTTTCTTTAGTCTGGGCTTTGCCAATATGTGAAGTGGCTCATCCTGTAGACTGTCACTGGGTGGGAGGAGAGGCTTGCCCTATAGACCTCTGCTATTTTGTCTGCACAGTGCAAAAACAAATGGTTGCTCTTATTTCAAAGCTGGTATATTTCTCCCCACATCCACATTTCCTGTATCTCTTGGAAAATGGCAAATCCTGGCATCCCTAGTGTGGGTTCCCACAGTGGCACTAACTTGTGATATTATCTTTCTTTTCAAATGTTCCTGAACCCGCCATTGATCTTGGCCTCCACTATACCTTCCTCAGGGTGGCCATCTGGTGGCTGGGGTTAGCATCTGACCTGCAGACAATTTGGTCTGCAGGTGTTGGCCTGCATTATGCTTAAAAAATAAATTGGGGCCAGGTGCGTTGGCTCGCACCTGCAATCCCAGCAGTTTGGGAGGCCGAGGCAGGCGGATCACGAGGTCAGGAGATCGAGACCATCCTGGCCAACATGGTGAAACCCCGTCTCTATTAAAAATACAAAAATTAGCCAGGCCTGATGGTGTGCGCCGTAATCCCAGCTACTCAGGAGGCTGAGGCAGGAG
Source organism: Homo sapiens (assembly GCF_000001405.40). Classification (NCBI taxonomy): domain Eukaryota; kingdom Metazoa; phylum Chordata; class Mammalia; order Primates; family Hominidae; genus Homo; species Homo sapiens. Next base: position 110,468,154 of record NC_000001.11, read on the forward strand.
AATCGCTTGAACCTGGCAGGCCGAGGTTGCAGTGAGCCGAGATTGCGCCGCTGCACTCCAGCCTGGTGACAGAGTGAGACTCTGTCTCAAAAAAAAAAAAAAAAAAAAAATTGGAAGGACACTGGGCCTGGTGGCTCATGCTTGTTATCCCAGAACTTTGGGAGGCTGAGGTGGGAGGATTGCTTGAGGCCAGGAGTTCGAGACCAGCCTGGGCAACATAGTGAGACATCTGAAATGAAGCAATTTGGAAGATAATTAAATTAATTGCATTTTTTTCTTTTTTGATCTGGTTTCTCCTAAAATTATTTTTCAACATTTATTTTTAAATTTAGAATTTGAAGCACAATCTCTAGTATTTTGTAGGCCCATAAAATGTTACATGCCTACTCCTTAGTTTAGTAAAAATAGATATAATTTGGTAGAATCTCTGGTAGGCGATTTTTTTTTTTTTTTTACATCAGCTAACATATTCTTCTCCATTACCTGCCTGGCCCCTGTGGTCATCTGGGCTTTCACCCTTGCCAATGTCACTGAGCCTCATGTTTCTTATCTGTTAAATGAGGCCTGAGAGGCTGGGGTAGAAAGATCATGGATTCTGGAGTTGAACTGGTCCTGGATTGAAATCCTGGCAACACTGTCTTCTCATCTTGGAGCTGAGTAACGACTTAAGTTCTTTAAGCTTCATTTTTCTCATTTGTAAAATATAGATAATAGCAACCACCCTGCATGCTCTTGGTGATGACTAGATGAGAGGAGAATAATAAGAGCTTGCATTCATCGAGTGCCTGCTGTTGCCAGGCACCTTGCATGGCCTCACTGATCATCACAAAAAACCTACAAGGTAGAAGATGTTTCCAGATGAGGACGCCGAGGCTGGGAGGGATGACTGTCACAAGGGCAGAGCAGGGGCGCTGAGCACACAGTGGGCACTCAGGGACCCAGGGCTGTGTAAGAGACATTGCCAAGGTCGCCTCTACTCCTGAAAACCCCATGATTGAGACCCTGTCCCTCTACTTTTCACAGTGACCAGGCCAGGGAGGAGTGAGTTTTGCAGATGTTCAAAGACAGAACATAAAACCTGAAGGTGTCCCTCTTTATATTCTGAGTTTTCAAAAGGTGCATATTCCATTCATTAGATTATAGTTTATGATATTTGGTTCATAAGAGTATACTGATTTTTATTTACAAGTAAACCTATTTTTTTACTGTGTTGTATATGTGACATAGAAGTTACCATTTTAATCATTTTTAAGGGTATGGTTCAGCAGCATTGAGTAAATTCATGTTCTTGGGCAAACATCACCACCATCCATTTCCAGAAATTTTTCATCTTCCCAAACTGAAACTCTGTACCCATTAAACAATAAATCCCCATTCTCTCCCTGGTCCCAGCTCCTGGAAACCACCATTCTACTTTCTGTCTCTGAATTTGACTCCTCTGTGTGCTTCACATAAGCGGAATCATACAGTATTTGTCTTTTTGTGACTGGCTTATCTCACTTAACATAGCATCTTCAAGATTCATCAATTTTGTAGCACGTGTTAGAATGTCCTTTCTTTTTAAGACTGAATAATATTCATATATATATATACACACACACACACACACACACACACAGACATACACACATATGCCACATTTTGTTTATCCATTCCTCTGTGGATGGACACTTGATCCTACCTTTTGGCTATTGTGCATAATGCTGCTACAAACATGGGTATACAAATATCTTTTTGGAACCCAGCTTTCAATTCATCTGAGTGAACTGAAGAATCCCACAAGTGGAATTATTGAATCATACAGTGTTCTACTTTTAATTTTTTGAGGAATTGCCATACTGTTTTCCATAGTGGCTGCACGATTTCACATGCATACCAGCAATATACAAGGTTTCCAGCTTCTCTAAGTATTTGCTAACACTCGTTTTCTCTCCCTTCCTTCCTTCCCTTCTTCCTTCCCTCCCTCCTTTTCCTTCCTTCCCTCCTCCCTTCCCTTCCTTCTTCCCCTATTCCCTTCTTTTGATAGCAGCCATCCTAATGTGTGTGATGTGATATCTCATTGTAGTCTTGATTTGTATTTCCCTAATAATTAGTGATGTTGAGCATATTTTAATACGTTTCTTGGCCATTTGTATCTCTTCTTTGAAGAAATCACTTCTATTCAAGTCATTGGCCCATTTAAAAATCAAGTTATGGCTGGGCGTGGTGGCTCATGCCTGTAATCCCAGCACTTTGGGAGGCCGAGGTGGGTGGATCATGAGGTCATGAGTTCAAGACCAGCCTGGCCAAGATGGTGAAACCCCGTCTACTAAAAATACAAAAATGAGCCGAGTGTGGTGGCGGGTGCCTGTAATCCCAGCTACTCGGGAAGCTGAGGCAGGAGAATCACTTGAACCTGGGAGGTGGAGGTTGCAGTGAGTTGAGATCACGTCATTGCACTCCAGCCTGGGCGATAGAGCAAGACTCTGTCTCAAAAAAAAAAAAAAAAAAAGGGAAAAAGAATAAATCAAGTTATTTGTTTTTTGTAGAAGTTCTTTACATATTCTGGATATTAGCCCCTATCAGATATATGATTTGCAAACATTTTCCCCCATTCCATGGGTTGCCTTTTCACTTCGTTGATGTGTGTCATTTCATGCACAAAGGTTTTAAGTTTTGATGTAGTCCCATTTATCTATTTTTCCCTTTGTTTCTTGTGCTTTTGGTGTCATATCAAGGAGACCTCACCAAATCTAATATTATGAAGATCTTAAACATTAAATTTTGAACCAGTTTTCCTTCCCAACTACTAAGCGATTCCTTACAACTTTCTTTCTTTCTTTCGAGACAGGGTCTTGCTCTGTTGCCCAGGCTGGAGCGCAGTGGTGCTATCTTGGCTCACTGCAGCCTCTACTTCCCTGGCTCAAGCAATCCTCCCTCAGCCTCAGCCTCCTGAGTAGCTGGGATTACAGGCATGCACCACCACCCCTGGCTAATTTTTGTATTTTTTTCTGGAGACAGGGTCTCACCATGTTGCCCAGGCTGGTCTTGAACTCCTGGGCTCAAGTGATCCACCTGCCTCTGCCTCTGGAAGTGGTAGGATTACAGGTATGAGCCACAGTGCCCAGCACAAACTGTATTTACAAAGCAAATCAATCACGATCTCAAGATGTGTGACCTGGTGCTAATGCCTCATTGTCCTGCAGAGGGCTCGTGTTCTGTATGTCCATCTTCGTCATCCCATTTTAGGACTGCCCTGTCCAGTCTTGGTGCCTAGGTATTGTGTGGTGGTGGGGACAGAGCTGGAAGGGACCTGTTTCCTACCAGAGAAACTTCTCACCCCATCCTCCTCTCTCCCACTCTGCTTTCCTCTTCTTTTTACCTCCCTACCTGAAAAATACTCTGAAATGGGATTTAGGACCTGTCTGCTAACCCCACTTCCCTGCAGCCCCCAGTGAATTTGGATCCATTTGCCTGTTTCCCGGGGCAGGGCCCTAGGCTGTGAGTAACCGGCTCTCTCCCTGTCTAGTTTCCACCTTCTTCCTCTGGACATGCGGGGTGGCATGTGTCAAATTTATAAATATGGTTTTGGAGAGGCCTTTGGATTATCTCAATCTTTAAAATCTTTTTATTTAGACATAATTTCAAACTTGCAGAAAGAGTTCTTACATACCTTAACCCAAATATCAGAAATGTTGACACCTCACCACATTTGCATTATTTTTCTGTCCGCTATTCCTCCCTCTCCCCTTCCCCTCTGCTTTTCTCTCTCTCACTCTCTCTAGGTATTAAAATATATATTATATTATATAATATGTAATATATTTATATATTTTATGTATAAAAATAAAACTTAAATATATATAAAATATATAATTATTGATATTTAATACATAAGTATAAAGAAAACACATAGCTATATAAATTATATAGAACATATATGTATGTTTTTCTTCCCCTGGATCTTTTAGGAAGCAAGTTGCAGACATAATACTCTTTTTTTTTTTGAGACGAAGTTTTGCTCTTGTTGTCCAGGCTGGAGTGCAATGGCGCGATCTCGGCTCACTGCAACCTCCACCTCCTGGGTTCAATCAATTCTCCTGCCTCAGCCTTCCAAGTAGCTGGGATTACAGGCACCCACCACCACGCCTGGCTAATTTTGTATTTTTAGTAGAGACCGGGTTTCACCATGTTGGCCAGGCTGGCCTTGAACTCCTGACCTCAAGTGATCCACCTGCCTCAGCCTCCTAAAGTGCTGGGATTACAGGCGTGAGCCACTGTGCCCGGCCTGACATAATACTCTTTACTTCAGTATTCCCCCCAAATCAAGGACATTTTCTTGTAAATATTAACATGAAAATTGGTACAAATATCGAAGTCAGGAAATTAATATCAGAACAATACTATCATCTGATGTAGACTATTTTGCCAATTGTCCTAATCATGCCCTTTACAGCAAAAGGAACATTGTTTTGGATTCTCTCTTGACACACAGGCAAGGGTGGGCTAGAGCCATGGCCAGCAGCCAGGAGGCTGGGTAGCCTCGGTCTTCCTCCCCGTGGTGGAGTCCAGTGGAGGCTCTACACCGCACCCTGGGCGAGAGAGAAAAGCCTGCCTGGTCCCGCCGGCGGCTGCCCAGGAGGAAAGTAGCCTTCATCCCCTGCTTTCCACTCGGCACCTTCTCTGCTTCCAGACATCTGCCCCCATCTCCACGGTGCCTGCTGGGCACTGTAGCAACAAAAATGCAAGTGTCAGCTCCGGCTTTGTGTTGTCACCATCCAGGGCCCTCATTCTAGAGTCATGCTACCTGAGTCTGAATCCTGGGCCTGCCCCTTACTGACTGTGTGATCTTGGGCAGGTTATTGAACTGATCTGTGCTTCGGTTCCCTTAAAATGAGACAGATAGTACCTCATTTACAGGATTGTGGTGGTGTGTGGCTGGGAAGAAGTGATTTTATACATGTAAAGGGCTTAGGATGCTGCCTGGTCAGTGGCCATGCTTGCCAACATTCATTGTTATGTGATCAAGCTTGATGCTTTGCTGAGGGGGCAGCTGGATCTCTCCTCACCACTTCCCAAATTAGCTTGAAATGTTAGTGGCAGGAGCATCATGAAACTGATGTCTAGTCCTCTAGTTGGGAGCATCAAAGAGGGTCCAGACTAGGGGGAGGAGGATCTCCCAGGGGTCATCTCATCTCTCACTCTGTATCTAAGTCAGCATCTCAGTGTTACCTTGATCAGTGCAGCACCTGTCAGCTGAGTTTCCCGGCTAGATCTGCCTAGGGATGTGCTAGATGCTCCCCAGGACTAGCCCCATTATATCCCTTCTAGCCAGCTGTTCTGAAATTTATACCTGGGGTTTGTTTTAATTAGGTATGGTAGGACATGCAGACATGGACATGATTGTCATGAAGGAAGAAGTTTATACTTACAGACCCCTAGACATAGGAGGCATGTAGGGCCACATTGGGAAGCACTGGGGTCAGTCAGGAGGTGGAGGTTGGGGGGGAGTTGTCTGGGGTGGTCAAGGGAAAGGAAATTGTGACATAGAGCCTTTATTGCATTATTACATGAAGGAATGGGTGACACAGGGTAGGTATTCTGAGTAAGCTTAGAATTGTATAGTTTGAGTAATTTCAGCGGACTCTGGGCTGGAGGAGTGGTATTTGACCCTGGGGTGGTTTAGGGCAGGGAGAAAATTGGCTTGCTTTTTGAGAGTTTGATAAAGGAGAGGGTTGGGGGTGTGGGCTGTGGGTGGGTTGGTTCGTATATCAAAGACAGGCTCACAGGGGAGTCTTTCGCCATGCCTAGGAATTAGCTAGTCCTGTGAGGGCAGTCTCTCAAGGATCAAGGCCCCAGATGCCAGAGCATCAAGAATATGGAAAATCAGAGAACATGATCAATATACCAGCTCATCCCTGGATGAAGCTCCCTGCCTTTCCTCATACAGGCGAGTGCTCTACTCTCCCTTCCCCAGTAGCACTGGTCCGTAAGCCAAGGAAAGGACTCATGCATTGAATTATACTTAGTTGCCTACACGTCTGTGTGTTCCACTGGACTACAAGCTCCCTGAGGGCAGGGAGAGGAGCTTACTCACCTCTACATGCTCAGTGCTTGGCACAAGGGCCAGGTGACCTCATTGGCAGAGGAGGAGGTGTTGCTGTGGTGGGCCACAGGCCACTGACTGTCCATATGTGGGTCACGTGGGCACTTACTCCCTGATTTCAGCCACTGGAGACCTCTTTTGGGAAGGAAGTCCCATGGCCTCATTTGCTTACTTCTGTATATAGCTGTTGAGTGAATGGGAGGATGAATTTAACATTTACTGAGTGCTTATTTTAGGTCAGGCATTGTTCTAGGTGTTTAGAGTTACAGAGAAAATTCAGACAAAATTCCTGCCCTAGAGTTCTTAGTCCAGAGGGAGGCTGATGTGTAAGCCATCACTGAGCAGTGAGATAAGCACTCTGAGAACATCCCAGACCGAGGAGCAAACTGCGCTGGTGGTGGAGTGGGTGGTTACTGCAGACAATGTGGGTGGGCTCAACAGAACCTGATTGTCTGCTTCCACTATACAGACAAAAAAGTGCAATCCTCAATTTTCCGGCCTACCTTGTAGCTGGGAGCTATAAAATGAAGTTCATCAGGCATGAGCGGTCTGCTGGTACTGCTTCTTCCCGCTTCCCCTTCTTCTTGCTTTGGGATGGGATGCGATGTTTGCTGCTGTAACAGCCATTTGCAGCCATAAGGAAAAGGCCAAATGAATTGCAGTGGTGTCCATTGAACCAATTCTGTATTTTTCTGGACTTCTTGTTTTGTGAGAAAAATAAACTGCTATTTAAACCACTGTAGTCAGATTTTCAATTACTTGCAGCCAAACCCATTCCTAATTGATCTCATAGGAGATATAAGAAAAGGCTTCACACAGGACATATCATTTTCTAAAATTATTTCTTTATTTATTTACAACAGAGATGGGGTCTCATTATATTTCTCAGGCTGGTCTTGAACTCCTGGGCTCAAGTGATCCTCCTGCCTCAGTCTCTCAAATTGTTGGGATTACAGATGTGAGCCACTGAGCCCATGCCCAGCCCATAGGACATATCTTTTGAGCAGAATCTTGAAGAAGATGGGTAGGCAGAAAATAGAGAGAAGGGCATTTGGGCAGAGGTATAGCATAGGTAAAAGCACAGTGAGGGGAGAAGTTGCATGTCACGTTGAAACACATCAAAAAGTATTAGGTAAGTTTCTCCAAGATGGAGAGAGGTGGGGAGGGTGTTCCAATCTCAATGAAGCACTGAGCAGAGTGTGGAGACAGGATCATGCATGTCATGATTGAGGCATGGTGAGTGTTTGTGCCTGGTTCCTGTTTGGGAAGCTGCAGAGATGAGGCTGGGAAAGTGGATGGGGCCAGACTCCTGGTGGTCAGGAGCTTGGTCTGCAGGTCTCTGCTGGTAAAGGCTCCTGAACTGGGAGTGGCCTGATGAGGTCCTGGTTGACCAGCCTATGGGCTTCTGTCTGCTGGGTGCCGCCCTCCCTGCCCAGAGGCCTGCATGGTAGTTGTGGTAATTGCCTCTTCTCCTTCCTTCTATCCCCCTCTCCCTTCCCATTCAGGAACCAGGAATAGGTTTCACTATTGCTGTTTCTCAGAACTAATAATATGCTCTTCCATGAGCAGGGTGGGGCCCACGCCCCATTCTTTCTCCCAAGAGGACCTGGCAATTCCATCATGCATTGGGCAGAGGTTTCCAGGACTCAGGCCACTTAATGCAGAACAAATAACTGTGCAGGTATGGAGGCTGGGAGTTATTCTCACCTAAATGTTCTGCTGACCTCAGCACGTGGACGGGCCATTACACCACGCACAGTGGCCATTTTGTGGGGAGGAAGAAGAAGGGTGGGGATTTCTACAAATGTGCGGGGCGACGTTTGTTAGGTCTCCACCTCCTGGGGTCTCTTCCACTTGAGCAATTGCTCTCTATTTGTCCTACAGCAAATGCCCCAGGGCCCCTTAGTCTTCTTCAGGCTCTGGGGCTTTTCAAGTGTGGACATGATTCAGTCATCTTTTGCTGAATTGCAGAATTCTAAAAATTCTAAAAAGTGTTTAGAAAAGCCACGATAAGATTTCATCACTGGTTACCTGGTGCTGGAGGGGGATGACTCCCCTTGGTCTAGATTCCTTGAGCCTGGGGACTGACCCACAAAGTGGCTATAACAAATCAGTGCCCAGGGACACCCTGTTTTGTTAGCAGTGGTAGTTATCTGTACAGGTCTGCAGCAACCTCAATTCTTGTCTACCCAGAAAAAAGAATTCAAGTGAGGGGCAAAAGAGCAGAAGGAGAGACCAAGGCAGTTTTAGAGTAGGAGTGAAAGTTTATTAAAAAGCTTTAGTGCCGTAAGGAAAGGAAGGAAAGTACTCTTGGAAGAGGGCCAAACAGGCGACTTGAGACCAAGTGCGTGGCTTGACCTCGTGACTCGGGGTTTTATACATTGGCATACTTCTGGGATCTTGCATTATTTCTCCCGACTCCTGAGATCTTATTGGGAAGCTGCTGATCACCAGTTCCAGGTGTTTTCTATCTACTAGGAGACTGCCTTTTGCTGGTGCTGGCTGTGACCAATTATTACTTTAGAGAGACAGTTAACAACCGCCTGACCATCACCTGATGGTCACCAAACACTCCTGACGTGTGTGTGGAGAGTCTTCTGCTGTACTCATACATGGCTAGCTACCTACTGTAACACCTTGACATAAGCGTCTGATCTCCACTCAGATATGAGCATCAATAAAGATAATTCAAGTCAATTTATTGAGCATCTTCTATGCATTTGCTATGGACACAGAGACTAGGGAGCCCACCATCGGATGGGAGATGGAAGGATCTAATGTGTGACCCCACTGTGAAAAGTACTTCAGGAGGAAGTCCAAAGGGATGATGCCGCATGCTGGAGGGGGCCAGGTGGCAGGGGAGTATAGCCCCTGGGAGTGCATGTGTGACCATCCTGGGCTCAAGTCCTGGGTTGACTGCAAAGCGGTGTGACCTTGAGCAAGTTACTTCTCCATGTCTCATTTTCCTCTTCCAAAGGCTTGAGGCAGAGATACTGAGAGGGTCATGTAAGGATCAAAGATAAGAGTATCAAGTGCTGGCATGTGTTTGGCTTTCTACAAATGTGACTCACAGATGACTACAGTTGTGTGACTCTGAATGACTCAGTTCAATCCCTGGTTCTATTTCCTTATCTGTAAAATGTGAGATTTACAAGCTCATGGTGCTAGTCCAAATCTCAGGTGTGCACAGAGCAGCAGGTCTTTTCGTTTTCTGTAAATCAGTTGAATTTCTGCAGTGTGCCCCCATCTTTCAAGAGCACAGAAAGAGGTGGCTGAGTCTGGCATCCAGGGCCATTGTCCAGGAGAGTTCGCTGCTGAGTCAGGCTGGTGGTGCATCCCTCCCTTCCTCCCCCACTGGCCCTCCTGCCTATCCCTGCCTTCCTCCCTAAGGTTGAGAGGAAAATTAATCTTGGTCATTTTTGTCAATGCCCCATTGTTGTGCTTTGATCCAGGTGACTCTCCAGCATGCCAGGTCTTTCTTGTCCCTGCCCCAGCCCCCGTTGCTTCCATGCCCTGTCTGGGCCAACCTAATCTTCTGGAAGCTGCCTTAGTCATATTCCCCCAGACAGGCCACACAGCCACCCTTCTCTGGGCTTGCCACTTCCCGGGGCTACCACCAGGGAGCAGGGCTCAAGGCCCTGCCACTTGAGGCCTGCCTGTCTCTCTTGCTTCTTCCTTCTGCATCCTCCAGGGAGCCTTGGGTTCTCATATGGGCTTAGGTTTCAGGCAACAGTGCCCTGAAAACACTGCAGGTGACTTCTGTTTCTGCTCTGCACACACCTTTTGTGAGGCAAAGAAAGGCAGAGCAGGCTTTTCCTTTCATGAGATAAAGAGAAAGCAGAAAACAGACTTTCTACATACGTAACACTCTCAGAATATTATTCAGCCCACTAAAAATCTATAATATTTATGGTATATTTACTTAGTGTCAGACACTATGCATTTACTCCTTTAAAAATCTCCATTTCACAGGTGAGCAAACAGAAGTTTAGAATGCTTAACTAAGTTTCCAAGGCACCCAGCTAATAAAAAGTGGAGCTGGAATATAAACTTGGGTCTCTTTGACTCTTTTTAATTCTATCACATGACCTACCCTCCACCCTAAAAGCTTTTTGCAGTTCTTGGCCTGCCGGGATAAGCTCTCCTAATGCTTCATGCCCTCTGGGTCAGGGTTCCTAATAGTGTGTACTTGAATGCTGTTAGACTGACTCCAATCTTGTGAACAAACACAGAGCAACCAGTGCTAAGGGATCTTTGATTCTTGGCTTTGAGAGTCACCTTCCAGTGGAAGAGTTGGCTGAGCCTGATGTCCAGGGTCATTGTTCAGGAGACTTTGTTGCTGGGTTCAGGTTGGATCACTGGTGACACGAGGCAAAGTGGTGCAGCCCTTCTTCCTCCTGATCTTGCTAATCCCAGAGAGCCCTAGCCCTAGATGCGGCAGACAGGGCCCATTGCACATGGATATTACTATCCTGAGGGGTGCCAAGAGGTGGGGAGGAGTGAGCTTGAAGCAGAGCTGCCTCCACACCTGATTTTGTAAACAACTGGGCCCTGTGGTGTAGTGTGCATTGTGTTAGACTAGGAGTCTCAGGATAGTTCCAAGCTCTGTCTTCATTACAGGCCAACCCTTTGACCTCTCTGAGCCTCCATCTCCTTGTCTGCAGGATATCATAAGGATGTCACTTGCTACTTCTCTGGCTGCTTCTCAAAAGTAGTGGCAAGGCCATGCACTCATTCATTTGCTTAACCAAACATTCCTTGAGCACCTACTATGCATTACGCTTGGTGCTGTGTGGCAGGAAGCACTGCTCAGAGGCAGGGCCATCAGCATGGGGCAGGGCGCAGCGCCTGGCAGGGCGGCCACCTCAGGGAAGAAATCAGGAAGCAAGTTGTGCTATTTAGCGTTGACTTTGATTTCTGCTCCCGGCATCTGGGGAGGGTGGGTGCCACAAGACAGCTGGATGTGTTTGTGGCCACTTCCCAGGGCATGAGGAGCGGCAGTGTCCTGGCCTTTTGGGGACCTGGCCTTCGGCTTTGTGAAGGGATGCGGCAGGGTGGGAGGCATTGCCATGGTGGGGATCAGATCTCACCACATTCCTCATTCTGTTACAAAACATCAGTTCTCTTTACTGGCCTTCTGAGGCTCCCTCCTGAGGTTCCCTCCTGAGGCCCCTGCAAATCAAATGTATGCAACTCCAGAGCCTGTCCCTCTCCATGGCACCGGTGTTTCTGCTGCCACCACATGCCAGCCTCTTTGGCTGCTCCTGCCTACCCTTTCTTACATCCCCACCAGGCCTCCTTCTCCACGTGGACATCTGTCCTGCCAGGCATTGGGCAGCTGGCACTCCCACTCTCCCATGGACCTGAAGCCCTTGCCTTCCTATTTTGCCCACCTTACCCTTACACAGTCCTGATTTGCCAGCGTTAGCCTCCCCTGGTCCTTGGAACATGATCTTCTCCACCAGCTTCATGGCCACATCCTTTGTTTTCCTTCTTATCCTGACTCTCTCTCTGGCTACAAGCCTCAGAGAATCTCTGGCCTAGACTCCAGGGGCCTCTACTCAACACATCCCCTGCACATGTGCTTCTGAGGCGCTGTCTCTGTACACTCCAATGGGACTCAGAGGCTGAGTCCTGGCCTAAGCTGTTCCCTACCGTATCACTGCCATATTTCCCTTCTTCTTCTATGTGGGGGCACTTGTCTGCCTTCCTGGTTCAGCCCTGCCCCGTTCTTCCAATGCCAGTGTGATCTGGCATCGATTTACCCCTCCCCTCCTCAGCACCCTTCCACCGTGGAACAGGGCCTATGTCCCTAGGGGTGCATGTGCCTTGGGCCTGCCTTCTCTCTTAGACTGTGCTCTGTAGGAGTGGAGGGCACACCTGCTCTGTGCTCTAAACCCCAAGCTCCACTCACGGGGATGACAGAATGAACAATTCCTCTCTGCCGCAGATGCCACTTTGAGGGAAGACCGAGTACCCCTGCCACTAGAAAATTGGGCTGGGGGCAGATTCATGGATAGGGCAGGCTATCAGCTTCCAGTGGAGTCAGATCACGGGAGGGGAGGCAGATAAGGTTGGAGTGGGATCTGTGGGGAACAGGCCTCTTACAGTGCATAAGGTGGAACATGGAACACATTTCTGGCAGTGCCTCCCCTGTGTTGGCTCGAGAAGTCCCGTCTGCAAGTGGGGAGCAGGTCAGAGAGGCCTATGTTGACATTTCTCAGGCTGAAGACCAGGCATGTATATCCTTCAACTTTGAAGTCCCTGGAATACAGATATTCTGAGACAACACTCAGGATACCTAAGCCCCATGCTGATAAGGGCCACAGATGGCCTCACTCGGTGTGAGTGGTCCTTATCAGCATGGGTCTTAGGTATCCTGAGTGTTGTCTCACTGTATTTGTGGAGTGACCTACAGTCAGGAGCTATCTCTGAAGTCTGGGCTTCCAGCCACAGGACACCTGGCTCCCTCTATAAAGGCTGTGGAGTGGGCTCTGGCTGGAGCAGTGGCCAGTCTGCAGTCCAGGATGAGGGGCCTTGTGGTATTCCTTGCAGTCTTTGCTCTCTCTGAGGTCAATGCCATCACCAGGTGAGTGTCAGAGCCCAGGGGAGGGCAAGGGCATCTCATCGTCCTCTCTGGGAGGTCTGTCCTTGGTCTTCCAGCCATTGGTCCCCCAGGGAGTCTTGGGAGAAGTGCTGCAAGTTCCCAGGGTAACAGCTCCCTGTCAGTCTTGCCTTTGCATGCTGGGACCTTTGCTTCTGTTTACCCCAGCACTTCACAGTGTGGTGAAAAGAACAGGGAGCCAGATGGGCAACTGGGAGGATAGGGCATGGCTCTGGAGTCAAACTACCTGGGGTTTGATCCCCAGCTCCATCACTAACTTAACTCTCTGTGCCTCAGTTTCCTCCTCTGTTCATAAAATTTGAATAATGGTAGTGTCCATCTCATAGGGATGTTGTGAGGATTATAGGAGTTAATATTTAAAAAATGCTTCAAACGATGCACACTGTAAGAGCTATGTATGCATTTGTTAAACAAAATAAAGTTCCCTATTGTACTAATCCTTTGTGGGTGAAGATCTCAGGTTCTCCTCCCAAAGTAATAACTGACATTGATTGAGCTGTTTGCTCCTAGGTGCTAGGCACTCCACTAAGCCACTAATCCTCATGGATTAAGTACATATTATCATTTGCAATTTACAGATGAGACACTGTTGTTTAGGAAGGGTTCCTAAGGAGGGTCCCTGAGCTGTCCGAGGCTGCATGGCTAGTAATGGAGGAGCTAGGACTTGGCCTCCGTGGATTTGCACTCTTGCCATCACATCACGTGGTAATCTACAGGTGCTCAGGTTTGAGTCTGGTCAAGCCCTGAGCACAGAGAAGCCCCGATTACTCCCTGGGAAAGCTGGATCCCAGAAAAGGGGTCAGGGTGCTTTCAACTGGCCCGGAATCTTTGTGGCAGTCCTGAAAATAAAGTTCCTCCAGGTCCCAGGTGCGCTATCTGCCCCAGCACTTGGGATGTGAACAGCCTGCGAAAATCCATTCTCTCTGTGAGTTTTAACACTGCTGCCATTTATGGCTCTCAAAGCACATCTCAACAGTCTCACAGAGGAGGACCACGTGATTCTTAGAGGTAAAAGGGACTGTGGGAATCACTGAGTTCTACTTCTGTCTATAGGAGAGGAAACTAAGGACCAGAGAGGTTAAGCCATAGGGCTAGTCAAACGCAGGGCCAGGAGAATGGCTGGAAAGGAAGGGGTTAACCTAAGGGAGTTGAAACTCAGAGGGCTTTGGGGAGCCACCCAAGTTGACACAGACAGGGCAGTGCCAGGTCTAGAACCAGTTTCTGCATTTCCTCTCTTGATCTCTTCACTGTTGATCTGCCTCCATCATCTAAAACTCGAGCTCCCTCAGGAGGCCCCTGTGAGACCAGGCTCTGTGCTGAGAAACCGTTTGAGAATTTTCCACTCGTCTTAGGGAAAAAGCTATCCAGAGAGCGGAGAAAGGGTATTGACAGAGGGCAGGATCATTGTCGTAGCATTTGTCAGCTTGTGGGAGACACCGTTTTTCACTGCAGACAGTGGGCTCCCGGCGGGCAGAGACGGTGTCCTTTCCAGTGTTGTGTCCCCTGTGCCCTGTACAGTATCTGGCACAGCAAGAATTTGGTGACTGAATGAGTGATAATGTGCTTAGTGCTTTTCAAACCACGGGTTTCGAAACTTATTAGTGGGTTGCAAAATGCCTCTAATGGGTCTCCACCAGCATTAGAAAAAGAGAAAGCAATATAAAATATGAGAGTGCATTGCAGTTAGCAAGGATAGGCATTGATTTTTGAACCGATATAAAATACATTTCTTACTTTGAGTTATGATTTAAAAAAAGTTTGAAAGCCCTTGACCTGGGGTCAGTGGGCCATTGATCAGAAGGCTGGCTGGGAACAGAGTGTACCGAGTGGTTTATGGAGCCCACTTCTGGGAGGCTGGGCAGCCTGCGGGAGATGCACACCCTCCTTACAAATTCTTCCCCATCTCCTCAGGGTTCCTCTGCACAAAGGGAAGTCGCTGAGGAGGGCCCTGAAGGAGCGCAGGCTCCTGGAGGACTTCCTGAGGAATCACCATTATGCAGTCAGCAGGAAGCACTCCAGCTCTGGGGTGGTGGCCAGCGAGTCTCTGACCAACTACCTGGATGTGAGTGGCTCTGCCAGCCTTTCCACTAACGAAGTGGAAAGCGCCCCTCGGCCCCTGCCTCACCACAGCTGTTTCTCTTCGAGAAATCTTGGAGTCTGTGGTAGAGGCAGTCTCCCTGCCCTCAGTCAGCTCCACGAGGGGCTGGTCGACCCAGAAAAGACAGTGCTCCTGCCTGCCAGCTCTGAATGCCACCACCAGGAGGGTCTGAGCTCAGGCGCCTTCCTCACACAACATCCCCCAAGAGTGCATGAACTGCCCCCCTCCCCAACGCCGCCTACCATCCCAACCCTGCACCTGCCTTCCGGGCTGGGGAAGTTCTGTCTTAGTCTGGCTCAGCAGGGATGGAGACAGCGGGTGCCATTCTGCAGCTGCCCAGGACGCGGCTGCCAGCTTGCTCTTCCTCCCACCCAGGACCCAGGCAGGAGCGCCCCTGGTACCTGTTCTTTCCTGGAGCTTGTCTTTCTCTCAGCCGTCACTCTTGCCAGTAAACAACCAGCCTTTTTTCTCTTCTGTGCTCTCATTTTCTTATCTAGGTCATCTTCGCCACCCGCCCCCAGCCTCTGCTCTGACAGTGGGGAGAGCTGGCGAGGAGGCGCGCGTGGCAGGGGCCACTTGGGCCGGAACATGGAGCCCACACCTAGCTGATGCCCCACCTCTCTGTCCAGATTCTTTTTGCCCTGGCAGGGGTGGCCCATGTCCCACCCAGGCAGGATTTAAGTTTAGGACCCAGGTCTGCTTCTGAGGCTGATTCCAGCAGTGGTTGTAGGACTTGTGGAAGGATGAGGCCAAGTGTGTCTGGGGGTGGGAGCCCAGGTGAGGGCTGGAGGTCAAGAACCCTCTTCAGTATCTTCCCCCTCCTTGAGACACCCAGGTCTCTGGGCAGAAAGCACAGGGGCTCCACAAGTGCCCCTGCTCCCCGCCCACCGTTAATCCACACCCTCCTGCCCCCTGATGCTCCCACCTCTGACCCAGTGCCGTCTGTCTTCAGTGTCAGTACTTTGGGAAGATCTACATCGGGACCCTTCCCCAGAAGTTCACCTTGGTGTTTGATACAGGCTCCCCGGATATCTGGGTGCCCTCTGTCTACTGCAACAGTGATGCCTGTCGTGAGTGACCGCCCTCTCCTGACCCAGCCCCTCATGCTTGGATGCCCTGGCCTAGTGGCCAGGGTGGTCAGGGTGGCTGGGGGGAAACGTGGGGTGGCAGGACAGCTGGCTCTGACCTTCCCAGCCTCCTAGTTGTGGTCGATCTCCTCACTCATCCTCCCAACTGGCCACAGACTGGGAAGATTTGAAAATCACGGGTTTTAGTTAAAAATTAGGGACCTTTATTTTATTTTTTGTCTCTACTGGGAGCCAAGGCAACCTGCTTACCCTTTTGGATGCTGAATTTTCCTTTCTATAAAATGGGGCTATGATGTGCCAGTGAGTGCTGGGAGAGTAAAGTGAGAAGGTCTATTACAAATAATGAATACATGCTTAACACACATTAATTATTTATTTCTCCACCAATCCTGGGAGATTGGTGCTCTTTTTATCCCCATTTGACAGATGGGGAAATTAAGGTTTGAAGAGGAAAAGGGACTTGGCTAAGATTACTCAGCTGATAAAAGCAAAACATCCACGGAATCTTCAGCGGGGCTTTTCCCTTTCATTTTTGTGTAGAAGCTACGTAGGTAGCACTGAAAGTCAGAGAGGTAGGGCAAGCAACAAAGAATCATGTTCTTTTTTAAACTGTGGGACCAAGGCTTTAGAAAGAATGGGCTGCTTATTCTCTATAGAGAGAATTGCCAGTATTGAGGCCATATTCTTACAAGGCCTGCTGAGGGGTTCGGCCCTGGCTGGCACCGTGAGTGGTGAGAAGATTCTAAGGGCCCCACTAACTCTGGGTCTGTGTTTCAGAAAACCACCAACGCTTCGATCCGTCCAAGTCCTCCACCCACAGAACATGGGCAAGTCCCTGTCCATCCAGTATGGCACAGGCAGCATGCGGGGCTTGCTGGGCTATGACACTGTCACCGTAAGTGGTGCTGCGCCGGCCAGTGCTCACTGTGCCTTTCCCACCAGCCACTCTCTGCCCACACGGTCCGGTGGGCCACACCTCCACTGTGCTGAGAAGCCCTTTAGGTGCTGCCTGCCCTGGTGGCTCAGGAGGTAAGGAGAGGGATTTTAGCCAGCAGCCAGCTGTCGGCTGTCCCTTCCTCCCGCCTCTTCTTCCTGTGGCAGCACCCAGAGCCCCACCTGAGGGCACTCTCAGGTCCAGGTTCCCGTCTCCCTGATCCTTTTCCATGCATCCTTGACACAGTTAGTTCCGAATTCTGAGCTGGTGCCAGGACTGAGCTCTTCAGTGTCCTATGTATAGTCTTGTTTTTAAATTTTGTTTTTCCAACAGCCCTTTGAGGAAGATGTCATTATCCTCGTTGTTCAAATGAGGAAACCGAGGCTTGTAGTTGATAACTTACCTGAAGTCACACAGCTGGTGCCTGGGGGAGCTGAGTGTGGGACCTCGCCTCTGGCTCTCAGGGCAGTGCTCTTGGTTTGACCTCATGCTTTATAAGTCAGAGCAGCATCTTCTTTCAGGTCCGAGAGCACCTGTCCCTCTAGGATAAGGGTTCCCCTTTCCCTTGACTCTTTTTGGCCTCCAAAGTACCTAATACAGTGATGGGCACATAGTAGGTACCCAGTGGATGTTTGCCTCTTTCTTTCTTTCTGCATGCACCATCTGACGTGAAAACTCTGGTGGTGTCTCTCAGTGCTGACCACCTTGACTTTCCTTGGTCTCTTCCTTGGGTCTGGCTGAAACCTTTCTTGCTTTGAGTCCAGAAGGGCACAGTCCTTCTCTGTGGACAGTATTTTCCTCACTGGGCAGGTGCCCACCAGGGTGCTCTGCTCAGGCCTCCTCGGGATTCCATGCCAGACAGCAGAGGCCTCAGGGCTGCTTGCTGAGCTGGCCAGCAGTCAGGCCTTTGACAGCCAATTCCCCTGCCCAGTCCTATTTCCTCTGCTGGCCTGAGCCATTCACTTTCTTCCCTGCTATTTTCAGTGCATCTTCACTGGAGAGCTGGCCCAGTGCCTGGAACCTCAGCAGTGCTGCAGTGGGCTGCTATCACTCACTACCTTGGGCAGGGGGTCGGGGAAAGCTTCCCTCAGGGGTCTCATGTGGAAGCAGGAGAGGTGTCCTGACCACTTTGGGACAAGAGGCAGTAGTGGTCAGAGTAGGCTGGTGGATACATTGGGCATCTGAAGAAGTGGGCAGATTAAGAAAATATTTTGGAGTTAGCACTTTCTTAGCATAGTGCTGATCCATATTCAATAATCACTTAGTAAATGTCAATAAATGTTCAGTGTTAGTATTATTTAGTCAAAGCCCTGCCTTGAGATGTGAGATGTAGGTATTACTATTCCCTTAAACAGATAAGGGGATTGAGGTTGGGCAGGTACTTGTCCAAGGTCACACAGTTAGCACATGGCAGAACAGGAGCCTACACCTGGGTCTTGGAGACATAAAGCGTGTGCATGTTCTTTTTGGACTTCCTGCTGCTTCTATGGCTTTTTGCTGGGAGGTGTTCCAGACATAGCTGGTGGGAGGGCTGCAGGCCTGCAGAGGGCCTTGGAGCATCCCTCATTCTGCCCCCTTCTTTGAGCTCAGTCCCAACTTTTGCACAATGAGCACCAGGGTCTGTGTCCACCTTGTCCTCTGTTCCCCTCCTCCCCTGCCTCATTAGAACAATTCCTCAAGATCATTGCACTAACTGCCGGGAAAGGAGAGGTGGGTTTTTTTTGTTGCTGTTTTTTGTTTTTGTTTTTTTCTGTCTCTTAAGGGCAAATAACTATGTTGCCTATAAGAGGAAAGGAACTGGAACTGCGATACTGGCTCCTGACCTGGGACTGGCTGCCCTCATGCCTGGGATGTTTCTGTCTCTGGCTGCAGGACCTAGTGGAGGTCATGATTCTCTTGCAGGTCTCCAACATTGTGGACCCCCACCAGACTGTGGGTCTGAGCACCCAGGAACCTGGCGACGTCTTCACCTACTCCGAGTTTGATGGGATCCTGGGGCTGGCCTATCCCTCTCTTGCCTCTGAGTAGTCAGTGCCAGTGTTTGACAACACGATGCAGAGGCACCTGGTGGCCCAAGACCTGTTCTCAGTCTACATGAGTAGGTAAGAGCTGTGCCCAGCCGGGGCCTAAGTTTGATGTCCTTGTAAGGACTGTCCACTCCTTGGGGACACTCAAGGGTAGTCACCAGCATCCAAGCAAACCTTCTCCTTTCCAGGCACATCCAACCTCTTGTCCAAAGGCCCATGATACAGTCATTTGTACAGCCAGAGTTCACTGGATCAAAATTTGACTTTCCTTTCTGGCACTCAAAAAACAAAGCCCGATTCCACCTCTGCACAGGGGCTTTCAAGTTCTTTTTCCCAAAGTGGCAGGGCCTCAATAACCGTTTGCTAATGTCACTGAGATGCACAGACTTTTAGAGCTGACTCCAAAGGAGTCCAACCTACTCCTTTCACTAGGGAGGAAGCTGAGGCTTGGGGAGGGACCAACACCCTGAGTGGTGGCGGCTGAGCCAGGCCTGGAGCCTGGGGCTCCTGCTCCCAGGCCTGTGCTTCCTACTCTACCTCCCTGCACCCCGTGATGATGCAGCTTGGCTCAGAAAGAGGGGAGGATGGCAGGGAGGAGAGAAAGAGACCCTCCCCAGGAGAAGTTGCTGGATGGCCGAGGCAGGAGAATGCAGTTAGGGGGCTAATTAGTGCATTCACTCATGCATTTATTCACCCAGTAGATACTTACTGGGCCCTTACTATGTGCAGAGGCTCTGCCAGAGATGGGGACACATCAGCAGATAAGACAAACTGGCAGTTAACATTTTAGCAGGAGAAGCAGACAGCACACCATTACATACACTATTGTAATCAAACAGTGTGATAAGGGTGCAGCAGGGGAGATTTGGGTGTGTCAGAGGCTGAGTAACAGGGGAAGGCCCAGCCGAGGGCAGCCAGGGCAGTCTTTGCTGAGGGAGGAGTGGGTGCCGTCTGGGGAGAAAGCGTGTACCAGAGCCGGGAGCTGGGATGGGCTGGATGAGTTCTAGGAGCCCAAGGCAGTGCTCCGGAAGTGGGTGGGTACAGTGTGTGTTTCCCAGCCATGTGTGAGACACGGCCCCACGAGGAACAGAGGGGATTTGCGTTTGGGTGGCAGTTTCAATCCAAAGTGTAGATTTTGTTGAAGACCCCCTTTCCTACTAAAGGCAGAAAGCCCTGGGTGGCGGCTGACAGGGAGTAGGAGCCTAGGGAGACAGCTGGGCACACTCAAGGGTGGCTGGGGCACAGCCTGGCAGTCCCAGGACCTGTGGGGTGGGTTACTTCCTCTGGGGTTGGGGTGGGGGCTGCAGCGCTCAGGAGAAAGGATGCTGCCGCTGACTTCAGAGAAAGCCCAGCGGAGGAGGAGCCAGAGGGGGCTGGAGACCTCATCTGAAGCGTGGGGTAGGGGTGGGGCGGAGGAGGGTGGGCTGGATCTCAGTGGTGTCTGCCCCAGGGTGGGGCTGGGCACCGCTTTTCTGAGCCTCGCTGAAACAGCGCGCTGCGCCTTGGTTTCAGGAATGACCAGGGGAGCATGCTCACGCTGAGGGCCATTGATCTGTCGTACTACACAGGCTCCCTGCACTGGATACCCATGACTGCAAGAATACTGGCAGTTCACTGTGGACAGGTGGGTGAGCGGCCACACTGTGTGGGCCTCAGCCAGAGGCTGATCCAGCTGTGGGGATGTGAGGGCCCGGGCGTCAGCCCACCACACTCTGAGGACTGCAGCACAGTAGCTGGTAAGACCACCCATGAGAAGCTGAACTAGACACTTCCAAGGTTGGTGACCTTTGTCGGTGCTAGTGCCACATATTCTACCTGTGCTTTATGAACAAGACCAGCTGCCTTTCTGGGGCATCTACTGCCTGCTAGGCGCTGTGCTGAACGATTATATGACTGTCTCATTTATTCCTCACTGAGACACCATGAGGTGGGTGCTACTATTACCCCACTTTATAATGGACTAACATTGAGTTTGAACCTCAGGACCACCTCTTGAGGAAGTCAAAGAAGGGGTTATTAATGTACCCATTTTGTAGAAGGGAAGCCTGAGTACACAAAGGTTGGGTAACTTGCTGGAGACACACAGCAAGTAAATGGCAGAGCAAAAACTTGAAACCAGATCTCAGGCAACCAGTATGCTACTCGCTCTACTCCTTAATGTGGGTGAATTTGTTGTTTTATTGAAGTTTCTGTCCCATGGAAAGTGGGATGTCCTCAATTTAGCCACTGAATTGGAAGAAAATGGTTTTAGGTTTTTTCTCTGGGCTCAGAAAGTACTGGGGCCTCCAGGAAGGGGCCCCAGGGAAGGGGCTGAGGGCTGGGGGCCTTCCCTCCCTACTGCAGATCCTGGCAGGGGAGGGTAGGAAGGACCTGGGGAGGGAGGGCTGGATGAGGCCATCTTGCATACCTTTGGAAGTGTCATCATTGACGGCGTGGTGGTGGCCTGTGACGGTGGCTGTCAGGCCATCCTGGACACCGGCACCTCCCTGCTGGTGGGGCCTGGCGGCAACATCCTCAACATCCAGCAGGCCATTGGAGCCACTGCGGGCCAGTACAATGAGGTGAGGTCAGGCCCCACCGCCCCACAAGGTTGCCTTGAAGTGGGGGCCCCTTCACACAAACGAGATGATGCAGGGGTGGTTAGGGAGCCCGTTTCCCAGCCGAGGTTGGGGTTTCTCCGGAGGCCTCTGCTGGGGCCTTTGGCTTTGGCTTCATTGCCGTGGGAGCCTCCATGCCTCAGGTAGCGGCTGCCGTCTGACCTCCTGTTCCTCTGGGAGTGGTGCCCTCCCTGACGCGCTGGACTGTGCTGTGCCCCTTCTTCCTCCTCCACCCCCGAGTCTGTTCTTCTCCCCTTGACAGCCAAATGCTCCCAGCATCCCTGTGAGCTCTGGCTGGGCCTAGATGGGGAGACACAGAGGCAACCCCCTTGGGTCCCAAGCTTGGGTCTGTCCCTGGGTTGATGACAGCTATGACTCTTTTGAGAACCATGTCTCAGGACCAGGCCTCACCCTGAGAGCCTCCCTGTGGTCCTAGGTGTAGGCAGGGCCCTCTCCCCACCCCATGGCTCATGGGGTGGCAGGAGGGGTTCTGGGCCCTTCCGGAACCCCTTCAGTCAGCTTACTTACTCGCCGCTTCTAAGAGGGCCTCCCTTGGTTCTTTAGTTTGACATCGACTGCGGGCGCCTGAGCAGCATTCCCACGGCTGTCTTCGAGATCCACGGCAAGAAGTACCCCCTGCCACCCTCCGCCTATACCAGCCAGGTATGAGTCTCAGAGGGGAAGCCCGGGCTCCTCCTCCTCCTTCTTCTTCACCAGCTTCCTCCCCCACCCCCCAGTTGGGCCCCTGGTGAGGCAGTGATGGTGGTGATAAGAAGTGGTATGGACTCCACAGAGAATGGAGGGGCATGCGTTTGGACCAACCGGCCTTTCTGAGTGGGCCATGTTGTCCTGGGGCCTCATTTGTGGCCACTTCAGCCTCATCCTGGGAAAAATGGGGAACAGGAGGGGCGGTGTGCCAAGGTGTCAGGGAGGGTGGGGTAGGCAGGTCCACATCTCCCTATGGGAACCTCCCTCCGCTGCTCAAGCTTCTAAGTCCCGGGGCCTAGAGCTCTGTGCAGGGTTTGCTTAGCTAGCCTGGGCTTTGTGGGGCTCAGCCCTTGGCCCCACTGACCACTGACCTCCACCCCCCAGGCCTGCTCTGGCTGGTCATCAGGGCAGTAGGTGCTGAGAGCAGGAGGCAGGGGCTGGGGAGGACGAGAGATGGGGAGTGGAGTCCAGTGCAGAGGACAGGACTCAGGATGCCAGAACCCCACCCGGTGATCCTAGATTATGTCATTTTATTTTTTGAATCTGAATTTCTTCATCTGTTGAGAGATGAATCCAATACTTGTTTATCTGGGAAGGTCATTTCAAGGATAAAATGACGTCACAGAAGAGGAGGAGTTGTGGGTGAGGTATAAACGCCTATCTTTAGGCACAGCAAATGGGATTGGGACCAGCGTCATCTCTGCCTTGCCTTCCCCAGGACCAGGGCTTCTGCACCAGTGGTTTCCAGGGTGACTATAGTTCCCAGCAGTGGATCCTGGGGAATGTCTTCATCTGGGAGTATTACAGTGTCTTTGACAGGACCAATAACCGTGTGGGGCTGGCGAAGGCTGTCTGATTGCATCACTGGCCATGGACCTCAATGTGACCAAACACACACACGCACATAGATGAGATGTGCAGGCAGATGGTTCCCAATAAACACCGCATTTCTGCAAAGCCTGACTTCCCTTGTTGTCACTGGGGCTGAAGCTCTGCGCCGTTGTGGGGGTGGATGTGACTGCCAGGTGGTGTGTGGGCACAGCAGGAACTACATGGT
Source organism: Homo sapiens (assembly GCF_000001405.40). Classification (NCBI taxonomy): domain Eukaryota; kingdom Metazoa; phylum Chordata; class Mammalia; order Primates; family Hominidae; genus Homo; species Homo sapiens. Next base: position 110,491,373 of record NC_000001.11, read on the forward strand.
GGGAAGGGTTGGTGGGTGGAGGCTACCTGGAGGGCAATGACTATTTCAAGCTCAGGTCAGGGAAGACCAAGGCGTGCCTTACCTACCTGTCCTTCACTCTAGAGCTTTCTGGGCAAAGGGCACAAGAGGGGAGACCCTCGCACGATAAGACCCATTTGTTCCTGGGGAATGAGAGGTAAGGGCATGGTGGTGTGGGGATGTAAAGGGAACACTTGGCCCCTGGAGAGGAAGGTTCTGCTGTATTAAGAGAGGGGCCTCAGTGCTGTTGGAAGAAGCCAGATGAAAGAGTGAGCAGGGAGCATGGGGAAAGATCTGAGTCCTAGGCTGCCATCCACCCTGGGGGAGAGCCACAGTCCAGACTCCCATCCTCAGGCTCAGGGGCTCAGGCCCTGGCAGTGGTCAGAGCGGTGCCATTGCCGATGGCAGGTTCGTGTTAACCTGGCTTTCAGAGGCTGATGTGTCAAAGCCAGATGCCAGTGTTCAGAGTTCCTGTGAGTGCCCAGGCTCACAGAGCCCTGCACATTCTCCTGGGAGAGAGCCACGCAGGAAATCCAAATATTACCGGGTCACACAAGGGGATTCAGGTGGCTTTAGGAAGTTTTTCTCAGTGATGCTACTCTAAGGCCCCTCAGCTACCTTGGGAGGGAGGTGGACAGCTCTTGGGGAGATCACAGTGCTTGGAGTCCTCTTGGCAGACTCCTTGGACAGTGCTCTGCTGGGAGCTGCATGCGTCTGCTCTCCAGCCCTCCTCCCTTTTTCTTTGCACCCCCTGCCTTAGATAGTCTTTTTCCCATCGGGGGAAGACAATTGACCAGGCCTTTGTTTTCTATGTCATAGCTAGCCTTGTCCCCTCTGCTTCACCCACCCCAAATATAGTGATCGGACTTTGTCACACCTTTATAGTAGTTCAACCCTCACAAGGCCTTGGGAAGGGGGTGGGGTCATCTTGCTATCTAGCCCCTGCCCCTACCTCAGGCTGACCACGGGCCTGCCCTGCAAACAGCTGGAGCAGGTGAGTAATGCCCATGTCTCCAGGAACCGGAAGCTGCAGGTTTGGCAGTGACACTTCACAAAGGAGACTGTCCTTCATGAGGAGTGAAGCGGGGGGCAGGAGCAGAGTGGGCTCTGGCTTCTTTCTCCCAGTGGCAGCTGCTAATGGGATCCGGTCGACAAGCCATCTGGGGGCATCTCCTGGGGCCTTTCTTAGTGGTACCCAAGAACAAAAGAGATGAGGGACCCAGTCAGTGGAGATGCTGCCTGTGGCGCCTGTCTGGGTTTGCGGCTGTGCAGCCAGCTTGGCCGCAGAGGCAGCCCATGGCTTCCTGCAGGGAAGAGACTGGGCTGTGGGGGTGAAATGGAGCAGGAAGGCTCAAGCTGCCTTTCCTGGGTGAGCCAAGGAGACTGGTGTGGGATGGTGCAGAGGCCACAGGAGAACATCCCAGGACTTCAAGGACAGAGGGTGGTGCCAGCAATGGGCAGGCCTTGGCGTTTGAATCTTACTGGGCCAGCGAGGTAAGCGAGGTGCCAAGGAGTCAGTCTGGCTTTGGGAGGCTTCTCTAAGCCTCGCTGTTCTTATCTAGGACCAATACTGCCTGTTTGCCAAGAACGAGACAGAATTGGGCCACTTTCATTATTTTTACACTTCTTGTGTATTAAAAAAAATGCCAAATAGGCCTACAAAAATGGTTATAGATTTCAATGGTTTACATTTAGCAACTGTATTTTAAACACCCACATCCCAACTGGAGATAATGTAGAAAGTCTAAATATGATGACTTTCACAAATGTGAGGTTTGGACCAAATGGGTCCTGTCTCACCCCCTGCCCAGTTGGCCCTGGTGGTGACCCCTGTCCTGGGAGGGCAGTGAGGGCACAGCGAGGGCAGCTCCCCACTGGGGCTAACGCAGTGTTGCCACACAGCACCCCTGTGGCCTCAGCAATGTTCCTGGCTGCAGAGAACTCTCTGCCTGGAATGTTCTCTACTCTCCAACTCCTCTCCAACTCCTCTGACTTTCAATCAACCTTCAAACCTCAACTCAGTCCACATCTCTTCAGGATGCTTCTGACGAGCCTGGGGGCTTAGTGTCATACCACTTATTTCCCTGTTGGTCTTCCTCATGGCCTCTGGGCTCACTGAGCACAGACATTGTGCACTTCTCATTTTCTTTTCTTTTTTTTTTTTTTTGAGACAGAGTCTTGCTCTGTTGCCCAGGCTGGAGTGCAGTGATGCAATCTCCGCTCGCTGCAACCTCTGCCTCCTGGGTTCAAGTAATTATCCTGCCTCAGCCTCCTGAGTAGCTGTTATTACAAGTATGTGCCACCACACCCAGCTAATTTTTGTATTTTTAGTAGAGATGGGGTTTCACCGTGTTATCCAGGCTGGTCTTGAACTCCTGACCACGAGTGATCCGCTCACCTTAGCCTCCCAGGCAAGAGCCACCATGCCCAGCCTCACCTCTCATTTTGATATCTTAGGTGCCCAATTCATGGAATGTCCCATCAAGTATTGTAGGGTGAATGAATGAATGAGTCACTTGGTAAGGTCCACAAGAGTCACACTGCTTTCTTTGTCTCCTCTTTCCTCTTGGATCTTTATATCCCCCCTTCCCAGCACACACTCAGGCCCACTCCCCATGTCTTCTCCCTCCCCTAGCTGGCCTAGAACACTCCCCATTCCCTTGCTGTCCCCCTGGAACTCCTCTGTGCATGTTAGAAGGACAAATGGCCACCAGGGATTTATGGTTCTGGGACGGGGTCCACATTGGTCTCTGTGGTCAGGCCTTCTGAGGGCTGTGCCAGGTGGTGAATGAGGAGGCTTTGGGAAGGGGCCACCAGCACATCCGTGGTTTGCTTATGAAGAGGGCCTACCTGGAGGCCAGGGAGGAGCTGCAAGGCTAGAGGGGCCCCTTTGCAGGGCGGGGCTGACTTGTTTCTGGATATCCCACCAGCCCTATCTGCCAATAAGGTCCAGGCAGGGAGAGGGCAGCTGAGGAAGCCTTGGTGGCCATTCACGTCCACCCAGCAGGTGTTGCCTGCCGTCTGTCCTTCTGCCACAGCCACATCCAACACCTGCAGGGTTCGCCTCTGGGAGTTTGTGACCCCTGTTCCCTTTGCCTGCTATGCCTTTCCACCTTCTCTAATCTGTGAAGTGCTCCTTCTCCTTCAAGGCCAGCCTAAATGTCACCTCTTCTAGGGTCCCCACTCCTCCACTTTCTCATTGCGTTTATCCTGTCATAGTTGTTCACCGACACATTCGTCTCTCTGACTAAACTGCTGACGAACAGTGCCTGCGTCCTTCCTCCCTGAATCCTCAGCGCCCAGCAGAGTTCCTAGAATGCTGTGGAGGCTCGGCCAATGCCCGAGGGTGGCTTATGCTTTGTGATGCAGCACGAGTAATGAGTGCTGAGAGATGCGAACTCACAAAGACCAGGTGTGGATGTGTGCACAAGCACACACACGTGTGCACACAAGTACATACATGCACACCCATGCCCTGCCCCTGAGTAGACACAGACCCAGGCCCCAGTTCTAGAGCCCTATTCCCAGCCCCTCTCCTCCCCTGTCACTCAACGCCTTGCCAGTTCTTATGCTAATGAGAGGAAGCGTTTGGGCAGAGAGAAGCTTGGAAAGGAAGTCTTTGAAATGGAAATGTTATGACAAAATGATGGATTGTTTTCCGAGCTGTGCAGTTTGTTTCTTTCTTGCAGCAGAAGGGAGAGTATAACAGAGACAAGAGTGGCAGAGGCTGCCCATGTCAGCAAGCCCCAGATGGCAAGGAGTGCGGGTGAAACACTCCGGGACCATGGAGCGAGGGGAAACTGCAAAGCAGGCAGAGGGACACGGCCTAGCTACTGTCCAGAAGCCTTGGTCATGGCTGGGGCCCGACTGGCCAGAGCATACAACGGCTGTCTGGAGGAGGTGGGGTCTCTGAAGACCAGGAGGGACATCTGACCCGTCCTTCTGCCAAGGCTGCCATACTCAACACCCTGCAGGGCTCATCTCTGAGCCTCTGTGCATGCTGTTCCTTTGCCTGATATGACTCCACCTTCTCTAACCTGCAGACTGTTCTTCGTCCTTCAAGACCAGCTGATATGTTATCTCCACTGGGAAGACTCCTACTGTACATGAGGCCTGCTTCACCCAAACTCCCTAAACCATAGGAGAACTCATTGGCTGATCCCTAGCTCCTTGATTGACTTGGGGCTAATTAGAATTGTTGCCTATCTTACTCATTAAAAATATGCATTGCATACTTGCTGTGTGCAAAATGCTGTTCTAGGCACTGTGTCCATTGGTGAACACAAACAGACCCTCCGTCGTCATGGGACTTATGTCCTGGGGGGACACAAACAATGAGATCATAGATGCATAAGTTACGTGGCTTCTGGGTGGTTATAAGCACATGGGAAAAGTGGAGTAATGAGGGAACACGCTTTGCTTTGAAATGAGGTAGGAAGGGCAGGCTCAGTGAGAAGGTGACATTTGAGCAAAGACATGAAAGATGGGTCAGCCATGCAGATATAGGGGCAGGGATGGTGTGTAAAGACTAAACACATCAGCATTTAATAAAGAGAAGCTACAGGTGGATACATATGGATACATTATTTTTTGCTTATGCCAGTTATCTTTCTAATGAAAGATAAGTTGCATCTCAATTGTTTAGCATCCTTTATAGCACTTAGTGTTTGACACGGAATAACTGTTCAGTAGACGTATGTTGAACGAACAAACAAGCTCCAAACTGTCTCCCTCTAAACCCCTTAGCCATGGTGAGGGCTGCCCAGGAGCCAGCTCTTGTCCTGGAGCGCCCTCTAGTGACCAAATCTCAGATGCCAGCTTTGTACATCTTGTTTATATCCTGTAACATTTCTCCTTCCCACCCCAGGAGAACTTAGGGACAGTGGCCAACCAATCAATAGAATTAACTAAGTGTCTCCTATGTGCAGGGCACAGTGGCAGCTTCTACACGAAGCACGCAGACTCAGGATATATGGTCCCTGCCCTCAAATCCCTCACTCACTGGACATCTCTCTGGTTAACCATTTCCTTCTCAACCTTTGCTCTCCGATAATCCCCCCTTTCTGATCTTTCTGGATCATCTGTAATACTGGAATTACATTTTGAGCTAGGGCTGGCTGGGTGAGGATGTGCATGCTGTGTGTGCCTGAGGGGCTTGGGAATAGCATTAGCTTTCCAGGTCAGCAAATTAGCCCATCATTCCGTAGTAGTGGAGGGGTGGAAGACAGCTAGGATCTGGTCCACTAGGCACTCCATGGAGTTTCAGAGCTGAGGCTGATGCTGGCTGGATAACATGCAGACCAAACTTGTCACCCCATTCTGGCTGGTGGAATTGTGCTTCCTTTTTAAGGACTTCTCATGGCCCTGGCCACCTTCTCTGTGCTGGTGGCCTTGGTATCCTCAAAGCCAAAGCTGAAGCTCCATTCCTGGGCACTAAGCCTCCACCACCTTTTGTCCTTGCCCTCTCCTCTGACCCCATCCATGAAACTCGAGAGCCCCTTTCTTTCCCAGGGCTCTGTTTAACACTGAGGCCAGAATAACTGTGTCCTGGTAGCTTTATTTTTAGGGCCTGTAAGAGGGAATAAGGAGCCTCTGGAGACAGGCCTCCCATGTGTCAGGGAGGGTCCTGGGCCCACAGGTGCCAGCCACACCTCCTGCAGCTTTGGAAGTCCAGTGCCAAATCTCAGCCACACCCCCATATCTGCTCCCTGGGGTGCACATTTCTCATCGAGAGCATAGCTCTTATGCAATGAGGTGGCTGTGGGCAAACTGGCTGTCCAGATGCCTAGGCTTAAGTCAGTGCCCTGGGACCTCCCGAGTTATGCTGGTGGCCAGTCTCTTGGCCTCAGCTCCTGAGTTAGGAAGGTAGGTGGCCTCAAGCTGAAGGGATGCTTTGGCTTGACTTCCACCACCTGGGCTCATGCCCCTTGTAGAGTGGATGATACGCAAAGAGTAGAGAATCTCCAAGTGCTTTCCTGAGTCCGCGCTTTTCCTGGGAGTCCCAGACGCAGACCAGTCAGGGTGAGAGTGGACTGGGAATCCAAGAATCTTCAGAAATTATTCTTCGGCTTGAAAGTCTGATGAATGAACTGATTACGGCTGGTGCAGAAAGTGCCCCGTGGACACTCTATCACTGGGTGGCAGCCTGGGTATGGATTTGGACTGGGCTTCAAAGATTTTATTTGGACCCAAGAGGGAGAAAAATGGCTTTCTGCATCCCACGGAGTGCTTCCTGGCAAAGGGCAGTGGGCACTTGTGCATATGTCTCCCAAGCCACCTTCTCTCCTTTGACCACTTAGATCTGGATCTTCCTTCTAGCCTTAAGCAGCGTCCTAAGAGTGGTGTCTTCTCTTCCTCTCTGTCATCCCCATGCTGCCCTGGTTCCCATTAGTCCTTACCTTCCCCAGGCCCTAAAAGTAGCTCTTTCCCAGGGCTGGAGTTGCCCCGGCCTTGGGAACACCCCAGCTTGGGGACTAGTGAGGCCCCAAGGGGTGCAGGTACTAGGTGGGACTTGATGTGTCTCTCCAACAGGAGCAGAGGGACACTGGAAAATCACTGGCCCCACTGGAGGTGCCTGAGCTAGGAAGATGAAAGAGGATGACACAGGGGACTGTCTTTTTTTCTCACACAGCTGGCAGCTCTGGCCTGGGGTCGGAGAGACAAATGTGTTGGGCGTGTGCCTTGTCAAATGAATTGTCTTTCTTTCTCTCTCATCAAATATTTACAGAGCATCCCTATCACCAGGTGCTGAAGCCACGATGGTGAGCAAAACATGCTCTTCATCCTCATAGAGCTTTATGGAGGTAAGAGTTATTGGGAGTTTGGTCTTGGTGAGATTTATTGGGAGGGACCATATTTTGGATTTGGATTTTCAATATTCTGTCCCATAGTTCCCTCAACTGATTGCAGTGTCCTAAAAAAAGCTGGTAATCCTGAAATCACACTGCATCAGTCAGACTGTTACTTACGCCAGCAAACATCACAAAAATCTTTTGTTAGGCCTCACGTCCCAGTTTTTAGTCCAGAAGGTGTGATTCCCATTCAGCCGGGGCTTCCAAGCCCCTGACGTAGAGCAGGGATTTGAATGGAAAAGAGAGAAGCAGCTGCGGCCCCGTGCCTGGAAAGCCCAAGTGTGCTCTCCTCCTGTTTGTGAAAGCCTCTCCTTCCCCAGGTCAGGGCAGGGCCTGTGACCCACTCCTCTGTCTACTGCTCCAGACAGGCCACCTGGACTTCACCAGTCTCCTAACAACCTACAAAGTCTCCCTGGATAACAGGATGTGACCTTTCTCATGTCAGCGAGGTTTGCTGGAGGATGTGAGAGCTGAAGCCAGAGGCAGTCCACAGCTGTGAGGTGATGGAAACTGGTAGGAAGGGGGATGTTATGGACTGAATTGTGTCTCCTCAAATTCACATGCTAAAGCCCCAACCCCGAAAGTGGCTGTGTTTAGAGATGGGGCTTTTGAAAAAGTAATTAAGGTTAACTGGGTCATATAGGTAGGCCCTCATCTGATGTGACTGGTGTCCTTAGAAGGAGAGGAAGAGATGCCAGCGATGTGCATGCACAGAGGAAAGGCCATGGGAGGATGCAGTGGGAAGGTGGCCTTCTGCAAGCCAGGGAAAGAGGCCTCACCAGAAACCAGCTCTGATGGCACCTCGATCTTGGACTTCCAGCCTCCACAACTATCCTTTGAGCCACATGGCCTGTGGCCTTCTGTCATGGCAGCCTGGGTGGACTGAGACAGGGAAGTTGCTGCAGGCTGATGGAAACAGAGGCTCAGCAGGGCTCCCATCTGAATCTGGATGAGGGAGGTGGGAGAGAGTCACCATCCCTGGGATTTGCTCTTGAAGGTTTTGGCAGCTCTGACCATCTCCTTAGGTTGATTGGTGGGCAGCCCCAATGTCTGCAGCCCTGGGGCCAAGGACTCTCCTATCAGGCCTCCTGGCCATTGCAGAGGATGTCAGGTGGTGGTGGTGGGGGGATGCCTAAAGGCCATGACTTCTTTCCTTAATGACATAAGACCTGATCCTCCAGGGCAGGCAATGCTCAGAAGCTCTCTCATTGGACAGCAGAGGCTGAAACTCGCAGGCAGGTCACGTCCTCTTGGAGGGTCTCTGATTAATCACTGCTGCCATCACCATGAGGTCCCTTGAGGGGTGCTGCTACCTTTAACTCTCTAACTCTCTGGTTCTAATGTGAGTGCACAACTCTTACTGTCATTCTTGAGTGCATAGGCTATGGATGACCCAAAGGGGAAAAAAACATGCCCCCAGATGGTCCTGCTTAAGAGCTGTGGTGTTGACCCAGTCCATCTCCTGGCTAATTTCTTTATGACAGACATCATCTGTATTAGTTTCCTATTGCTACTGTAACAAATTACCACAAACTTCGTGGCTCAAAACACCACACATTTATTATCTTATGGTTCTGGAGGTTGGAAGTCCAAAATCAGTCTTACTGGGCCAGAATGTACAAGGCTGCATTCCTTACAGAGCTCCAGGAGATAATCTGTTTCATTGCCTTTTCCAGTTTCTACAGGCCACCTGCATTCCCCGGCTTGTGGCCCCAACACTCGACCTCTGCTTCTGTGGTCGTAGCTCCTGACTCTGTCCTCCCACCATCTTCTTATAAATACCCCTGTGACTATAGGGGACCCATCCAGATAATCCAGATTAACCTCCCCATCTCAAGGTTCTGGGGATTAGGATCTGGACATCTTTGGGGGGCAATATTCAGCCTTATTATTCAGCATTAATGCACTTTGCCATGAAGCTTATCTGCAGGCAGTTTACCTCTTTGAGATCTAGATCTGAGAGAGGGAGGTTCAGGTAAGACAGGTGCTCCCCTCCATCTGCCCCAGGCTCCTTTCCTTGGATGACTGACACCAAGCATCCATTTCATTCACAGCACCCCCTTTCCTCATCCTCAGGGGGTGCCCTTTCTCTGTGGCTGCTGTGGGACAAGTTCATTAGAATACCACCCAGTACCCCCATCATCAGTACTCACCCCAAACCACAGCAGGCTGATCTCCTCACAAAAGCCAGAGAGCCAAGATTGGAAGCTAGGCCATCACAACTAGACACTCCTCCTCCCCACAAAATCCCATGACCTGCCCACCAAGCCTCACCATTTCCTTTACTGAGAATTGTTTGTACAAAAGGAGAGAGAATATTTGGCTTTTAGATATCTAAGCCAGGGAGAGGGCAAGAGAAGGAAAGAGTCACCTTCAAAAACTGGAACTGTCCAAGCCGGTGGTGGCCCTGGAGTCCCAGCACTGGCATCTGAGTCCACCCTGGGGGCTTGATTCCACATGGGCAGGGGGTGTCTGGTCATCAAACCCAGTTGTCTGGGGAGGATGGCACTGCCTTGACACTAAGTTTTAGACAAATAAGTAAAAATGTTTTGTCCTTGCTGTAGGTGGTAGTTGTATGGAACTCTTGTCTGGATGTAGTGGTAGTCTGGATATGGAAATAAGTTTCTAAAAATTTAGATAGGCTGGGCACAGTGGCTCACACCTGTAATCCCAGCACTTTGGGAGGCCAAGGCAGGTGGATCACCTGAGGTCAGGAGTTTGAGGCCAGCCTGGCCAACATGGCGAAACCCTGTCTTAACTAAAAATAAAAAAAATTAGCTGGGTGTGGTGGTGGGTGCCTGTAGTTCCAACTACTTGGGAGGCTGAGGCAGGACTCTCTTGAACCACTCCAGCCTAGGCGACAGAGTGAGACTCTGTCTCTAAATAAATAAATAAATAAATAAAAGTTTAGATAAATTTCAGGATGTCAGACTGGGTTCTTTTCCAGCCCTGTCACTCATTAGGCCACGTGACCTTGGACTTTCTGGGTCTCAGTTTCCTCAACTTAAATTAGAATACACAAGAACTTCCCCCAGAGGACTGTCACAAGGAGTGAGATAATGAGTGTGAAAGTGCTTTGTACAAGATATGCTACGCAGGAGTAGTATTATTATTAGAGGAATGTGAGCGTGCTGAGAAACATTCAGCACCTGGGAGGGCGGGCCAGGGAGGACAATTGTACCTCCCTACAGCCTGTACCTTGGTGGTAGGAAACTAGGCTGGGTGGTCCAGGGGTTGACCCAGTGTGGGAGACCTTATATTTTCATGTGTGAAAAGGCTCACAGCTCTATTCCAATGTGCCCCTTTCATTTCACCCATGCCCTCTGCTGGTCCAGCTCCACACTGGCAAATTGAGATCACATCCTATAACATGCATTACCCCCTGTGGTTGATAACCTTCCAAAATGGCCTCCAGTAATCCCTGCTTCCTGGTCAGCATGCCCTTGTGTAACCCTCTCGTCTTGAGTGTGGACTGGATTTTGTGACTTGCTTGTAACAAATAGAAGACACCAAAGCAATGCGTTTGGTTTGCAAAGCCCGTGGATTCTGTCTTGCTTGTACTCTCTCTTGCTTGCTGTAAGGAAGCAAGCTGCCATGTTGTGAGTGGCTCTATGAAGAGGTCCCTGGAGCAAGGACCTGAGGATGACTTTCAGCCAACAGCCAAAGAGGAATTTCCTCCGCCTCCAGTCCAATAGTCCAGGAGAGACCAAATCCTGCCAACAACCATGTGAGTGAGCTCAGAATCTCCCCTCTCCCGCTGCAGTGGAGTCTTGAGGTGACAGAAACCCTACCCAACATTTGGATTGCAGAGAGGCCGAGAGCTCTAGGAACCAGCTAACCTGTGCCTGTATTCACTCCCAATTCACAGAAACTGTATTCACTCCTGATTCACAGAAACTGTGAGTTGTAAATGTGTGTTGTTTTAAGCTATTAAGTGTAGGAGTAATTTGTTACATGGTGATAGATAACTAATGCACACTGTAAAGTGTCATTTGACATTAAGGAACTGCAGCATCATTACAATCTCAGTTTACTAAATACAACTGAATATCAGCTCTGTGCCAAGCACATGGTGCCTTGGGGTTCTGAGGCCATGACGATGAACGAGGCAAGACCCCAGCCTCCAAGATCTCACAGAGGGCAGGTAGACACCAAATGGGCAAAGTGAAGAGCGGAGGAAGCAGAGCAAGCCTCATGCAGGAAGGGGTGTTTGGGGTATCTTGAGGGATGAATAGGATTTCAAAAGGCAGAAATAAGGTGAAGGGTATTCCATGCGGGAAGAAATGTGGGTGGTGCAAAGCGTTTTCAAACATGTGACACTGAGCTGATCACAGATGAGAAAAAGTTGGACAGATTCAGTTCCTCTTTTCTGCATGAGGTTAGCACTAGGCAAAATTGGGAAGCTGCATCTTTACACAGCTTGCAAGCAATGGTGAAATAGAACAGAATGGTCAGGCTAGTGTGGGACCTGTGGCATGTGGAGGCGGGGGGCCATAGAAAGGAAGGGGGACCCCATAACCTTTACCTGCCTGGGTAAAGTTACCTGGGCTCAACCATCCTGGCTCTCCTGAGACAGCACTGCTAGTGGAGGTGGCTTCTGGCGGAGGAGCATGGAGACCTGCAGCCAAAACCCTCAGTTCGAATCCTGGCTCTGCCAAGTTGCTAGTTGTAGCATCTTGGGAAATTACTTTGACTGCTTTGCGACTCCATTGCCTCATCTGTGAAATGGAGCTAATTATAAATCCTGCCCCACAAGGTGTCATGAGACTAAGTTAGTTCATTTACATTAACTATTTTAGAATAGCGCATGGCATGCAATAAATATGTTACTGGTATTTTTTCAAGGGGCACAATCTGATCTTTGTATCATCCCTTTTTCTTTTTCTTCTTCCTTTCCTTCCTTTATTCCACAAATACTTGTTGAGCAGCAGACACCGTAGTGGGATTATGCACCAGACACTGTGTGGGGATTATCACATTAAAGAGACACAACCATGACTCTCAAAGGGTTCACCACCTTCAGGCGGGTTTTTATCCTAGGCTTTAGCCACCTTTCACAGAGTGTGGGCTGAGCAGAAATCTTCCGTGGAAGGATCAGGCCACCGTCTACCTGCATTCTACTTTGCACAGCACCTTTTACAGTTTGCTAAGAAATATCATGTATTATCTTATTTAATTCTCACAGTCATATTGGGAGCTTGGTATTGTTTGTCGTTGCTATTAACAAATGGAGGAACCGAAGTGTAGAGTGGGTAAAATAATTGTCCAAGGTCATGAAGCCTTTGGTGGCAAATTAGACACAAATATTTCCCACGATGTCAACAGTTCTTTTAAACAGGCTGAGGGTGAGACAGATACCTTGTGGAGGATTCAGGTCCACCAGGCAGGGAGGTCTGATTCCCCAAATGGGGGCCTCCTGGGGTGCCGGTGTCTGGCTGGGCTGCCCGCTGGTTCTGGACTTGGAATTCAAACCATTTCAGAATTCTGAGGCATCAATAATCCATTTTAAAGTTAAACAAGATGCCACTGTAAGAAGACATTTTTAGTCTCAGAGGGTGGCAATCTGACTTCCAGATTCCAGTGAAGTCCTTTCTCCAGATGGACGTGTTTGTCCAATCCATGTCCATCATCCCCCTGCATGGTGGAAGGCACCACAGGGCGTGGAGGAAGGGTGGAGGATGGCGAAGAGGGTGTGCATGTCGTGTGGTGGGGATTTAGTTCTTGACTTCAGGAGTCCTTTTCTGAGAGTGCAAAGCAGGAATCAGGACATTAAGAAATTCTAAAAGGTGACTCAAGCAGTTGAATAAAAGCAGCTTCATTTTATAAATCACCAGTGGGAGCCATTCCAGAACCTACCCAGGTGCTCTCCTGATTGAAAACCAACCAGCTGGAAGAGGGGAGAGAGGGAGGGGAGTAGACCCCAGTGCTGGAGACTTGTGAGGCCTGCCCAACACCACCACCCCCAACCCTGCTCTGCCCACCCACTCCTTGCCTGCCATGTCTTCCCCTCTGTCCTCATTGCAGGGAGACAGGGGGAGGTCAGGGAGGCTGGCTGGGAGCCCGGCTTCTGCTCCCCACTCTAACCTCTGCCACCGTCATAGGACAGCTCTGTGGTGGGGTGCCCTCTATGCCCATGGGCGGTGGTGGGTTCCACTGAGGAGTCGCTGCTGCTAAGCCAGGGAACATGATGTCGTGGGGCCCACACAGGCTCTGACAGTGCTGGTGGCTGCTGCTTTTCCTAGCTGCATGACTTCAGGCATATGACAACGTCTCTGAGCCAGTTTCCTCATTTGGACAGGGACGATACTAATGCTGTGGGTTAAATTTACACCCCATGCCCCCTCCAAAAAAGATGCACTGGAGTCCTAACCCCCAGTACCTCAGAATGTGATCTCATTTAGAGACAGGGTCTTTACAGAGGTAATGAAGTTAAAATGAGGACATTACAGTGGGCCCTAATCCAATATGATAGGTGTTCTTATAAAAAGTAGAAATTTGCCACGCCTTTAATCCCAGCACTTTGAGAGGCCGAGGTGGATGGGTCACGAGGTCAGGAGATCGAGACCATCTTGGCCAACATGGTGAAACCCCGTCTCTACTAAAAATACAAAAAATTAGCCAGGTGTGGTGGTGCATGCCTGTAGTCCCAGCTACTCAGGAGGCGGAGGCAGAAGAATCGCTTGAACCCGGGAGGCGGAGGCAGAAGAATCGCTTGAACCCGGGAGGCGGAGGTTGCAGTGAACCAGTGAACTGAGGTCGCGCCACTGCATTCCAGCCTGAGTGACAGAGCAAGACTCTGTCTCAAAAAAGAAAGAAAGAAAGAAAGAAAGAAAGAAAGAAAGAAAGAAAGAAAGAAAGAAAGAAAGAAAGAGAAAGAAAGAAAGAAATTTGGACAGAGAAACAGACACATATAGAGGGAAAATGGTGTGAAGAGATACAGGGAGAAGATGGCCATCTACAAAACAAGGAGCCAACCCTGCTGGCACCTTGCTCTTGAACTTTCAGTTTCCAGAACTGGGAGACAATACATTTCTACTGTTGAACCCACCCAGTCTGTGGTACTGTGTTATGGCAGCTCTAGCGAGCCAACACAGGAATACAACATCCGGCCCATAGGAAAGACTAATGTTCCTTGGGGTGGCAGGGAGGGGTCCTTCTCCTGTCCTGCCCCCATTTTCTCAGTTTCTGAGAAGCTGTTCTTGGCCAGGTCCTGCTCAGCGGGAGGCAGCTGTGGTGTCAGGGAAAGGCCTCAGGCTCGGGTCTCTGCTCCAGCACTGAGTAGACGGTGTGCTGGGGCAGGCATTGACCTTTTCAGAATTTCTGTTTTATCAACTCTAACCTGGGGCAAATATGAAACCTCCCTGAACAACTTGCAGGGTGGCTGTGTGGTTCAAATGAGATAACCATATACATGAAATCATTTTATAAACCACATTGCATTAATTTCTGTGGCAGCTGTTTCTGTCATAGGAGAGAATTCTGAGATTGACAGAGAGGTGTCACAGACGAGCTTGGGAACAGACATTCCTGCTTTGCTAGGAATTCGATGCTGCCCTAAGGGGCCCACGGTGGCAGAAGGCCAGTAGCCTTGCTCACAAGTGTTGCTAGTACTGCCTCACCTTGGGTTCAGGTATGCTGCTACCAAGTGGCAACAGGAAGCCTGCTTACATTTTGAACCTTTTTCTTGAGATGCCATATGTAGGAAAAATACTATTTATTTAGTGCCTGTTCTATGAAGTGGGCTTCATATTTGACAGTTTTTTTTTTTTTTTGAGACGGAGTTTCATCCAGGCTGGAGTGCAATGGTGTGATCTCAGCTCACTGCAGTTTCCGCCTCCTGGGTTCAAGGGATTCTTCTGTCTCAGCCTCCCAAGTGGCTGGGAATATAGGTGTGCACCACCATGCTGGCTAATTTTTGTATCTTTAGTAGAGATGGGGTTTTGCCATGTTGGCCAGACTGGTCTCCAACTCCTGACCTCGAGTGATCCACCCGCCTCTGCCTCCCAAAGTGCTGGGGTTACAGGCCTGAGCCACCGCGCCCAGCCTCATTCAAGCTTTTTAGAGAAGCCCCTTCCATTTCCAATGTGCTTGACCTCAGGTCCCCTGGCCACTTGCCTTCTATTCTTTGGTGTGTTATCCCAAAGACGAGGAAGAGAGCCATAGAGCCTTGCTTCTTTCTCCACAATGCAACAAGGTTTCTACTTTCTCGACAATGAAGTCAGATGCCCCCTGCCCCCTCTCCAAAGGGAAGCATCTTGGCGCTTTGTTCTTCTGATCAATAGGGAGATGCCTTGTCTCTCTCTGGCCAGAACTGCCTCCCTGACTTGAATTTGTGTCCAATGCTGGACTGACTTCCCTTCTGGGCTGCTAATTCTTTTCCAGTTGAATGTGACAACATCTCCAAGTGGAGCAGAACACTAAGGTGGAAAATGAACTTCTTTAATCAAGCCCTCAGCACTCAGGCTCTGTCCCATGACTGGTCAGAGACTGCCCACACAGGGCCAGTTTATCTTGGGCTTGAATAAGCCGGGGAGTGCGAGGGTTGGCTTGCTATTAACTCAGAAGGAGAAATCACGGAGTTGGAGGGTTTAAGCTGAGGCAGGCCTCAGACCCACCCACAAGGAGGGCGAGGGTTTCTGGCTGATCTGAGAAGCCCATTTCCACTCCTCAAGGGCAGAGAGCCCTCTTAGTTGGCTCTGTATCCCCAGAGCCAGCTTTGGCATCTGGCCCACGGCAGAAACATGGTGAATATTTGAGGAAAGAACAAGAGCATCATCTATACCCTGAGAAAGTTAATCATCCAGTGCACGGTGAATGTTAGTTATCTCCTCCTGCGTGGAGTCTCAGAAAAAAACAGAATGATTCAGGTCTGCACAGAAAATTCCGTGCCAAGAAATTACTTCAGCCCAAACTCTCCAGGTAGATAGGTCGCAATTATTGTCATTGTAGGGCATGTGAGGGAAGTCAGGGGAGCCTCTGATTTGGCTCTCCGGTGGCCTCGGTTCTCCCTTGGGTCGTCCGTCTTTCTTTCCCTTTTTCTGTTTCTTGCTTCATTTGTTGAGCATCTATTAAGCACCAGACACTGTGCTGGGACTGTAATATTAAAGGGCACAGCCATGGCTCTGGCAGGGTTCACAGCCTTCAGGTGGGTGTATCCTGGCTTTATCCTTTCAAAGAGTGTGGGCTGAGCAGAAATCTGCTGTGGAAGGGTCAGGCCACTGTCTACCTGCATCCTACTTTGTGTAGCACCTTTTACAGTTTGCTAAGGCATCTCAGGTGTTATTTTATTTAATTTCCACAATAATCTTGGAAGCCTGGTATTATTTATTGTTGCTGTTAACCATAGAACAACAGGTAGGGGTGGGAGACATGGGGGATGAGAAGGAGATGGCATAGCCACACCCTGAGTTCAGAAGAGCAGAAGATCCCATCTAAAATTCCCAATGATGGCAGCCATTCTCTCCCCAGGCATCTGACTGGCACCTCAGTGATGGGAGTGAAATAGCATTTATTATCTGGTGACATTTCGCAGGCAGCTTTTTACCTCCGCTTCCCCTGAGATGTGATAACAAAAGATTGTCTGATCTTCCTTTTACCCATCTCCCCAGCTCCCTACCACCCCCAGTTCCCTTTCATCCCTGCGTTTGAGGGCAACTGTTCTTCTGTCTCGAGGTTGGGCTGGCCAGAGCAAACATAGCTTTCCCGGGGGAGACCAGGCCATCTTTCTTCCTCTTACTTCAAAGGGGCTTTGGAACGCTCCACCCCATGGGCTGAACAGAATGTATTTCATTTTTTAGGAGGCTGGAATCAGCTGCCGAGAAGGGCAGGGGCACCTTGGGCTCTCCTTCCCTTCCCCATCTCCAGGACTCAGTAAGGAGGGAGGGCATGAAATCTCAGGCTCCTGGGCGGGGCTGGGGAGGCCGGCCTTGTCACAGGCAGGAGGGGCCGCATTCCTTCCTCAGCAGCTGGTGGAGCTGGGCCTGAGCAGGACTTCCCCAAAGGACTGAGAAGGAAGCCTCCACTCTGTCGTCGCTCTCTGGTGAGGGGCCTGCTGAGGTGGGGAGGCCCAGCAGAGTCAGGGTGTGGTGGGGAGGGGCTTCCCCATTGAATGTCCAGAAGAGCTGCCTTGAAGGTTCAGTTGCTCCACTGGAACTGAGACAGAGCCTTCTGAGAGACCTTCAGAGCTGGGGTTTCCCAGAGGAAGGCGTCTTGGGTCTCTTTGCCCTCCGGGAGCCCTGCCCACCAGGAAGAGCAGCCTGCAGGGAGGAAGGCAGGCAGCTTTCTCCTGAGCTGGAGAGGGACAGCCCTGAGGGCTTCTTCCCCTGTCAGAAAACCATCCCCCTCGCTTCTCAGATGGACGTTGGGGAGAAGACGGCAACAGACCAGATCTCAGCAGATCACTAAACAAACCAAAGCTCCTAATACAAAATCAGATTCTCCTCCCACCCCCATATATTCCCTGACCTCCCGGCAGGCTGGCAGGCCTCAGCGCTGGTTTGTCACCCTTAGGAGGGCAATGGTCACAAGCCCAGATGCCTTCTGGAGCTGGCAGGCCAAGTGTCAGGGACACCAGAGGGAGGGCAAAGAGGATGGTGACCTGGAGAGCAGCCTCTGCTATTGTGGTCATCCAGGTTGGCCAAATCTTCTGATTTTCCAACGGAAGTCAGAAATACATTTTACAAAATTTCTGTGATGAAAAATTTCAAGCATACATAAAAGTGGAGAGAATAGTAAAGTGAGCCCCCATAGACCCCACTACCTGGATTCGATGATTATCAAGATTTTGCTGCCCTTGTTTCATCTATCTCTTTAAAAAATAAGATTAAAAAAATGAGAACTCTCCAGGCTTTTAAATGTTGGCTCAAAATTTTGGAAAGCACATGTGAGTTTCATCCTGGGGGCAGCTGCAGGCAATGCTGCTCAGGGGAGCTGGGTTTCTACTGTGGGCCAGGAGCGTATGGGGGCCCTGGGCCAGGCCTCCCCCATGCCCCATCCCAGCTATGCCCCAGGCTTCAGGGCCCATGCCCATAAAGCCTCCAAGGGTCACTGCAGTCACACTTCTCTTGAAAGGGGAATAGGGATGGGAGACTAGGGGTGGGGCAGAGTGAAATCTTACTAGGCATATCGGTGGCTTAATTTTGTCTCTTTAGGGTATAGGGAGGGAGAGCTTAGAGGCGCTATTCTTTAATTCAAAAGATATTTATTGTGCACCTACTATGAGCTATGACGGGTTCTGGGAATATAGAAGCGGACAGACAAAAAATCCCTATCTTTTGGAGTTAACATTTTTATAAGAAATTATAGATAATTAGATACAAAAGTGATTATGTGTATGTGTGTGTGTGTGTGTGTGTGTGTGTGTGTGTGTGTTTATATATTCCTACAGGTTGAGCATCCCAAATCTAAAAATCTGAAATCCAAAATCTTAAAGTTTTTGATTCAGAACATGATGCCTCAAGAATAAAATTTCATACTTGACCCCATGTGACTGGTCACCATAAAAATGCAGGTGCACGACACACAGTGGATTCAGTGTCCTCAAAGCAAAAAAGACCCTTCACCTGCAACACATCTTTTGTGCCCCTTTTCAGATGCACGGATGCCCACAGCGTAATAAAATGGCACGTGCGCAGGCCAGACATGCCAATGGCAGGTTCCCCACAATGCCCCACATGAGGCCAAGATTTACGTGCATTACTCACTGTGTTGTTTTGTTTATTCTCTGCTCTGTGTAAAGATATTGTTGAAAATGTCAAAAAGGCCTGTATGATGCCCTTAGGGTAATGCAAATATTCCAAAATCTGAAACAAACAAACAAACAAACAAAATACCCAAATCAGAAACATTTCTGGTCCCAAGCATTTTGGATAAGGCATACCCAACCCATAAACGTGTGTGTGTGTGTGTGTGTGTGTGTGTGTGTGTGTGTGTGTGTATGTGTATGTGTGTATATATACATACCTGCCGCATGGAGGATGCCTGCCTCCAGGGGCACAAAGGCTGACCAGCAGAGGCAAGCTGAGGACAGTGGAGAGAGGTGACGCTGTGAGCTCTGAAGGTGGAGTTTGGATCTCCAGACTCACTGGACCTAGGATGATGACTGGCTCTGCTGCATTTCTCAGTCATGTGAGCCAATAAGGTCCTCTCTTCTGTTTCAGTTTGAGTTGGATTTCTTTGACCTGCAACCGAATGCGTCCTCCCTAATATATTCTTGCACCAGAGTGTACATCCTCAGTGAGTGCCTGAGGGAGTGTGGGGAGGGAATTCCTGCAAAGCAGAGTGAGGGCTATGCAAGCCCATCAGACCAGCTGCTGGCCAGCCTGTGAGAGCAGCGCAAGGGAACCTTGTGTGTGAGCAGCATTTTGGGCGGCCAAGGCTCCAGGCCACATTGCATTGGCAGGTCTGTGCCCACAAGGTTGCCTCAGAGGTCCTGCTGAGCCTTCCACCTCAAGTGGCTTAACTCCTCTAAGTGGCCTCTGCGTAGTGTGTGCCAGAAAAAGCTTATACAGTGAGGGGTGGCTCAAACCTCAGCCACTCTGCTGTCCCAGAACCTCAGGGAATGATGCTGGCCTGTTTTATGGTATCAGCATCTTTGGTTTGGCTGTGAGTGAAGGTGAATTGAGGGTGACAATATAAAGGTTAGGTTCTTGACCAAGAAGGTGGGGCATAGGACAATTAGGGAACCATCTATGTATAATCATCACCTCAGTTTTGTGCCCCCTCCATTTGGGGTTCCTAGGATGACTTCCCCACTGATATGGTTTGGCTGCGTCCCCACCCAAATCGCATCTTGAATTGTAGCTCCCATAATTCCCACGTGTCATGGGAGAGACCCTGTGGGAGGTAATTGAATCATGGGGGTGGGTTTTTCCCATACTGTTCTCATGATAGTGAATACGTCTCATGAGATCTGATGGTTTTATAAAGGGGAGTTCTCCTGCACACGCTCTCTTGCCTGCTGCCACTAAGATGTGACTTTGCTCCTTATTTGCCTTCCACCATGACTGTGGGGCCTCCCCAGCCATGTGGAATTGTGAGTTCATTAAACCTTTTTCCTTTATAAATTACCCAGTCTCTGGTGTGTCTTTATTGGCAGTGTGAGAACAGATTAATACACCCACAATATGCCACAAAGAAATGTTACCTAACTTTTTGAAGCTTTGGTTTTCTTATCTGCTAATGGAAATAATCCTTACTTTATAGTGGTTGTTAAGATGAAATGAAAAATGTGTAAAGCATTTAGAATGTTGTAATTGTTTATTAAATATGATGTTATCCTCACCACTACTTCTGTCTATGCCCCACATTATTAATTTATTAAATCTTTTTTTTTTTTTTTTTTTTGAGAAGGGGTTTCACTCTGTTGTCTAGGCTGGAGTGCAGTGGCGCAATCTTGGTTCATGGCGACCTCCGCTTCCCAGGCTTAAGCAATCCTCCCACCTCAGCTTCCCGAGTAGCTGGGACTACAGATGCCCGCCACCATGCCTGGCTAATTTTTGTACTTTTTGTAGAGATGGGTTTTCGCCATGTTGCCCAGGCTGCTCTCAAACTTCTGAGCTCAAATGATCTGCCTGCCTTGGCCTTCAGAAGTGCTGGGATTATAGGAGTCAGCCACTGTGACCAGCCTGCCTATGTTTATTAACTCTCTCTCTCTCTCTATCTGTATCTATCTATCTATCTATCTATCTATCTATCTATCTATCTATCTATCTATCTGTTTTTTTTTTTTTTTGAGACGGTGTCTCACTGTCTCCCAGGCTGGACTGCACTGGTGTGATCTCGGCTCACTGCAACTCCGCCTCCCAGGTTCATGCCATTCTCCTGCCTCAGCCTCCTGAGTAGCTGGGACTACAGGTGCCCGCCACCATGCCTGGCTAATTTTTTGTATTTTTAGTAGAGATGGGGTTTCACCGCGTTAGCCAGGATGCTCTCGATCTTCTGACCTCATGATCCGCCCGCCTCGGCCTCCCAAAGTGCTGGGATTATGGGCATGAGCCACCGTGCCCGGCCTATTAATTCTATATTTATACTGTCTTTGAAATCAGCTGCCTTCTGCTTAGGGTCATTCCCTGACTCAGATTGCAAAGGTAAGCCCTATACTTGTTTGGGTAGTGTTAATTGGTCCTCAGGAAAGCTTTTAAAGAATCATAGTTCCTTTCATTTGTGTAGTGCTTTACAGCCCTAAATTGCTTTTAGTAAAACTCCATCACTGAGTCCTCAGCCTGTGAGGCAGATGTAATTTTGTCCATTTTTCAGATTCGGAAGTAAGCTCAAGGAGGTTGAGCACAAGTATAAGAATCAGAGAAATAGGAATTCCAGCAGAGGGTGGGTCCTGAGCAGCCACTCTGGTGGGCTGTGGAGGGCCTGTGATCCCTATTATGCAGGTTGGGTGAGGGAGGACAACCGGTGGGGCCCGGAGCCTGCTCCTTGTTGGGGTGGAGTGGGTGGGGAGAACATTACCATGTTTGCTGCTGGTTAGGTAATTTTAAATCTCTATTTTCTACTTAAGGAAACTGAAGCTCATTGCTGCCCAAGTCATACAACTAATATGAACTTAGCCAGGTCCTTTGACTCCAAGTTTAGAAGGTTTTACCCTTAAGTTTCAAAATGCTTTATGGTTTATAAAACTTTTGAAAAGGGAATGATGAGGCCAGGCGTGGTGGCTCACGCCTGTAATCCCAGCACTTTGGGAGGCTGAGGCAGGTGGATCACGAGGTCAGGAGATGGAGACTATCCTGGCTAACACAGTGAAACCCTGTCTCTACCAAAAATACAAAAAAATTAGCCGAGCGTGGTGGAGGGTGCCTGTAGTCCCAGCTACTCGGGAGGCTGAGGCAGGAGAATGGTGTGAACCCGGGAGGCAGAGCTCGCAGTGAGCCGAGATTGTGCCACTGCACTCCAGCCTGGGAGACAGAGCGAGACTCCGTCTCAAAAAAAAAAAAAGAAAAAAAAAAAAAGAGAGAGAGAGAATGATGAGCATAGCACAACTGTTAATTCTAAATTGCACAGTTCTCTGCAAAGACAGCTGGCATATTATGATGGAAAAGAAAACACAAGCTTTGAAAGCCCTTTGCTAATTGTACCACCCCTTGAAAATGTCTTCTTGTTTCTCTCACGTTATTTGCTTATTTTTACTGTGAAAATTAAAAAGGGCCCTTTTGCTCTATCCAGCATCTTTATTCAGGGGCTATAAAGTGCCTGCCCCACAGTAGGAGCTCAGTAAATCTTAACTCACTGAATGAAGGCCTCAGGCCTTGCTCTGCTCCTCCTAAAGGCAGGGCTGCCCCAGCCTGGCTGCTGACAAGTCCTTTCTCCGCATGGGTCGAGGGTCCTCATGGGTCGAGGGAACATCTTCCTCTCTGTGCTCCACACTGCCCCTCGCAGCCCCGCTCTGCCTTCCCCGCCTCTCTCCTTTTTCTCTGTCAGTGAGTCATCTGGGTGCTCCTCTACAGACAACAGATCTCACTGCAGACAGGAGGCTGGGCAGATGTATGATGGGAGGGGCTCCCATAGCTCTTCTCCTGCTCTGGGTGGCTAAGAAACCGATGACCTAGTGTCGGTGCACAGAGACAGTGACACCTACCCCACTGGGAATGGAGGGCTTGCCTCTGCAGCTGCAGTCACTGGCACCAGCCTGAAGGCAGGGCCTGCTTCCTGGGTATCAGAATCTTATGATTGGGCCTTCTAAGGCTGTGAGGGTAACTAGATTAGCCAAAGAAGAAGTGGCTCCTCTCCGCCCTGCTCTGCCTGTACTCTTCCTGGCAGGGCCTCAGGAAGAGAAAGGCTAGGGCTGCAGGCCCTGGGACTCCATCTTGGCCTCTGGGGTCACTGGCCCAGCCTGTCCTGGGGTCTGATTATTCCACTGTGTTTGCAACATGAGATGGTGTAGGGCCAGCATGTGGCCCTGCTGCTGAACACAGAGTCAGTGGGAAGGAGAAGCCAGAGGCCCCTGGAGAAGCAGCCTCCCTGATCCCAGGAGAGAATCAAGCCTGTCTGCATGACCACAGCTGCAGCTTGCTTGCCCCAGTGGAGACCACTCTGGTTAGGAAGCATGAAGAGACACATTTTGGCATCAAAGAGACCTAGATTCAAATCCCTTCTCTATTGCTTCCTGGCTGTGTGCCCTTGGATCTCTCTAAACCAGTTCCTCACATGGCAAAGTGGGGGTGCTAATATTTACCTCAGAGGGCTGATGTGAGGGGCACAGGGGAGAGGTTTTGGTGTAAAGGATTGTGATGGCATATGCCTGCCAGAGGCTTGTATGTAGGCATGTGGGCTTCTGTGTTAAGGCCGCCCCTCAGGTACTTGAGGTCTTGGGCAAGTAGGTTTTGTAAGGGCATTGTACAGATACACGTTTGCATCACCCTAAATCAAAATGTTATCGTCATTCTGGCACCCAAGTTTGTGTGACTCTGTAAACTGACCAGTGAGGACAATCTGCTCACCAGGCCACCATCCTGGAACCAGAGCCTGGCATAAGGCCTCAGAGGACTCCATAGGTTTGAGGCCTGGAGCTCCATGGGGCATCTGGTCAGCCCTACTCACTTGGGCGAGAGGGGTGGGTGGAGAACTGGAGAGTGCCCTGAAAGGACACTGAAGGGGAAAAATGGGAAGGGAACTTAGAAAATTGTGGGGAAGACTTTCTGAAGTCTGGAACCCTCAGGCTCATGGGCTGGGACAGGAGCCTGCTTACCTAGGTCAAAGGGCAATAATGCCTTGTGTGAAGCCCAGGCTGGATCTTTGCATGACTGGTGCTTAATCAAAGCTTGGGGTTAAAGTGCAAGAAGCGATTTGAGATTATTAGGATGGAAAGGAGATTTAAAGATTACTAAATTCAGCTTTTTAGGAGATAAAGACAAAAGAAAAGAGAAGAGGCTTTCACCCACATCAGCTGGCTTATCATGAAGTGGAAGTTGTGTGGAGGCATCTGAGGTTGCAGCACTGTGTCTTGCAGGATTGTGTGGAGCTGGGTGGCTGTCTGTGTGATGACTAATTTTATGTGTCAACTTGACTGGGCCACAGGGTGCCCAGATATTTGTCAAACATTATTCTGGGTGTGTCTGTGGGGGTGTTTCTGAATGAGATTAACCTTTAAATCAGTAGACTAAGTAAAGCAGGCAGCCCTTCCTAATGTGTGTGGGCCCCATCCAATCAGTTGAAGGCCTGCATAGAACAAAAAGGCTGATTCTCTACCCCAAGCAAGGGGCCATTCCTTCTTACTGACTGCCTTTGAGCTGGGACATTGTTTTCTTCTTGCCTTCTGACTTGAAATGAAACATTGGCTCTTCCTGGGGCTTGAGCCTGCTGGCCTTCCTACCAGAACTGCACCATGGTGCTCCTGAATCTCCAGCTTGCTGACTCACCCTGCGGACATGGGACTTTTCAGCCTTCATAAATGCGTGAGCCGGTTCCCTACAAGAAATCTCTCTCTCTCTGTATATATATGTACACATATAAATATACACACATGCACACACACACACGCACACACACACCCTATTGGCTCTGTTTCTCTGGAGAACCCTGACAGACACAGCCAGGACAGTGTGTTGGGAGTTGTGTGAGGTGGAGCTGTGGCCCAGGGGCATTGTTCTGGTGTTGACACATCTTTGAGTGGCCACATGTTGGGTGCTGGGACTGAGGACAGCACAAGGCCTCCTTATTTGACCGGGTAGATGGGGGAGGGACAGAGTGGAGGCTTCTTTCCCTGTCCTTTGGGGAATCCCAATTCTACTCCCTCATTCTGGGAGTTTGGAGGACTGAGCAGCCTCCTTTCCTAGGAGGGCAGTCCTTAGGCCGGCCTGCTACAACCATCCTCCTTGAGTAAGCCTGGGGCCTGGGCACATGACGTGGAAGCCTGCTCTTCCCTTCCCAGCAGCTCCACAGGCTATTGGCCAATTCCTGATGACTCAATGGGAGCTGAACCTCGAGGCAGGTGGACAAGTGCACTTTCCTGGAGCAGTTCTCTAGGGCCCACAGTTCCCACACTCAGGATCCCCAGTCTTTGTGTAACTCCATGGAGATGAGCCAGGTGAAAACATCGAGGGATGTTTCTGCTTGTCCACTATCCAGAAAAGGGGCTGAGGAGCAAGGGGTCAGGGAGATGCTGCCTTCCCAGGCTGTGAGGAGATCCTGAAGCATCCGGGGAAGGGTGTCTCTGCCCAGAGGTTTGCTGCCTGGACCCTCTGAAAGTCCCCTCAAACTCCTCTCACCTTTCCCCCAATTCTGACACATCTTCTTCATTAGTGGAAAGGGCACTGGGCTAGTAGGTAGGAGATTTGACAGCATTGACTATATCACTGTTTCTGGGTGACCTTAGGTAAGTTGCTCTCCCCTGGTTTGTTCACCTGTAATGTGGGAATAATAATCAAATCAAATAATAATCAAATCTGATTATTCTAAGATGCAGTGAGATAATGTAGGTGAAAGTGTTTTTGGAAAATTTATGCAGTGCTACACAAGTACAAGGTATTATTATTATTGTAATTGAATAACTCTGAGCTCTTCCTCTTTGCTCACAGCAACCCTTGGTCTTTTCATATGCTTCCTCGTAGGAAGACCAAAACCAGTGCTTTTAAATCTTTAATATGCAAACGAATCACTTGGGATCTTGTTAAACTGCAGATTCTGATTCAGTAGGTCAGAGTAGGCCTAGATTCTGCATTTTCATCCTCCCGGGTGATACCAGTATTTCTGGTCTGGGGACCTGAACTATCCCTTCATAGGAAAAGAGATCCAAATCTTTCTATAATGTATTGAAAAGAAACAGTTTAGAAAATACAGTAGAAGTATGGGCTTATTAAAATAGCTTGTAGTCAAAGATAGTTATTGATCACAAAAGATACATTTTGATCTTTGGAAAGATGAAATGAGAGAAGGGAGAGGGAAAGAGGAAGGAATGAAGGGAGGAAGGGAAGGCAGAAGGAAGAGAGAGAGGAGGGGAGAAAGCGAGAGAGAGAGAGAGAGAAGAGAGAAGAGAGACAGGATGGACCCAAGAAGCCCTGGACTGATCATTTCCTAGACTTCTCTGTGGAACAGCCACCATTGGTCTTATTAAGAGAGTCTGTGCTGCCCATTCTTGAGCCTACACTGTTGAGGATTCTTTCAATTTCTCCTGGGATGTTCTGCTTTTCTTCATTCTCAGTCTCCCGGTGGTAGAAGTAATTGAAGTTGGAGACAATGACAGGCACAGGGAGGGCAATGGTGAGGACCCCTGCAATGGCACACAGAGTGCCCACAATCTTCCCCCCTGGGGTGGTCGGGCACATGTCCCCATAGCCTACAGTTGTCATGGTGACCACTGCCCACCAGAAGCCATCAGGAATGCTAGAGAAATGGGACTCTGGCTCATCCACCTCAGCAAAGTAGACTGCACTGGAGAAGAGGATGACTCCAATGAAGAGAAAGAAGATGAGCAACCCCAACTCCCGCATGGACGCCTTCAGTGTTTGCCCGAGGATCTGCAGCCCCTTGGAGTGGCGCGAGAGCTTGAAGATGCGGAAGACCCTCACCAGGCGGATGATCCTCAGGATGGCCAGGGACATGTTCTGTTGGGCACTCGGCTCTGTCTCCTGGACTAGCTCTGTGATGAGAGTTGCAAAGTAGGGGATAATGGAGATGATGTCAATGATGTTCATGATGTTCCTGAAGAAGTCAGTCTTGCTGGGGCAGACCACGAACCGGAGCACCAGCTCGAAGGTGAACCACACGATGCAGGTAGACTCCACCATGAAGAAAGGGTCGGTGAACATGGTCTGGGAGAGGACTGTCTTGCTCATGTTGAGATTGGGGTCTCTGACCACCTTTAGCTCCCTATCCTCCCGGAACTCTGGCAGTGTCTCCAGGCAGAAGATGGTGATGGAGATGACCACAACCAACACCGAGACCACGGCCACAGCACGGGCAGCGCTGGAACTTTCAGGGTACTCAAAGAGGAGCCAGAACTGACGGTGGATGTCATTGGTGGGTAGCAGTGTTTCAGGGTCTTTGATGAAGCCTTCATCCTCCCGGAACTGGTCCATGGCCTCACTACCCAGCTCATAGAAGGAGATTTCATCAGCAAAGATATCAATGGGAACATTGGCTGGGCGCCGAATTTTCCCACCAGATTGGTAATAATATAGGATTCCATCAAAACTGGGCCGGTTCCGATCAAAGAAATACTCATTTCTCATGGAGTCAAAGAACTGCATCCTTTTTTCCCGGTCTCCCAGGAGAGTCTCTGGGAACTGACTAAGGGTTCTGAGCTGGGTCTCAAATCTCAGCCCAGCAATGTTGATGATCACCCGCTGGTTTCCTTCATTTAGGACCACTGGCTCAGGCCCTGGGGGGTCAGCATAGTCTCCCGGAAGCTTGGAGAAGGCCGTCTCATGGTTGGTGCTTTCGCTGATGAGGATCTTCCCGTTGGAGAAGGAGCTGCCCCCAGGCCGGCCTTTTGGGCTGGTTGAGTCGAAGTCTGTGGCATAGCCTGGCTCTTCTTGGATTTCATCTGAATTATCAAAATTGACCAGCGCAACCTCCATTTCTTTCCAGCCACACACATCCATTCTAGGGGAGCCAGGGAAGAAGCATGAAGATCCTCAGCCTTCACTGCCTGCTGTGAGCTATGGAGAAGAAGAAGTTCATTATACAAGATCCAGGGCAGAATACAACTGGCCCTTGTTTATTGAGGTAAGGTACACCAATGGGCTAATCAATGACTTATTTGTAGCTTGGGAAGGAACGTCATGGTTATTTTGGCAGCATGCTTCCCTTAAAATCATTTTGTACCCCTGAGTTTGCATAAACTAATAACTAGGAGAAATTGCAAAAAAAGGATCCTGGCAAAGAAGGGGAGATTCTCCCCAGCAAAGGATGGTCTCCATATGTGATGGCAGAGGGGCCATACTAAAAGAGGAAGTTAACATTCCTTAATAATAAAAAGCATGATCTTGTATTTGCATGAAGCCTTCTGTCTCACCAAACACGTCTCCATGCCCAATCTCATTCGTAATGCCTCTCTTTCACACCAACAGCCAGTCCCTCACACATCCTTTTGGTCATGTCTTCAAAATATATCTAGAATTCAACCATTTTGCATCACTTCCACCCCTGCTTCTGGACCAAGTGGTGAAGGGTGGAACCAGATCTATGAACCCAATGGGGATTCTTTAGGGAAGGAAAAACAAGACGCTGGGTTGGCCAATCGACAATGTCCTCTAAATGACCCCTCACCTGGAAATAACTCCTAGAGTTGTTTTGAAGGTACCTCAAATGAGATAACACGTATGGAATGCTTGGTGGAAAGAAAGATCACTATATTATAGCTATTGTTTTTTGTCAACTTTCCCACATAACAAGCACTTTAGAAACTACCAGCAATTGGAATTTTTTTTGGCCTGAGTCCAAGGTGTCCATAGGAAGTAATTTCATTTTGAGAAATCATTTTAGGTGGGAAGGAAGTAAATAATTGTGTGTGTCTGTGTGTGTGTGTGTATATGTGTGTGTGTGTGTGTGTGTGTGCGCGCGCACGCTGGAGGTGGGGTTAGGAAATCATGCCCAGTGGGCTTGGACATCTATACACATAGACTAATATTTCTTTCCTCAGGTTCATTCTAGCTTCAGTTTCAATTTAAGAACACTGAACCCAGGCAGGCTGGGGGTGGGAGTGGGAGAGAAGTAAGGGACTTAACCTCAGGCAAAATCTGTAGTGGTCACAGCCTTGGAGAGGTTTCCTTTACAGGCGACAAGGCTATCCTGCAGTGTAGTGTTGTAGTCTTTTCAAAGTGATTCCACATTCACTTATCTCACTAGATGACAATAATCACGTGAGGTTAGATGTTATCTCTGTTTTGCAGATGCGGAAACCAAGTCACAGGGACAAAGTGACTTCCTAAGGTCACATAACTAGTGCTACAGAGTCCTGACCTAAACCTGGCCATGGCCTTCTGGCCCAGGGCCTTTCCCACTAGACCATGGAGTCCCTATATAGGAGCTGAGCCTTGTGGGGAGCTGTAGGCTAGGGCCACAGAATTGTCAGGGGTCCAGAGCTCTTTCCATCCCATGACCCCTTTTCTCAGTTCAGGTGCCATGTGTTGAATGATGAGCTCAAGTCTGGTTGGTCAGCACTGGTAGAGTACCCATTCTACCTCTCAGGAGTATGTGGCCATTGCAAACGGCCTAATTTCACGGAGCTGCTGCTTCCTCAGTTGTGGAATGAGGAAGGATGTACCCACTGCCAAGCATGCCAGGTGCCAGCCTGCTCTGCAAGGCTCGGTGAGCAGTAGGATGGCTGGGAGGCAGGATGGAATCTGAGAATAGAATCAGTCCACCCGAGTTCAAATCCTGGCTCTGTACATGGTAAAGCCCTGGAGAAATGTAGCTTCACAGTAATTCGCATGATGATTTGGGGGCCTTGTCCTGAACTGCTTGGCAGCTGGATGGCTGTGGGTGGGGGACTCCAGCTCTGTGTTGATCTCATGTCTTCGGAGCACCATTTTCTCCTTTGGGGTCTTGGACCGCAGATGGTGCTCCCTGATGATTATCTTCCAGGTGTGAATCAGTCCCGCTTTCTGAGAGGAATGAGTACCATCAGTGAGCTTTGGGCAAGGTTTGGGAACCACTTCCATGGTTCTAGCCAAGGCTAGAGTGACCCTTATCAGGAACTTCTCTGGAGGCCAGCAGCAGAAAGCATTTGGGGATTAGGGAGAGCTTCTTTGGCCAAATAATTAACTTCCTTTTTTGGGAGCCAGGCCATTTCCCTTCTCCCTGCCTCCTAGGTTCCTCTTTGTCACTTCCACCCCCAGGTCAAGTGACAGGTAGGAGGGTGTTTGATGAGGGTCTGATGGTGAGGAGGTGGCAGACAGTGCCAAGGTCAAACAGCATATTCCGTGGTCTACAGAAGTGTGCTGTGCAGGCGGCTCCACCTGCCCCATTAGTAGCAAATGTTAATCATTAAAACAAAGAGAAAAGAGAACCGTCTTGAGGACAAGGACCTGGTGTGAGGCTCTGCCCCACCACTTAGGAGTGTATATTTTAAAGCAAATCATTGGATTTTATGACTCAGCTTTCTAATCTATAAAATGGGTAAAAATAATAGTAATTCCCATCTCAAAGATTATACTGAGAACTAAATAAGGTAGTAACAGTGAAAGCACTTTGTAAATTGTAATTGTAAATTGTAAAATGACAAAAATCTCCCTTTACGTTTTCCTCCCCTCTGCTCCACACATAAACCCAATATAACATGCTTGTAGAAAGCATGTTTCACGTAAAGAACTGCAGGAGGAATTCTCAGCTCACTATTCTCCCCTTCTGCTCAGCCCAGTCCTGACTCCATGCCTTCATCCTTGTTTTGCTCTTGCTTCTCATATGCTTTTTACTCCCCCTCCCTTCCTCCATCATCTATTCCTCCCTGCCCATCTGGGAACTATTCAGATCCTACCTTGTCCCAGGAGCCTGCCCTGGCCAGTGTCTGAGAGAGCCCTCTGTCTCCCTGTGCTGCTAGCCTGCTTGTGTAGATGCTCACTTTTGTCCTCAGTTTGGAGCACCAGCTTCCAGGGGATCAGCCTTCACTCTTCAGCTCTCTTGTAAGTTTTCAGGATGCATGACTGTGTTTTGCAGAGCTTTTCCTATCAGCCTGCTTGGTCTTGGAGGACAGGATTCCCCTACAATCCCACCTGCGTCACCCCAGTGTCCAGCTCAAAGTTGCATATAGGAGGGTGGCTGATGAGGGTCAGGGTGGTGTTGGAGGTAGTGGGGCAGTGCCAGTTTCAAACAGTGTATCCTGTGGATGTAGAGTGATTATTTGTTAAGCACCTGCTTGCTAAGTAGGTGAATGGATGAATGAATGAAGAGTTGTAAGCTCATGAAGGCAGGGAACATGTCTGTCTTATGCACCACTTGGCTAGCCCACCTATGTGCGCAATTCATCTCTGGTGAGTGAGTGAATGAATGAGTGATGAATGAATGAGGGGTGGCGGTTGGTGCATGGGCTCAGGGCCAGGACACCTGCATTGCCTCTACAGTTCTGTGATTACTGACTGCTTGCATTACCTCATCCAGACTCCATTTTTTCATCTGTAATAAGAAAATATGCAGAGTCAAAGGAGCTAGATAAAAAGGATACACATATAGAATAATTCTATTTATATGAAATTCTAGAAAATGCAAACTAATCTAGAATGACAGGAAGCAGATCAGCAATTGCCTGGGGATAAGGATGGAGAGGGTGAGGGCAGAGTTACAAAGGGGCTCAAGATTGTAGGGGTGAAGTTTATGCTTCTTATCTTGATTTTGTGATGGCTTCACAAGTCTATACACTAGTCAAAACTTATCAAGTAGCACACTCTAAGTTTAGTGTGCGTCATTGTATTTCAACAAATCTGTAAAAAAAAAAGGCAATCACACAAACAAAAGAAATAAAAGTGCATGGTTTGCCAATGATTCCTCAAGATTTCGGCAAGGACCAAAGGGGATGGTATGATGCTCTGTAAACTGCATGGGTCATGTGGAAAGAGGGGATTACTCTTGCATAGTGCTCACTACGGTGCCCAGCACCATGTCTGCTCATGTTGCAAGAGCTCAGAAAACTGTTTAGAAAGAATGAATGTACCCTGGAGCCCAGGGTCAGTCTTGGTGCCCAGAGACCACCCAGCAGTGCTGTATCCCTGCAGATCAGGCTGTGGGCACTTTACCCTCTCTCAGAGATGTGCACAATGTCAAGGACGCCCCGGGCCATGGCAGGCTGGCTCTCTCAGCTTGGTGCTGGGCATTTTGTCTGTTTAGTGGTGGGAGAGAAGCCTCTATTTGCACTGGAAAATATCTGCTTCTCTGGAAGGGTTTCACTCTTTCAATAGGCTTTTGTACTATAATTAGTATTTCATAAGAGTCAAGATCAGAGTTGTTTCTGCCCCTTGGACTCACAGTCTGGGCTGCCCCCACTCTGTCCCACACTCTGGAAGGAGACGGACGCCTTGGGTGGGGTGAGTCACTTGATGAAGCTGTAACTTCAGAGCTGGGGTTATTTGGGGACTGGCTCCCATTGCAACAGGCAGGGGCCTGGAGTCTGCTCTGCGTGACACCCTTTGAGTCTTAGATCTTTTGATCTGCCCAGTGATCCAGGGCCTTGATGGAATTGCCATTACACCAGGCTGAACTCTCACCCATAGCTGAAATGATCATGACGTTCAAGAGTCTTCCATAACGTCCGATTCTACATGTAATCTCTGTGCTTGCCTGGCACAGTGCTGAGACAGTGCACCTGGCTGAAACAGATCTCTTTTCCTTGCTGAACATACTTGTACTTTCCTCCCTCCAGGCCACCATGTGGGCAGGTCCTGCCACCTGCATACTTCACTTCTAACCTCACCTGAAGGTGAAGCTTTCTCTAAGGACTCCAGGTGAAGGCACTCTTGCCCTTCTGAGCACCCCCTGGAAGTTGTCTACATTTCCTTCTCGGCATTTTATTTGATTCATGTTTTATCTCCTAGAACTTTGTCATCTTTGGGTCCCTCAGCATCTGGCATGTGGGAACAGGCTGGCCCCCTCACTGTCCCGGAGACCCCTATGCTTTCCCATCTTCTGACCTCTGCTCATTGCCCTTCCCTAACAGCCAGACAGGCTTGGGTTTGAATCCCATCTTTTTACCCACTAGGTATGTGACCTTAGGCACATCACCACCTCTGTGAACTCTGCTTTCTTCCCCTCTAACTGGGTCTAATCATACCTTTCTTTTGGATTCTTGGGGGAAAGAATGAGATAGTGTATAGAACTTTGCCTGGCATGCAGTAGGCATCCCATAGATGGGAGCTGATCTTTTTTGGGAAGCTTTCCCTGCCCACGTGACACAGACCTCAGCCATCCCAACTGCCCCTCCTGAGCCCTGTAGCTCTTCATGTTGGCAGCCAGACTGAGGATGAGGCTTTATGGTTCAGGTAACCTCTTCTCTGACTGGACCAGGCACTTCCTGCAGGCAGGGCATGGGGAGGGGCTCAGCCCTGTGCTTCTCCCAGAACAGACCTGCAGACATCTGTGGCTAATGTCAGGGCTGTGGACCTGGCTTTTCAAGGTCACAGAGCTATACCAAGCAGGCAGTATCCAGAACCCATTCCATGGCCTTTCCCCATGGGTCAACTTTGGTTGCCTAGCAACTCCAACACCTCCTACACATTCAGGTGAGGCAGCAGCTGTTCCTTAGTCAGAGAATGGTTGAAATAAGTAATCATGCAAAGACAACAGTGTGTACTGCATCTCAGGGCCCCAAGGCCCCGGTGACAGGGAGCTCAGATGTCGCAGGGCTGGAAGCAGGTAGGAGGATGAGGGGGTGGGCAGGTGGGCCTGGCTCTCCGGTCCTTGAGCAAATGAGTGAAGGACTGAAGGAAGGTGGGGGTGAAACGCAAACCGTGACACCTCTTGTGACTGGACAGAAGAGGGCGCTGCTGTCCTGCTGGAAGCAATCCCTGGGCCATTCCGAGGACCCTTTACTTACCTCTTTGATGCCGCTTTTCTTTCACTTTAGGGTCGGCCAGGCCTCAGGTCTTGCAGATTCTCCCCAGTGAGTGGCTCTCAAACCTCACCCTTTCTGGTCTCTGCCCCTCTTAGAGCCAAGCCCCATCTCTTCGGCTCATGCTGAACCACGGCCCGGCCGGAAGAGTGTGGATTCTGTACCTCTCTGTCTCACGTGGTCGGGATTATGTTGCCTCACTCTCCAAGAACCTCAGTTTCCCCAACCAGGGAATGGTAAGATGGGGTCTTAGGCAAGACTCGCTGGCTCTGCTGCTCACTGTAGCCCCTCTGGTCCCTCGAGTGCCCAGCTCCTCCAGCCTTTCTGAGTGGAAAGCAGAGGTGGCGATGTCAGCCTTAGGGCCATGGAAAGGGTAGAGCTGGAAACTGAGAGCAGCGTCCGTCAGGAGACCTGAATTCAGTGGGGAGGTCAGCAGGCTGGGTGTGGGGGCTGCCCCTCATCCAGCCTGAGGCAGGCTCTCCATCCTGGTCAGGAGCACAGGCTCTGGGGGCAGACAGGAGGGCCAGCTCCCAATCCTGGCTTGGCCACTTAGTGTCTGCGTGACAGAGAACAAGTTACTTATGCTCCCTTCACTTAGGGTTCTTCGTCTTTACAGTAGCCTTGCTAGCACCTCCCTGGAAAGGGTGTGGTGGGAAAGTGATGTCACATAGAAAGCACGCAGCGTGCAGTAGGCACTCAGCAAATGCTGGCAGCTGCTATCAGTTGGGCCCGGTCAGGGACCATGGGGGTGGGGATGGCCATTCCTCCTTTTCCTGTCCTGCCAACGGTAAAATGGGTGAGTTTCACCCTTACTAGTATGGCAGCCAGGCCCTTTCAGAGGCTGTCCATGCTGATGCTGAGCCTGCTGGGACAGGCATGGTCAGTAAGGGGAAGGCCTCGGGGACCGATGTGCCTGGGCCATCAGAGGCTGGGTAGAACTTGTACGGCCCGTGCTCTAAGCCCCTCTGTCTGTGGTGAAGCTGCTTCCTCCTGTCCTGCTGTGAGGGGTGAGGTGGTCACTCGGTTACCTACACTCCTGCTGACCACACAGTTCCACACAGGATGTGAGCCTCACGATGCGCCCTAAGGAAGGTGGCGATTATTACCCCCATTTAGCAAATAAGACAACTGAGGTCCAGAAAGCTGTGTGATTGGCTCACAGTCCTTCAGTCACTACGTTATAAAGCTGTGACTCAAACTCACGTTTCTGTCACAGTCCCACAACAGCAGATCCACTACCACGTGTGGCCTACTGTCATTCAGCCAGGGGCAGTGCCCACACACATACACAGAGACATGGAGACACACATGCAACACAAACATACAGACACACAAATAGCCACAACAGACACACTCAGGCACACACCAGCATGGCTATGTGAGTCTTCTCACACAGTCACGGACATATCCATGCTGCACATACAATTACCAAGATACCTGAAGACAGAGATAGACACGTGCTGGCGTAAATATGCAGGCACGCATGAGAGGGTTCCCATGCACAAATTTGCACTCCCCAGTACCACCCACGTTGCACAGATGTTTCTGTTCCAGGTGTGCCCTGACACCCCCTTCTCCCATCTAGTCTCTCTGCCTCTCAGAACAGGAGAATGTTCTGTTACTTGGAGCAATTGAAAGAAGACAAGGAGGGCTGGAGGGGGCACAGAAAGCTGGTCACGTGACTCTCTTCCTTGTTAGAGTGTCGATGGGCACAGTGTGGGCAGTCTGTCTCTCTCCCTGCAGGGACTGCTCAAGGACAAATCTATCTTCCTAAAGGGATGAAATGATGCAAGCAAGAGTTCTTTCATTTAAAACCCGAGCAGCAGCAGCGATGCTGAAAAGAACAATCACGGAAGAATTCATTCCTGCAGGAATGTAAGAGCTTACAATTTAACTGCTATGAACCATGGAGACTGGAACAGCTGCCTCCCAACACTGGGTGAAATACTTTTGCTCTGGAAGCCAACTGGGAGGCAGGACTCCTGGGTTCTTTTTCCTGGACCTCTTGATTTTGTGCACCATCAAGTCCCCATATTGCCTTCTTGTTTGCTCTGGAGAGAAGGGAGCATCTGCCTCTGATGGTAATAAATGCAGTTTCTGGATACTGGGAGAGACAACAAAGAAGTAATGGGTCTGGAAGCCTGAAGAACTTCCTACAGGTTCTGTCTATACATGGTGGTTGGTAGCTGAGGGGCTGGTTCCATCAGTACCTGCACCTTCAGCAATGCAGCTTCTGCTCAAGTCTATCGTGGGTATTTACCCTTCGGACTTTGGAAAGTGGGAAGCTCATTGCAGTTTTGGGCTGGCCTTCTGCAGAGTTCTGGGTGTCAGCCTTGCTAAGCAGGTCCTTGGGGAGGTGTGGAGCCAGGAGGGACACTGCAGAGAGCTGGGGCTGAGCTGAACACTCTCCATACACTCACCATGCCCTGTCCTCAACTAGGTCCCAGTTTCAGCCTCTCACCCTGTATCCAGCTGCTGCTCCCTGAGGGGGCTTCGACAGAGCCCCACCAAGCTTCCTTCTTGACCAGCTCAGCTCAGCTGTGGGGTATGGGATGGGGAAGGGCAGATTAGCAGTAGTGTGCTGGGGTTTTTGTTCCTGTGAAACCTCTCCTTCCCATCCCCTGAAATATGGGTTTGTTTTTACCCATTCCCAGGAATGTAAGAAGGAATTATTTTAGATGAAACTGTAAGGTAGGGGACATTTCTAATTAACACTCCACTCTTGCCACCTGGCCCTCAGCCACCAGTTTTCATGAAGCCAGTTTATCAGCTGGAGAGCATGGGATGTGGAGTCTGTGGACATGAGTTCAGGTTTGCCTCTGCTTCTTGCCGGCTGTGTAGCTTTAGGGGAGTCACGTTAGCTTGCTAGATCTTAGTTCCTTCATCTTTAAAACAGTCATGGAAACATCTGCCCTGCAGACTATCCCCTGATACTCTGTATGGAAGGTTCTTAAAAACATCTGTGTTGAATGAATAGGTCTGAAGCCCATGTGAGATAACAGATGTCAGAATGCTCATGAAAACACAGGGGATAGATTCACCAGCCCTGAGCCAGGTTTGCCCACTGATGAGGAGCCTTTCTGAACCAAGGTGCTTCTCTGATTTTTCTCAATAACATGCTGCAATTCACCACTGATAAATTTACCTAAACTTGCCTCATCCCTTCCCAACATCCTCCCTTCACCCTCCCAGGAGGCAGTTTATTTAGCACGGTGTTAACAAACATTGACTCTGGAGACAGCAGGGTTTGCAATATCAGCTCTATAACCAGCTAGTCCTGTGGCCCTGTGCAAGACACTTAATCTTTGTGCCTCAGTTTCTTCATCTGTAAAATGAGAATACCTATATCATAGGGCTGTCAAGATAATTAAAGGGGTGAATGTAAAACACAACAGCACCAGACACATGGCGAGCACGATGTAAAAGCTGGTTACAGTGTGTGTAGGAGCCCAGGCCTGGCTGCCCTGGGGAACAGCTGCCTTGCCTGGGCCAGGCTGTGAAAGCATAAGTGGAGCCTTCCTTTGGCGCCCCTGTGATTATCTGAGCTCACAGTGTCTTCTCCTGTCCCCAGGGTGTGCCCTGGTCTGGTTCTCTGCTCAGGTAAAGGCCTCTTTCTCCCAGACCTTCACACCCATCAGTTTCCAAAACCTGTGGGATCTGCCTCCATGAGGTCCCATCTCTGCCCCACCTCTCCCCTTTCTCCGTCCTGTTGCCAGCCATTGTGCAGATGTCACTCCTTGCCTGGATTGCTGCCATGGCCTCCTCAGTTCTTTTTGTCCTCCCTATGTGGCTACCAGAGTGCTCCTCCGCACAGCCAGGGTGGGTTAAGTCACTCCTGCGAAAGGCTTCCAGTGATTCCCTCCACACCCAGCCTGGCACACATCCTGTGTGTGTCTCTGTCTCCCAGGTTGTGGTGGGACCTTGGCCTCATCTGCTGTCTGCAGCCAACTTTAGCATCTGTGGACACATGTAGCATCCACCAGGGAACTGGAGTGGGGAGTGGACTTGGCCCCTACTCCACCTGGCTGTTGCCCACCATACTTTCTTCCTTGCCTTTCTTTCCCTGAACAGCCAGCCCAGGGTGAGGCAAGCAAGCCCTGTGGCTAAGTGTTGACACTGACCAATAAAATGCCAAATGCCAGCCTCTCCTTTATTGTGAGCACCCCAATCTTGAGTTATTTTCTTGGGGTTACCTCCCTTAAGAACTACACTGTAGCTACGTTCCAGGATTAATTAAGCTGCATGAGCTTGAGCATGCTGCTTAACCTCTTTGTGTCTCAATTCCTCATCCATAAAGTGGGGGAAATAATAATGAGTACAGAGAGATTTGGGGGAAAGATTCATATCTTTGTATCACCCCAGTACCTAATATGTTGCCTTGCACATAGAAGAACATCTGAAAATATTTGTCGAATAATTCATTGATTGGTGCACAAAGGCATGAGCTACAGAACAAAGCATCCATGGTGGAATTGCAGGCATTTGCCTGTGGTGGGTGGGGTGGGCAGTGAGGCTGCCTGTGTGCCTGACAAAATACCATGGAGGCCATTCTCTATTCTCCTGGCTAAAGTTCTGCTGTTGGCTTCTAAGCCTGTTCTTCTGTTGGGTCTTACATGGGGCTTTGAGCAGAGGACTGATAGTGGGCCTCCTTAAATCCCAAGAAGGCTCCAGAATTTCTGGAGCAGAAAGGGGCATGGTGCTTGCGGTTGTGGGGGCAGCTCTGCTTTCTTCTTGTGGAAAGACAAAGTCCAGACATAGGTGGGGAACTGAAACTGGTGTTCTTAGAAGGCTCAGGACTAAACTAGGAATGTGGGCTGTAGAATAATGTGTCTCCCTGAGAGTGTGCTGGGAGATGAGCCGATCTGGCTAGCGTTTGCTTATTGCCATGCATGCAATCAAATTTCTGCAGGATGCTCCAGGAACTCCAGGAGAAAGATATTTGGGGCCCTTAGATATGGTGGTTAAGATCCAGGTGCGGAGATTGAAGTGTGGGGCAAAGGAAAAAAAACGTGTCCAAGAACTCACCAGCAGGAGCAATAGAAGGGAAGGTGTGTCTTCTTCAGCCTGAGTGAGCCATGGGTGCTCTGGCTGGGTCAGCTCTCCATGGGGAATCTGCTGTTCTCGAGGTAAAGAGGAGGATTGGCAAGAAGGAGCCTGCCCAGCTGGTGCCTGGGATTCAGAAATCCTATCCTTCTGTGAAACAGGATCTCCCTGGCTGTCTCTGTCTCTGGAGGAAGCTGGAGAGAGGATCCAGTCGTGGTCAGTGGGCAGGATACAGGGTGGCAGGGCTCCAGGGACAACTGGGCAAAGTGAACTCAGGAAAGTACAACCTCCAACGTCAGGGCTTAAGGTGCACAGGTCAGATACTGATGCACTCAGGGTTTGAGTTAGCTACTGACTAAGGGTGTTTCCTAAAGCCAGTGATAACATGCAGGCAGCAGAGGGTGGTGGTGGTGGTGGGCTTGTGTCTCCCAATCATTACCCCTGCTCATAGGAGACCTTGCGTGACTGGCTGATCAAGTCAGGCATCGCTTTCCTGGTCTCCTCAGTGACTGGCCCCTGCCTGGCACTGAAGAGTTTACGATGGGCCTCCGCCCACCTGCTGCGGGAAGGGTCAGGGTAGAGGATAAAAAAGGATGCTTGGTTCAGTCCCATGGGACCTGAGGGCTGGAACCTTGGCCTGACTGAGCTGATATACAGAGCTTTCTCCAACTCTAGCCAGACCCCTTCCGGTTCCCTGGGAGGGCTGCGGCCTGGAGGAGAGACAATGTTGGGAAGGGCTCCCTCCTCAGGGAGAGGACCCCTCCCCACTTACTTCCTTCATAAAACTGTCTAGTCCTGTGTCCCAGATCCTTGGGGGTGGAGAGGAAGGACACTGCCCCGGCTGTCTGACCTTACCATCCTGAGGGGGTGTATTTGGGTGATAGTATGAAGGCGAGGCAGAGAGGTGGGATAAGACTGTATGAGAGCTAGAAGACCTGGCATTGAGTTTATAGCATTTAATTGCTGGTGACCTTGAGCACATCCCTTAATCTCTCTGTGGCAGTACAGCACAATGGTTCAGCACATAGGCTCTGGAGGTGATTGTCTGGGTCCAGATCCAGGCTCAGCTACTAGCTGCATGACCTTGGACAAATTACCTAACCTCTCTGAGGCTCCATTTTCTTATCTATAAAGTGGGAATGAGAATAATAGTACATCCCTCAAAGTGTTGTGTGAGGTTTAACTGAATTAATACATATAAAACACTTAGAACAATGCCTGGCCTGGTGAAATCACTCGGTAAACATAGCTGTCATATTTTTGAGTCAATGACCTCTATATGTTCTCCGTCTACTTTCATAGTCAAGAGACCATTATTAGATAATGGACTTAAAGTGCTTTGTAAACTATAAAGTGCTGAAGAGATTTAGGGACAAATGTTGCTATTAAAAATAGGTAAAACTGTCTTTGGGGAGCACAGGCTGCACCTTCAGGGCCTCCCCATGTGTTAAGAGCTCCCTGCTCCTCACTGGGTAGCCCTGGGGCTCTTCCTCTGGTACTGCTCTATCATCAGACCCCATCCCTTCCCCTTATTTCCTTTGTAAAACTATCCAGTCTGGCGTCCCAGGGCCCTGCAGCTGCTGGGTGAGGATCAGCTGATCCCATGGAAATTGTGGGTTTTTTCTCGGGAACCTGGAGATGCACAGTGCCTTTTCTGCAGAAGGGGCTCTAATGGCAGGTGTTTTGGGCCATGTTGGGATGAGAAACATTTTGCTGTTCCTCATGAAGGAAACTTTTGCTGTTCCCAGCCCATTTTCCTATGCACAGGGCAGCCTCTGTCTTAGAGAAGGGGTAGTACCCCAGAAAGCCTGGTGACCACCCCACTAATTCCTTGAGTTGAGGTCTAAATTCTGGCTCAGGAATTGTTTGTGGCCCACCATGATTGCTCAGATCCCATCACAGCACAGCTCCCCAGGCCAGGCAATAGGGTGGCACAAAGGCCTTTCCTATCAATAGCTGATGAGTCCATTAGTAAATGGTGCACTGTCTTCCCGTGAGCAATGCCCTCCCTGCTCCCTTGGTCTTTCTCTTTTTTTTTTTTTTTTTCCCCTCTTGTGACTCCTGTTTGCTGTTGCTTCCCCCTCAGGGTTACTTGGTTGGTCATGTCCTATGAGGGGTGGATAAGAGACTAGATCCCAGGGGCAAGGGAGCCAGAACGCCTGGCACACTGCCACTGCCCAGAGGCAGGAGGCTGTGCCCAGGGACTGTGCCTGTCTTCCTTGCCCCAGGGAGGCCCTTCTTAGCAGGGACATGTATGTGCCAGGGGAGAGAGAGTTCTGGCACTGATCTAGGTTACCTCTTTGCTTGGGACCTATATTGGGGTTCTCTGAGGAGTGAGCATCTGAAGGGGCTGCCAGCAGGAGAAGAAGGGAGGAAGAAGCAGTGGGTTGAGGTGCACTCTGCTCACAGTTCCGCTTAGGTAGTTAACATGGATCCGTTTAATCATCCTAAAGCTGTGAGTGCTCTTCAGACATCTCAGTGGATGTGATCAAGCCAGGAGGAAAGGTTTCTCCTGGGCCAAATGAGTCAAATAGGACAATATCGATTTATTTACTAGGTTCAGCAACATTTGTTGTGCCCCTGTGTGCCTGGCACTGTGCTGGGTGCTGGGATACAGAGTGGAACCCATTGGCATAACTGAGGCTGTGCCCTGGACATAACTTTGCAATTGTTACTCCGACCTGATTTGTAGGAATAGCTTTACTTAGATAAAATTGACATACAATAAACTGTACATATTAAAAGTGTACAATTTGATAAGTTTTGACATAAGTATATACCCATGAAGCCACCACACCAATCAAGACAGT
This sequence comes from Homo sapiens, assembly GCF_000001405.40. NCBI lineage: Eukaryota > Metazoa > Chordata > Mammalia > Primates > Hominidae > Homo > Homo sapiens. Next base: position 110,532,577 of record NC_000001.11, read on the forward strand.
GGACATCCCTATCACCCTGAAAAGCTTTCTCAAGTCCCTTTATAATACCTGTCACTTCTCCCTCATTCCAATTCTCAGTTCACTACAGATCTGCTTTCTACAGATTGGATAAAATTTTCTAGGATTTTATATGAGTGGAATCATACAGCATGTATTCTTTTTTTGTCTGGTACCTTTCATTCAGAAGAAATATTTTATGATTCATTAATGTTGTTGAATGTATCAATAGTTCATTCCTTTTTATTGTTGTGTAGTATTCCACTGAATGGATATAACACAAGTTGTTTATCTTTTCATTTGCTGCTGGACTTTTGGGTTGGTTGCAGTTTTTGGAAAGCTGCCGTGAACATTCATGCCTTAGTCTTTGTGTGGGGTTATGCTTTCATTTCCTTTGAGCAAATATGTAGGAGTGGAATGACTCCTACCAGTTTGATAGAGTTAAATGTCCAGCATCTGCAAAGAATCTTGGATTGGCCCAATCTTCCAGAATCCCACCAGGATGCTCTTGGGTTCTTGGGAAGTTTTTTGTTTTGTTTTGTTGAGGAGAAAACAGGTGGACATGCACAGGAACCCTAGAGACAAACAGAAATTGGTGGGGGTGCTTTGTAAATAACCACAGCTAAAAATTGTTTTCCTTTGAGCCAGTGGTATATCGTCCTTTACAAGATAACTGTCAAGGTTTATCAGCTAGTCATTACCTTTGACCTCCAGGCTGCCATCCTGGAGCATAGCTGTGGCCAGAGAAAAGGCCTTGTCCAGCTTCCTGGCATCTAAGGGGTTTGTTTGGGCCTGGGAGAGATGTGAACACCTGGCTCACACCTGGCTCCAGATGCCAGGGCAGCTGAGCTGCCGCTGGTGGGCACTGTAGTGTCAGTTCCAGCTGTGAATAAACACAGAGAGCAAACAGTCCTCACCACTCTAACCCAGGCTCCTGACAGACTTTGTACATCATTCCATTTGGTGCCTGGGTACCCTTCCTTTCTCCCAGCTCTGAGTCCTGGTACAGGAGTGGCTCACCTGGGTAGTGGCTCAGGGTACCTCCTTTTCATCCGGGTAGCTGGGCTCAACCTGGCTGGGGCTCAGCTGCTCTTATCTTGGAGGCTCTGAGAAGTAGCTCCAGAGACCTAAATCCAAGAGAAATGAGGAGTAGGGGCCCTAGGATTCTCAGCACCTCCAGTGACTTATTAATTGGTTAATTTTCCGATTAATCAACAACCAGTTTTTGGGCAAAGAAACTGCTGGGTGCTTGGGTTATAGGGGGAACAAATGCAGATGCCTTTGAGGTGCTTATGGTCCAGAAGGCAGCCCAACAAGAAGGCAATGAACGGCACACTCACCATGAGGAGATCAGACAAGCTCCAGGGACCGCAGGGTAGGGGGACCTAACTGCATCCTGCTGTGTGCAGGAAGATGGCTAGGATGCTCTCAGAGAGGTCTGTGCTCCCTGACCAAAGACGGCAGGCACTGGTGGGGATCGCAGCTTAATAACACAGTGCCATAAGGCAGGGTGAGAAGGCTTTCTATGGTTAGAAAAAACCCCACTTTTCTCCTTTCTTTTCCTCTTCCTGACGTTGCTTCTCTACTCTTATTGTCACAGGAACCTGCCATCCTTGTCAGAAGAGTCAATTGAGAAGAAAATGCAAATGCATTTGAGCTGTGTGTGCTAAAGCCATGACAGGGAAAAGGTGCAGGAAACAGAGCCCAAAATTGGTTACCAAAATTCACTGAATAACAATATTCATAGCAGCTAACATTTTTTGAGCATGTAAAATGTGCCAGGTACAGAGCCTAGTGCTTTACTTATGTGACTTCATTTAAACTCCCCAACAATAGGAGCGGGTATTATGATGATCTCAATTTTACAGATGGGGAAACTGAGTCACCAGGGAGGGAGGTTTGCTCAAGGTCAGGGAGCTCCTGAGATGGCAGTGCCAAAATGTGAATCTAAACTGTGTTAAAAGGTGTGTACCATGGGCAGGGCAGCAGTGAGTATAGTGGGTGGGGGGCTAACCCTGCCTAAGGGTCGGTGAGAGCTTCCCCAGGATGTGGCATTTGAGCTGAAGGAAAAGTACTCCAGGCTAAGGAAAAAGGTGCAGGTGATAAAGGCATTCAAGGAGAGGAAGATTTTTTTTTCAAAGTCAGGGTTCCAGGCTTAAGAGAGGAGGATTTTTGAGTGCAATGGCAGGCCAGAGGAGCGAGTCTCTTATGACTGGAGTGTGAGGTTCTCAGCAAGAGAGGCCTCTAGGTTAGGTAGCATCCATACAGGCCACAACCGGGTGAAAACTGATAGTGTGGTCTGTTCACTGACTGGGGTGCCCGCTGCTAGCTTCCTCACCTGGCTAAGCCTGAGGCTGGATGACCAAGGATGAAAAAGGAGCTGAGGTTTGAGACCCAGGGCATTTACAATCCAAGGCAGGGGGAGTTCTTATCATCATCATCATCATCACCACCATCATCATTATTATTCTTTATTCCAAGGAAATTTTGCATGAAAATCTGAAATAAAACTAACAAAAGAGAAGCTGCTCTGCTTGAATTAGGGGTGGGGCAGGGCCCTGAACCCCGACTGCTAGGTCCCTTTATTCCCTGCTCCTTCGACCTCCCTAGCTCTCCACAGCAGTCTGGTCCTTAGTGGCTATAGTTGTTAATGTTTCCAATGCTGCCTAGTAGAGGTCCAGTTGCTCTGACCCCACTGGATATATCTTCTGGCCCCCTTCTCTCCAGCATGCAGGCCAAGTGACACAGCCCAATTTGGTCCCTGCTCAAGAAACTGATCTCCTTGCTCTCTACTCTGACCTCTGGGTCTTTTACCAACATCAGCTCTGGAGCAGGGCCAAAGGCCCAGGGCCTCTACCTGACCAATTGGACACTAAGCCATGAAAAACGAACTCCCCTATCAGATCCTGGGGCCTCTCAGGCTTCGGACTAGGCTTGCCCTTCTGACCCAAGCTCCTGTCCTCCGGTTGCTGGGGCAAAAGGATGAGCAGGGCTGTGTACACCTCAGGGACCCTTCAATCACCCCAACAGCACGAGCTGGGACTAGACTTGGAAAGGAGAGAGAGAGAGGCTACCCAAAGGCAGGGAGAGAGTGAGTCAAAAGGGGCAGGTGAACAAGAAGCTGTTTTCTGCAAGGTCAGGGAACAAACTGCCATCAGGCCTGAATGCTCAGGGTCGCAGATTCATTTTCACTGCCCCAGGTCAGCGTGGACCCGCTCCAAACTGTCTCCCAGCACCTGAGGACATTAGTGGTGCAAGCAGATTCTCTTCATACAAGCACATGATTGCTAATGTATACTCCGGCACTGTGCTCAGTGTTGAAGACAGAGATGTAGTTGGGAGAGAGGGGAACAAAAAGCAAAAAGACATGTAGATCTAGGACTGTCAGATGGAAATATCAAGAGCCACCTCTTAGAATGCTGAGGGGACTGGATGAATATCGCATGTATATGCACCTAGCTCTAAGCCTACTGCCTGGCAAGCTTTCAATAAACAGAGCTGTGAAATAAACAGGAAACTAATAGAAGTATTTGCTATGGGATCACAGAGGAGGGTGCACTTCAACTGGGGTGGAGGATGGAGCTAAGCAAAGGGAAGAGGGGAAGATCTTATCTCTCAGGAGCAGCTGGAGCTGAGTCATATAGAATAAATGGAATCTCCCAAAGCAGAGAAGAGATTTGTTTGTAGAGTGGAAGAAGGATATGGAGAAGAGCCTTCCAGGCACGTGCAAAAGAAGGCAGGGATGTGAGTGTCAGCCAGGTTTATCTGGCAAACTCCAAGCTTGAAGGCTCTGGCCTACACGACATCAGGAACCCTTCAACACAACATTGTATAATGGAGAGTTGCTTTAGACTCAGACAGACCAAAGTTCTGTGGCCCTGGTGCATTTCTTAACCTTTCTGAGTCTCAATTCCTCAACTCAAAAGGGGAGTTTGCTGTCTACTTTGCTAGAGTGTTGTGATGCAAGAGTGAAATGAACCCATGCAGTCACAGGACATGGCCCATGGAACTTTGCTCCTGGTTTCTCTAGGAGGAACAGAACCTGAGACTTGGAATTCTGGAAAGGAGGTGTTGGGAGTAGTTGGCTCCAGTCCCCTCTCAATGCGGAAGTCCCTCTACAGCAGTGCTTCCAGGTGATTGTCCATTTCAGGATTCTGTGCACCATTTCAGGATTCTGCAAATGTTGCTGGACCATTACAACCTTGACTTCAGTCATTTATGGCATCCCACTCTCGCTATGTCCTAGGGGAGAGGTAAAAGGGGGAAGAGAGCAATTAGGAATAGTGACCACTGGCCCATGGATGCAGAGTCTTAGTAGGGCCTCAGAAGCTGCTGATCCTACTCCTGACTTGTACAGGTACAGAGGACTGTGATTTGCCCAAGGTCACCCAAGTGAGTTACTGGCAGGTCTTCTGATTTCCCTTGGCAGGGCTGTTCTACAGCAGCCTTTGGCTTAGCTGGCTGCAGCCTAGTGACATCACAGGGGAATTGGCCAATCCCTGCAGGCTCTACTCCTGGGATGTATGGCTTTGTCCTTGGAGAGTCCTCCACTGTGTGTCACTCCTATCATCATTACTAACCTGGAATTCTGGCGATATGGGATGGACCAGGCTGAACTGAGTGCTGTGACTGAGGCCTTGTCCCTGTATGGTCAGGGAGACTGGTGCAGAAGGGGTAGACTGGAGCAGGCTGGTGGGACTGAACCCACTGATGGGGTTGGGATAGGCTGGCAGTAGTTTTAGGAAGGGTATCACACTGAGGAATCTGAAAGGTGTGCAGCTTCAGCTAAGAAGGCAGTGCTGGAGGCTGGGCACAGGTAGCAAGGTATTCCCACATGGCAGAGCCCAGAGACCCCATGGAGTCCTGGCATAATGGAACAACCAGGCATCAACACTGGGGTATCTCTCATACTAGATCCTGATGGGCAGTCACTGGCAAGGGCAAAGCAGAGCCCTAAGCCTCCTGCAGGAGGAACCAGCCACTGGCTGGCTTTCCAGATGTGGGCTCAGGCCCTGGGAACCAGGGAATGGTTAGTTGTGCCTGACTGAGGTGCTACTAGGGTCAGGCAGTCCAGCTATGGGGAAAGGAAGCCACAGACCCTGGGAATCATGCAGACCATAGGCAGGCTGAGAAAGAAGGGGCAGGGCCTTCTGATCCCAGCCCCTCTGTCTCAGATTGACTCATTCAGTCCAGCAGGGCCCTATTGGGCAGAGATCACAGTTCACAGCAGAATTAGGTGAGAGATGAGACCTTGGAGTACTGGAGTGCATCCTGGACCAGCTATACTACTCAACTTGCTGGGTAACCTCTGGTAATTCTTTTAGCCTCTCTGAGCCTTGATTTTCCATCTGTAAACTGGGGGATCATACCCTGCTATGCCCTCCACACAGGTGGAGGTTTGTGGGTTAAAATGAAAGGTATGCAGATTCACACTGAAGTGACGAGCTGCCTCCTATCTCATTATGAGTCGTCCATCTGTGAGTCCCCTGGAGCAAGGACTCTGGCTTCCCCTGCGTCTCCCACAGTGTCTAGGATGGGGCTGTGTCCCGCTGTGCAGACCGACTGAGAGGACGGGCCGCAGCTGAGGCCAGCCTGCAGGGCCCTGGCAGCCGGTGAGGTTGCTGACGAGGGAACAGCCTGGTGATGGATGACGCTGCCAGCCTTTGCCCATCTGGCAGCCTGAGCAATTTGCATAAAAACAAAGACAGCTCCAGCGGCATGAAATATTGATGCCCTGAGACTTTCCAGAGTGGCGTCTCGGTCTCACTCAGCAAGGGCCCGGCTCCTGGCCCCGTGGTAATGGCGCCTCCTGCCTGTTGAGTTTGTTTCCAAAGGGCTGCAGGGAGGGAGAGTTGTCCTGGCCGAGGGGGCCACCTGGGAGTCCTTGTCGACATACATTAGTCTTGGGTTTCAGGTGATACTGACTTTAATCAAACTGGGTTGGAAAAAAACACATTGGATGAGGTTCTGAATGGCTCAGTTTCCAGTCTGATGAAGGCAGATGGGAGCTCAGTCCTCTCAGCAGGCCCAGGCCTCCCTCTCTGACCCTCACAAAGAAACCCACTGACCACATGGCAACCTGTCAAGAGTGACAGGATGGGGATGGGGAGACCCATCCCTGAGGAAGCTGTAAGATGGGGAGGGGTGTAATTATGGGGGTGTATTCTCATCAGCATCTTGAAGGAGCCTGGTAATGAAAAATGCCCACACAGTCCAGCAGTCATGCAGGGCAAACCCTTGCCTCCGTCATTTGTAGATCCCTCTTCTAACAACGGAGCAGTGAGCAAGGTTGGAGGCAGCCCCCTCCCTCCCTCCCGCCCCTGAGTCCTATGGTGGAAAGGGGAGGGTGCTTTAGGTACAGGCACATTTTGGGTCTTTGTCCTCAGGGCAAGGCCAGGACTCTGTTTCTGTAGTTTGGCTTCTCCCAGGAGGTGGGGGTGGTCACATAAAATCCGAGCTCCCTTCTCAGCTCTGTCGCTGCAGGCGTTCCCTTCTGGCCTGGAACCCTCCATCTCCATCTGCCAAAAGAGTGTGAACGTTCAGCTCCAGCCAGATTCCTACCGCTAGTGCAGGCCAGTCCTAATAGGTCTCTCCGTGTGAGCTCCTCCAGGATGCCGGCCAAGGCTTAGTCATCTTTGTATCCTCACGGCCTGGTGCACAGGAGCCACCTGAACAATGCTGGATGAAATTAACAGAATTTTGGAGTGTGGGGTGGGTCAGGGCCCCAGGCTGACCAATAGGAGGAAGGGAACATTCACAGGCCAATGGCAAAGACTGTCAGCTCCAGTTGGAGAGGTTTAGTAGGGGGAGTGGGGCTTCTCCTCTAAATCTGAAAGCTCCCTGCAGTGGTTGGTTGATGAGCCTTAGGAATCTTCCTCTCTGGCCAGGGGTCCTCCTTTCCATCAGAGCTGCATCAGGCCAGTATTTTGAGTCTTTTGTTTTTTATTTTCCTCCTATCTAAAAAGAAATACATAGTCACAATAGAAAAATTGTAAAAAAGTAGAAGAGTATTAAAAAAACAACCACAGTGTTCTCAACAACTTGAGTCATTTCTTAACATTTATTTTAAATATGGCTGACTTGGCTGGGTTGGGGGTTGGACAAGTCCCCACTCCACATTCTGTGAGCAAGTGATGCCAACCCCACACCCACCTGCCCACCCCTTGACCCACAAAGCAAACCCCTTGATCCAGTATTTCCCATCCCAAAGGTGGCCCTTGGTAGACAATGGTTCAATATGAGAACTGCTTGCCTGTTCTGGGTGGGCCCTGCAAGGTCTTTGTGAATAGGCAGAAGAACCCAGATCCATTTGGGTCACTCTCTTTACTTTGTTAGGTAACCCGGCACTGGCAGTGCCCCACTTGAGCAGGGCCAGGACACTGATTCCTTACTCAAACTGTCAAGAGTGACAGTTTGAGTCTGCGGGAAGGGAGAGGGGAGAAGAACGATGGCTACATAGAAGGTCATCTTGCCCTGTAGGAAAGACTATTAATTTAGGGTCTTTTCTGAGGCCAGAGATTTAGTAATCTATTTCAGTCTTTTCTCCACACAGCAGCCCATGGAGTTATTCCAGTATCCAAATCAGATCTGTCACTCCCCTCCTCAAAATTCTTCAGTGACTCAACATCTGCTATAGGACAAAACTGAAATTCCCTTCATGGTATATGTGACTTGTTGTCCCTAAGTATTGGTTCTCCTTTCTTTCTTATTAACATAATTTTTGGGCCTGTAATCCGAGCACTTTGGGAGGCTGAGGCAAGAGGACTGCCTGAAGCCAGGAGTTTGAGACCAGCCTGGGCAATAAAGTGAGATTCCTTCTCTATAAAAATCCAAAAAAACATAGCTGGGCAAAGTGGTGCATGCCTGTAGTCCCAGCTACCCAGGAGGCTTGAACCCAGGAGTTTGAGGCTGCAGTTAACTATGATTGCGCTGCTGCACTCAAATCCAGCCTTGTTGACAGCGATGCCCTGTCTCCAAGAAAAAAAAATCTAACAGGACAAAACAATGCAAAAAACCCCATAACTTTTGGTTAGGCGTAAAGTTGCAAGAAGAAAGACCTTATTTCTCAACCTCCCTTGTAGCATAGATCAGCTGACTCCCAGCAGACCCTCAGATATAGGAGCAAACCTGGCCAACATCAGCTGACCTACAGGTGCATGAAAAATAAATGATTGTGGTTTTAACCACTGAGTTTGGGGGTGGTCTGTAATGTTACAATATCTAACTGATATAATATCTGTCCTCCAATTCCCAAACTGGGCAAGAAGGTAATAGTCAAGCTACATGATTAATATATGATGGATCAGAGCAGAGACACAAAGGTAAAAGAAAGCGAATGTGAACAAGACCAAAAACACTCAATGGTAAATGAATACAGGGTTTACACATACACGAATACTGTATCAGTCAGAAGAGAAATTAGTTGGAAATTGAAGCAGAAGAAAGGAGAATTAGTCAGGTAAAATCAGCTGAGCCTATCTCACTCCTGTCTGGATGGAGCTCATCTGGCAAATGTTAGGAGGAGCCAGTCTGTTGATGAGTAAGCCCTAACATGCACATGGCAGGCTAGAAAAGCCCAATAGCATTAGGCAATCAAGTGCTTTAATTAACTCATCTTGGTCAATTCTTCAATGTTTCTATAATGTGGCTCCCATGGAGAGATTGTGATCAGCTTGAATAAGTTTCCAATCCATTTGACAGTTATATTTCTCTTTGTGATTTAATTGACATTCTGGTCTTATTTATTGGTCTTCATCGCAGCCGTGTTAGTGTGCATCAGTATTCCCAAATCTGATCAAATTTGATTCGGGATCCTGATAGAGTTTGAGTTTATGAGTCTGCAAGGATGAGAGCTAAAACCTTGTTGGCAACGAGCTCATCAGAATAAAAGCTGCTTTCTGATGTCCAGCCAGCTGGCCTCATGTAGCCTCTGAATTAATATCCACCTTTCTTTGCATTTCTATGGTTAATGTTGTTATCCAGGCATATGCAAGTCTTGGGTGAGATCAGGGGAGTGACTGCTCATGGTTAGTAAAAAAAACTGGAGGGGGGAGGCACTAAGCTTTACCCACATATTCAAAGACACGCTATCTAATGGTACCTTTCCAGTCCTCTATATCTCACTTAGAAAGACAATACTAGGATGTTGTTTCAGAAAGCGTCTTTCAAGACTATCTACTCCAACCTTCTTACCTTATAGACATGGACACTCAGGCTTAGAGAGTTTACATAAGTTGTCCAAACTCACACAGCCCCTGAATCCTCCACACAGGAGAGCCACAGATTCATTCTCACTGTGGAATAGCCAATAGCCTCAGTACATCCTCAGGGCAGGTGCCATGCCTGTGTTTAGCACCAAGAGCCTGGTGCTGTGTATGCCCATTGGGGTCTCAGCATGTGCTGCTGGCTGAGATTTGGGATTGGGGAATGGTCTGTAAACCCTGTTCCTCAGTCCTGGGTTTGGCTGGTTGGGGCTTCCCTTCTGCCATCCATTCTCTCAAGCTGTGATCTTGGCAGGAGAAATCCACTTATTTGTGCTTCATTACCTGCACTGTCTTTCCAACTGGTCACACTCCCAGAATGTAATAAGAAAAGCTTTCCTGATTGGGGAGCCGTGGAGATTTCTTTCCTTTGTATTTTCTACCTCTCTCCCTCCTCCAAAATATGTTCACTCTTGGCACCTAATGTGAACTGAGTCCTCACAGCTCTGGGAAGCTTTAGGGGCAATGGAATGATCTCAATGTGATTCCAGGTCTCAATATGGTACAGAGAAAGAGTGCAGAGCTGGGAGCTAGAAGGCCTGAGGTCCAGTGCCCTGGCTCTGGGATGTTAAATAGCCCATTAGATTTCTTTGGGACCCAGATTCCTTATCTGTAAAATGAAAATGTTGAGTTATTCATTTGCCCTTAGCACTAATATTCTGTGGTTTCATTTTGAACTTACAAAAATTTATCGATGGCTGGGTGTGGTGGCTCACACCAGTAATCCCAGCATTTTGGGAGGCTGAAGAGGGTGGATAACCTGAGGCCAGGAGTTCGAGACCAGCCTGGCCAATATGGTGAAACCCCGTCTTTACTAAAAATACAAAAATTAGCCAGGCATGGTGGTGGGCACCTGTAATCCCAGCTACTTGGGAGGCTGAGGCAAGAGAATTGCTAGAACCCTGGGGGCGGAGGCTGCAGTGAGCTGAGATTGCGCCACTGCACTCCAGCCTGGGTGATAGAGTGAGACTCCGTCTCAAAACAAAAAACAAAAACAAAACAAAAATTTCTTGACTGCAGAGTTGAGAAACTGGACATCACTTCCTGATTAACTGAGCTCTGTCCTTGGTGCTGAGATGTTGGGTGTTGCCTCATTGTCCACTGGTTAGCTTCAGGAAAGAAGAATCAGTGTCACAGAATGGGATGCCATTGAATTTTTGGACAACTTGTAAGACTTAGGTCCAAAAATATCGCTCTAATAAGCAGTCTATTAACTTAGGGTTGAAGATTTTTCATAAACCTATTGTTAAAAAATTTGAGCTGTAACTCCAGGCCTGCAGGATGGTTTGGCAAAATGTCTTTCATCAATAGTCTGTGTTTTGATGGCATGACCGTATATATCCTGGATTTATGGGTACTGTTCCAATTTCAAATATGCTATCACATGTTTCCATAAATCACTGTAATGTCCATTGTGTCATCTATATTGTGTCATTTATATTACATCCCCAGGGTGTGTCTTGGTTCTGGAAGTAGTTTAAAAATCTTTTTTTCCAACCATGTGTCTAGGTTTTGGCTGTGAGAATATGGCTTTGGTACAGGTGTAGTCTGTTTGATATGCCTTGTGTTGAGATTATAAACCCTCTGGATGAAGCTTTACAATTTTCCAGGATTCTTCCTTTCTCATTAAAACAAAAACGTTCATGACTAGAGGGTATGCCTAGGTTATGATGTGAGCCCCCAATATTCAGGACAAGAAAGCAAAAGAGTATTTCTGCATGGGTCATGCCTGCCCAACATCACAGAAGAGTTAAAATGGATAAAACATAAGACAAGCGAGATTTGTTTGTCTCCACTGCACTGAGGGCCTCGGTGATCATTCCCCCAACCCCAACACACTTACTTGGCCTGTTTCTTTGACACTGTATTGACACAATAGTGGTGACAGAATGGGGGTTGTCATACAGTTAATGAATCAGTTTTCTGATGCTGGCAGACCAGTGATGGCCCAAGAGCAACTGTGGCTCTATTTCAGTGTTCCTCAGAGCCTTGTGGAAAAGTGTCCCACTTCAGCATTCCTCTGTGCTCATCAATGGCTTTGGTTCAATCTTTTGGGATTGAGCTTCCTCACTCTTCATGTTGGAGAATCCAATTCAAGTTGATCCCAGATATTTAATTCGGGAAGTGTTTGTTGAGCATCTATCATATGCCTATCATTGTGCCTTGATCATGAGGTATGTAGGAGCTGAGGGCTTACTGGCAGTGAGGGCTTCAGTGGGCAGGAGTGGCCATAAAGAAGGTGGTGGAGCATGGCTGGGAGAGAACAGGAAGATGATTGCCTGGAAACCCCAAGAAAGGAGGCAGTTGTAAAGATTATGAGTATGTACTTTAGAGACAGCCAGTCCCAGGCTCAAGGCCCAACTTAGCTGCTTAATAGCTAGGTGATCTTGGGCAGGTCAGTTGACCCCTCCTAAGCCAAAATACACTCACAATGTTGTTGTTGGAATACTCTTATTAAGTTGGAACTATCTTCCTAAGAGAGTTTATGCAGTTTAGTTCAGTGTCCATGAGTGCTCAATAAAAGGTGGCTCTCTGATATATATACAACATGTGACTTGTTCAAGAACATGAATCAGGTAATTTAAGATCCATGCTATCTGTCATCTCCCTCCTGTCTTCTTGGACTAGGAGTTTGTTGAATTTGGTCTTGCAGTTTCTGGTCCCCCTCCAGGATGTGTTAGTGATCTTGTCACATCTTGTCATCTTCCAGGTGTCTGCACATGGATTTTTGGGACATTTGATCTATATCTTGCCTGGTGCAGACAGATTTGTTGGCTTTGTACCTGGAGGGTTACCTTAGCATATGACTGTTTCAACATGTACCCCATCACAATCTTCAGGGATGTCTTCCATCCTCTGCGAATCTAAATACAATCCCTCACACCTTTGGCAAACATTCACAATTTCCTCTGTGCCTTCAGGGGACAAGTCAAAGGGGCCAGCTAGTTATGAAACACCGTTCCTAAAAGGCCTCTTTAATTATTTCTTGCCCCAGTCAAATGTGACTTTTTATTCTTCCATCAAACAAGGCACCCAATTATATGATTATAGCTGATCTTTTAAAATGAAGACAGCAGTTTGAAAAATGCTTGTCTTCTCATTGTCTCCTGTTATGCTGTCAGTCAGCTGGATGGAAGGGGGCGGCTGCAGGGGGTGGAAGTGGTATGACTTCCCCCCTTCTTCCTCTTTTCCCTTTTATACATGGGTAATATGTCTTCCTGTTTCTACTTTTCCCTGGAAAGATCCTTTCTCCTTCTTGCACCAGCTTTTATCACATACCGAGTTTGTGTTTCTTTGGTTCTGGTCTTCTGGTCTAAAGACAAAATTTGTCTGGGACAATTTCTGATTTTCAGATCCTTTGACCACTCTGTTTTAGCTTTAGACAGCACCCCTCTGACCTGAGGACCAGTGCTGCATTGATGCAGTCAGTGACAATACCAACAACAACAACAGACAATAACAGCTACAGACATCTGGATCGTGCTGACCGTGCTGGCTACTCCTTCTCAGTCTCCTTTGCTGGGTGCTCCCAGCTTTCCTGAATTTAATGTTGGAGTGGGCCAGAGCACAGCCCTTGACCTCTTTTCTATCTATGTTTGCTCCCTTGGTTATCTCATTCAGCTTTAAATATCTTCTACATGCTCACAACTTCAAAACTATCTCAGTGCAGGCTTCTCTCCTGAACTCCAGGCTTGTGTATCTCACAGTTGACCTCGTGTCTCCACTTAGATGTCTAACAGGCATCTTAAATCTCTTTTCCACAACAAATCTCTCTCTCTCTCTTTTTTTTTTTTTTTCAGACGGAGTCTCACTCCATCTGTCTTCTTGGACTAGGAGGTTGTTGAATTTGGTCTTGCAGTGTCTGCTCTCCCTCCAGGATGTGTTAGTGATCTTGTCACATCCTGTCATCTTCCAGGTGATTGCACATGGATTTTTGGGACATTTGATCTATATCTTGCCTGGTGCAGACAGATTTGTTGGCTTTGTACCTGGAGGGTTACCTTAGCATAGGGCTATTTCAACATGTACCCCATCACAATCTTCAGGGATGCCCATGCTGGAGTGCAGTGGTACAATCTCCACTCACTGCAACCTCCACCTCCTGGTTTCAAGTGATTTTCATGCCTCACCCTCCAAAGTAGCTGGGATTACAGGCGTGCTCCACCATGCCCGGCTAATTGTTGTGCTTTTAGTAGAGATGTGGTTTCACCATGTTGGCCAGGCTGATCTTGAACTCTTGACCTCAAATGATCTGCCTGTTTCAGCCTCCCAAAGTGCTGGGATTACAGGTGTGAGAGCCACCGCGGCTGGCCTCCACAACAAATCTTCTGATACCCCCTATCAAACCCGCTTCTCTTGGTATCTCCACAATGTCAGTAAACAGCAACTCTATTTTTTTCAGTTGCCCAGACCAAAGATTTTGGTGCGCTCCTTGAATCCTCTTTTCTCTCACTTTCTACATCTGATCTGTAGCAAGTCATATTGGTTGACCTGTAAAATATAGCCAGAATGTGTCCTCATCCTGACACTTCTGCTGTCCCACCTTAGTTCAAACCATTATAAACATTCACTTCAATTATTCCAGTAACTTCCCAACTGGTCTCTCTGCAATTTGCTCTCAATTCCCCTGAAGTAAATTCTCCAAACAAGAGCCAAAGTGATCCTGTAAAAACAGAACTCATGTCTCCTCTGCTCAAAACTCTCAAATGGCTCCCACATCACTCAGAGTGCAGGTCAAGGTCCTTTCAATGATGCTGGGGCCTTATGTTTCCCAGCCCCATTACTTCTCCTTTCCAGCACTCTCCCCCTTGCTCACTCTGTTCCATAATGGCCTCCTTGCTGTTCCTTAGATACTGCTGCATCCTTTCACCTCAAGGCCTTTGCACTTGCTCTTCCCTGTTTGGAATGCTTGTCCTCCAGATGTCTGCCTAGCCCACTTCTGTCAGGGCCATCCCTGGCTACTTACTCAAAATTGCAGCCCCCACTCTAGCCTGTCTCTCTCCTGCTGCTCTATTGATCCCTTAGCACTTACCACTAGTGCATTTATCTTGTAATTGTTTATACCATGAGGGCAGGCATTTTTCCCTGTTTTGTCTGCTAGACTCCTAGTACTTGGCACAGAGTAGGCATTTGATAAATATTTGTTTACCGAACTGCTCTAAAATTACTACATCTGTTAACTTTTTAAATTCCCACAACAGCCTTATGAGCCCTGTTTAGTACATGAAGAAACTGAGGCACAAATAGGTTAAATAAATGACCCAAACTCACACAGCTAGTAATGACATAGCTGGAATTTAATTCCAGGCAGTCTGGGTCTGAGCCCATGTGCTCCACCACTAGGCTTCACTGTCAGGGTGTGGGGTGTGGTTTTCTGTCCCTGTGTTTGGGAGCTGTCACGTGGTCCAGGGACTCAGCAGGAGTTGGTCGCTGTTGTGGTCAGCTTGAGTGGACATAGGTTGAGCAGCCTGAGGTCTAGGAAAGAGGTTTCTTACAGAGCCAGCCAGGCAGCAACTGTTCATATGGTTTAATAGCAGCAATTGATAGGAGGCTCCTGCTGTACTCACAACTCTGATCTGGGACAATACGAAGAGGTCTCACTGGATAGCAGCTGATTACTGTAGTTTACAATGTGCCAGACACTGGGCTAAGTGCCTTCCACGTACCACTTTCTTCCATCCTCTCAACAAGCCTGTGTGCTAGATCCTGCTCTTTCAAAAGAAAATCTGATCCACATGTTAGAGTTTTACAAGAGGCTCAGAGAGGTTGAGTACCCTACCTCAGGCCACACAGTTGGTAAACCGAGAGGTTGTCCTCCAATGATAACATCTGTGGCATCTACATCCTACTACCCGCTCCCCCGCATTATTACACGTGATCCTCACCATAGCCATGCAAGTGACATGCTGCTGGCCTTGATTTATAACCCCAGAAGCTATGGGAGTTTGGCCCAGCCAGGCTATACTCTTGGGTCATTTCCTCCAGTGGGCACCTCTGGGGGCTTCTGGATAGCCTCTTGCCCTTGGCCTTTCACTATTTGCCCCAGTCCCTCCGCAAACCTTTCTTATCTCCCTCAACCATCTGCTGACCTAATGTTTAAGCCAAAGTGATAATTAACTGGACCCTCCTTTAATGTAAAGATTTATTCAAGGAAGACAAACATAAAAAATACTTGCTTTTATCTGCTCACAGTTTCCTTTGAGAAATAGGAAATGTCCTGTGTCCCCTCACCCCTGAACCTCCATTCCCCAGGGACCAAGGTGGAAAGAATGGGAGACCAGCAGTGAGGTCAGGGCCTCTGGCCTGCCTGTCCTGACTTCTGATCCAGAGCCTTCTACCAACAAGGGACAGCCCTCAGTTTCTCAGGGCCAGGATCTGGTGAGCCATGGAGGTATCTTCCAGTATTGGAAGGAGTGTGCATTGGCCTGGGGACCTGGCCACCTTCCCACTTCTGCCCCTCAGGTCGCAGATGAAGGTGGCCCGGGTTGACCTGCATTATCTGGATCACAGACCTGGGCATGCTGGGGTCAGCAAAGAAGAGCCCATTTGGCTGTGGCAGCTTTGTGGGCAATGGTGGGTGTGGTGGCTTGGAAGAAGGACAGAGAGAAGGAGAAGGGGCAGGAGGTGACCTAGGGCACAAGGAATCAGCAGGGGAGAGAAGGGCAGCTCTGAGTAAATGGGCTTCTGGTTTTCTCTCCCGAGCAGCGCAGGCTCCTGGCCTTTTCAGGCCTTCTTTGCCCACCTGTGGTGAGTGAAGGGAACTGCAACTGCGCTTTCTCTCCACTTGTCATGTTGAAGTCCACACCTGAGTGGACTGGGCCTCAGGTGGCCAAACAAAATAGAGGATGCCCAGTTACAGCTGAAGTCCAGGTAAGCAATGAATGGTTTTTTAGCAGAAGTACAAAAAAGTCATTCATTGCTTGTCTGAAATTCAAACGTAACTGGACATTTTGTATTTTTATTTACAAGATTGGTAACATTACCTGGGGTCTGACAGTAGCCTGGACGGGTCTTCTTCTCGTGGACAGCCTTGGTAAGAGCCTTCAGCACAAGCTGCCCTTAGTAGATATTCACAGGGCATGGGAAGGAGCTATATTTGCAGTAGGCCTCTAAGACCTTTCTGAGCCCCGGAATGCTTTATCCACCTGCAGCCTGAAATTTCATGATGAGTCTTTGGTCAGTTAATAAGTAGTGGGGAGCTGACTGGATGGAAGGCAGATTCATCTGAATAGGTATCTGATAGCAATTGATCAGATGTGTGGGGAAGGGCATATCCTCCTCAGACCTGGGAAGTGAATGTAATAAGACCCACTACACGGGCTTACTGTAAAGATCAAAAGATACAGTGTATGTGAAAGCTACTCGGCATATAGAAAGTGCTCAGTAAATACTAACTGATATCATTTTTAGGGCAAAGCACAGACAGCCGTGGAGAACCCAGAAGGTCCTGGGCAGATAAGGAACTCATCAAGAGAGAAGAAGATGGAACAGAAGGGGAAGGCATCCTGGGAAGTGGCCCTACCTCTCCCTATAGTCGTTACATTGCTGCTGCTGTTCTGGACCCCCTTGAAGGCCTTAGCCTTTACCCTGCCTCCTGTTGTCTGGAAGCCAGGCCCTCAAGGTGGGAGGTGGGGAGCAGGAGCAGGTGGCCAGGGAGATGGAAGGACTTGAGACCTGGGCAGGAGAGGTAGAGAGCCTGGGAATATCAGGACTTGGCCATGACAGATGGTGGGGCTGGGAGGAAGGAGGCATGAAAGATGCAGGAAATCATGGCTACTGTGAAAATGGAAAGGAGAAATATCTTTTAATATATGTGAATATCAGTATAGGATGAGGATTCTATTACATTTAGTATGAGAAAATACCATCTCCTTCAATGCCAGTTATAAATAAAGGAGATGCAGCAAAGTAAGAAGGTATAAACTATAAGAAGGGGCATAGCTATATAAATACAAGAAAAATACAACCAAACACCACCATTTGTGCCTAATTACCATGAATCCCAGAGATGGTAATAAATTCATGGCATATGCATTTTGCCTGACTAGAGTTTAGGGTGGCTATGACATTATACCCTGTCCAGGCAGCCTTAGCCTTCTGAGTGTCAAAGGCATTCTCTCATGCGGTCATTGGTAGCTAACGACACAGTGTTGGTGCTGAGCATTTGCTTTTTAATAGAAGGTGGTGGCCTACATGCAAATGACCATGAGGGAGTTAATCCTCAGCCTTTCCTCAAAGGGACTCTTGCACACAATTTCAGGGCCTGGGGCAAGAGAGCACATGGTGGCCTATGAACCATATGTCTAAATATTTAAAAGTCAAGCTAACAAACTGTTACATAAAATGTGTTCACTTCCTATCTTGACACAGGTACCTTTGTAACAACCTGGGAGGTCATGTTCAAATTCAGGACCATGGATTCCCCCATCTTGTCACAATTTGGTAGAAGGCTCTGGCCCTGTTCTGTGTCTACGACCCCTTTTGCCAACCGCCTTCTTTTCCCACTCCTGGCTCTGTCTGGCACCTTGAGGGGATGCATGAGTTTTCTATCCCTGCTATAGTAAATTACCACCGACTTAGCGATTTGAAACAACACAGATTTATTCTCTTATACTTCTGGAGGTCAGGAGTCTGGCTTGGGTTTCACTGGGCTAAACTCGTGGTGCTGGCAGGGCAGCACTCCTTCTGCGGCTCTAGGCGGGAACCCATTCCCTTTCCTCTTCCAGCCTCCAGAGGCTGCCAGTATTCCTCTGCTCATGGCCCTTCCTTCCACCTTCAAAACCAGCAACACTGTACCTTCGCACTCTTTCCAACTCTCCTGCCTCTCCTCTATCACATGGAAGGACTTTCCTAATTATATTGGGCCCAGCTGGATAATCCAGGCTAGTCTTCCCATCTCAAGATCTGTGATTTAATTGCATCTGGAAAGTCCTCTTTGCCATGTAAGGTACCATATTCACAGGTTCTGAGGATCAGGATGTGGACATCTTTGGAGGTGGCATTATTCTGCCTCTCACTGGGTCCTTGTACACAGTGTGGATATTGCCCTGTCCCCTGCAAACAGCTGCTCTGTGGGCCTAGGGATCAGGGCTTGAGTGGCAACACCCGTCCTTGAGATGATGAATTAGGCCCACATGGATTAACGGAAGCCCTGGCCCAGGATGAGGGAAGAAGGACCACCTGAAGGTGATGGGAGGTGGTGTTCCTTTCTTTCTCTAGCAAACACATGTTCAAAGTCCTTTTCCATGTCCCTAAACTCACCTGTCAAGCAGACCGCAGGATAGGAGGCAGATGGGAGACTACAAAGTTTTGTCTGGCCATCACCATCCTGGCCCCACCTGCTTGATGTGGCTGACAGGTGATCCTGAGATGTGCTCTCCTCGGCAGGGGATCTGGAGGAGGGGAAGAAGCAACATCAATTTCTACCATATGCTTTTTATTTTCTAAGAAATTAAGCACAATTTCTTCTTCCCAGTGAATTTCTTTAACAAGGATATTTTAAAGCCTTGGAAAACATTCTTGTCCTAGTTTAATTGTATAAAGACTTTCTGTGCTGGAAGGGAAAGCTGAGAGAGAGAAAGAGACAGAAGAGAGAGAGAGGAGGGAGAGATGGGAAGAGTAAGGTGGGAGAGTGGAAGCAAGGAGAAAAGATGGGGAAGAGGGAGTGGGAGGGAGGAGGAGGGAGAAAGGAGAGAGAATACATTAAGGAAATTACAGAGTACCTCTTTCCTTGAATGAATGTTCTCTCCCAATTTCCTTCTCTCCCAGTTGGCTGCCACCCCCAGCTCACCTTGCAGAGATTAATCACCTGAGGTCTCAGGGGAAGGAGCCCATGGCATTTTCTCCAGTGTCACATTCCCTTTGGTTCCAGCCCTCAGTGCCTGCTGATCTGTGAGGCTTCTTTGATGATGGGGCATCTTCCGTGGGGACATCTGAGGCAGGTAGGGCAAAAAAAGGCCCTAGTGGACTCAGGAGCTTGAACTGTGGTGCCCAGGCTGGGGTAATTGTGCCCAGTTGAAGAGTCTATGGTTGGGAGATGCCCAGGGATCTCTCAGCTCCACATCTTCAACCCTTTCCCGGCACTTCCCTCATGAGAGTGGGACCTGACCAGCTGTCTGACCTCAGTGTCTCTCTTTAACCCCACCCATTGCCTGAGCTCCTCCTCAGTCTTCCTGTCATTCTGACCTCAGCCTGAGGGGTTCTTGTGGCTCCACCCTGGCCAGTGAAGTTGGCCCCCACTTATGGAAGAACAGATGCACTGAAGGTGGGGACTGAGGAGCACTCCATAGAATTTTTATCTTCTTCTGAGATGACGCTTGAATTTCCGTCTACTATCTCCTAGAAATCCCTGCTTCTGAGGAAGAAAGTTGGGGAAACTGAGGCAATTATGAGACATCCATTATACATCAGAAACACTCTGTGATGCCTTATTCCTTTGGCTAACAGGCAAGAGGGAGTGGCCAGAAGCCTCCTATTTTGGCCTCTTGTCAGCATTGAGTGGACACCTCTCTGTCCTTCCAAACCAGAGTGTCAGAAGGTCCCTAAGTCACCCTCAAGCAGGAACAGGGCCCCATGATGTCCTGATGTCACATTTGCCTTGCCTTTAGTGCCTCTGAGGACAGATGGAGAACTGGGTCAGGGGAGGGCAGAAAGGAGGAAAGCATTGGGAAAATCTACCAGACGGGAGCTCTGTGAGGGCAGGGACGGTGCCCTAGTTATCGATAGACCCTCGGCTCTGAGCAGCACCTGGCAGAAAGAGCATGCATAAGGACGGTTGACAATCCAGTGACTGCCCAAGAACTTGGTTTGCTTAATCTGAAAAATTTGAGACCTTGGTCTGCTTATCTGAAAAACCTTTGTGTCTCATCTGTTACTTTCTCTGACTTCATAGAACAGAGTTGTTCTGAAGAGGAGTTATTTGCCTAAAGCTCTGGGGTGGAGTTTGAAAATTAGCACCATACTTGTTTGGAAAAGTGAGAGTTTGTTTATTCAACAAGCATGTATTCTGTATTTGCTTTATGCTATTAGGTAGAGTGAGAAGTGCTAGGGTTAAATGACCAGGAAGAAAAACAGGGTTCTTGGAGCTGTGAAGTTTATAGTCTAGACGGGGCACAGAATTTGGCCAAATAATCTTGCAGATGGATAATTTCAGACTGGGATGAGTGTTTTGAAGGCGAAGTTCAGGAGGCTGAGAGAAAGTTTAGCAGGGAGAACAGGGGGCCCTGGTCTATTGTGGATTCCTTTCCTAAGGGAGTGATGTTTGAGAGGGGTGGTGAAGCAGACTGCAGTGGAGAAGAGAATTCCAGGTGGAGGGTACATCACATCAGGGGCTCCTCAGTGAAGGTGGCCTGGGAAGTGCTAAGGAGGCTAGTGTGGCTGGAAGGCAGAGACTGAGGGAGAAACAATACACAGTGGTGTGGCTGAAGAGGTGGGGAAGAGGCAGAAGGCACAGGCCCTTGCAGGCTGCAGACAGTATGGATTATGTCCTAGAAGAACAGGAAGCCATTCAAGGGTTAGAAGTAGGAGGGTGACGTGGTCAGCACTTTGACTTGGAGTGGATGATGGTTGGGAAGAGGGAAGGGTGCACACCGGTGACCAGTTGTAAGGCCAATGCAATGGCTCCCATAGTGATGGTGTCAGTGGAGATGTAGGAAGATGAATTAATTTGAGAATTATTTAGGAGATAAATGGATAGGCTTTGAGAATGAGATGGATTGCATGAAGGATGAATGATTCCTAGTATAGAAAACCCGTCCACCAATCACTGTGCAAAGGGTTTTAGAGAAGGTGAGTATATCAGTGAGGATGCTTTCTGTTGTAATAGAAAACCCAGCCCCGGAGGAAAAATGGCTCCAATGTTGGCTAAGTTAGCAGCTGTACAATGTAATGAAAGAAACAGGCTCTTTCCAGTTTTCCATTCTGCTTAGGGGTTTTGTCCTCAAACTATCCCCTCACTCTGGAAAGATAACTGCTGAAGTTCTGGACATCATGCCCAGTCATGAGTTATCTGAGTAAATAAGAGGGAGTGTATTTCTTTTTCTCTAAAACAATTTTTATTTTTTGAGACAGAGTCTCACTCTGCTGCCCAGGCTGGAGTGCAGTGGTGCGATCATGGCTCACTGCAGCCCTCACCTTCTTGGGCTCAGGTGATCCTCCCACCTCAGCCTCCTGAGTAGCTGGAACCACAGGCATGCACCACCACACCTGGCTAATTATATATATATATATTTTTTTTTTAATTAATTAATTTTTTTTTGTAGGGACAAGTTTTCGCCATGCTGCCCAGGCTGTTCTCAAACTCATAGGCTCAAGTGATCCACCTGCCTCGGACTCCCAAAGTGCTGGGATTACAGGCCCAAGCTACCTTGCCTGGCCTGTATCTGTTTTAAAGTAACCTTTCCTAATCCCCACCCCTCTCCACAAACTTCCCTTCCTGTTTCCTTGGCCCAAACTGGTTCACATCATGATTGCTGAATAAATAGCTGGCAAGGAAATGGAATTACCACAACTGGCTAAGATAAATCAGAATTAATATCACATTCTGTGATTAAGAGATAGTTTAACAAAACTGGAATTCTCTCACCAAGAAAGGCAAGGGAAACGAATTTTGGGAGGGCAACTGAGTGTCTATTAATTAGGGATCATTTTCCAAAATCCTCCCAAGGAGAAGCAGACAGGGAGAAACGTCTTTGAGCTGTCCTTCTGAGAGGAGGGTGGCCTGCTCTAGGTTGGAGACTGGGGCTCAGGCATTAATCCAGGCCTTTTCTTTAAGTCTAAGGTTATTGAATCTTGGAGCAGGAGAAGACCTTATGAACTTCTAAATCAGTGGTTCTTAAATCTGGCTGGATGTCCGAGTAAATTGGGGAGGGTGTTAAAATACAAATTCCCAGCCTCTACAACCATCATCTGAATCAGAATCCCAGGAGGTGGAGGTCTAGGAATCTGGATTACTAAAGAGCTTACAGGCATTTTGGATACTGATGGTCTAGTACCTAGGAACCACAAATCCATCCCCCACATTTAAGAGATGGGGAGAGAGAAACCCAGAGAGGGAACTTAATTTACCCAAGTTCATCTAGAGAATTGGTCGACCCAGTGCGGAGAGAACCTTCCTGGGAGGACCTGCCTGAGGACCCCGTCTTCTGGGTACCCTTATGTAGGGGGAGGGAACTGTGCAGGAGCAGCAGGGCTGGAAGCCCCATGTGCCTGGATCAGCAGCCCCCGCACGGTGGGCTAGGTCTTTGCCTGTGTTGGGATGGGGACCTGTAACCATGACCACCACACATTAGTCTGAACCTTAGCAAACCTCACCACATTCAACCCTGAAATAACCCTGGGCTTAGGAATCAGCATTCCCGTTGTAGAGATCGGTGGACCGATGCTCTCAGAGGCTTCCACAAGCGTTTGTATTGTTTGGGGCGGTCGGAACTCAGCGCTGCGGAAGCCGGTGTATCTGAGTCTCTCCACGTGGCTCTACTTTTCTGCAGCCCTGTAGAAATAAACCTGGGTCCTCGCTCCCTGGCCTGGGGAAGGAGGTCTGCAGGGGTCTGTGGGGGCCCTGGAGGCGCCTTCCCAGCTGCACAGGCTCAGTCGGACCAGCAGAGGTCACTGCGTGGGAAAGAGTGGGGCGCCAACCCGCGCAGAGCCCAGCCGGCGACCGCCCCCGCGTCCCCGCGGAGCTCCCTGCCTTCTGCCGCAGTCCTCCGAGGGCTGGGCTTCTGGGGCAGGTCATGGCTATTGCAACCAAAGGGAGGCCCGGGTGCCAGTGGGCGGCCGCCGCGGTGTGGAGGGCGCCAGGGCGGTACGGCGCAGCGGGCCGCACTCTTGGGACGCCCCGCCTGCTCTGCGGAGCCTGCCTGGGATGCCCTTTCCTGGTCACGGACTCCGCCGGCAGCCGGGGCGGGACGGACCAGAGGCTACCAACTGGGGGCTTCTGCTGCCTGGGACACGGGGATCCACATTGCCGTCCGAATCCCATCGCCAAAGCCTGTATGTGCAGCCGAGTGGGAGAGTGGCTTAGGTACTGAGTTTTAGGGCAAGCATACCCCAGACCACGAGAAGAGACCAGCTTGCCTGGGCTTGAACCCTGCCCTTCCCCGCTGTAGCTGGGCACTGCTGGGCAAGTTATCCCACCTCCCTGCCTCTTGGGTTCCTCGCCTACACCGGAGAGTATGTGCCTGCCCCATGGGGTTGCCCCGAAGCTTCGTGAGTTTTATGAGTTTCTCTGTGTAAAGGCTTGGGCAGAGCATGGCACAGGGTCAGTGCTGCGTGTAAAGTGTTAACTATATTATTGTTAACCTTAGTGTCTTTTCAGTCCCATCTAAAGTCCTTAAAGGCAAAGTGAGGCTCCTTAAGTCAAGCTCAGGACAAGGCTACAGAGCCTTCAGTGTTCCTCATTGCAGCAGAGATGGGAGCCCTGAGCTCTCAGAGGCTGCTCTGATGGCTCCTCCACAAGCCAGGGCCAAATGCCCGCCCACTCCTGGGCCTCATGCCAGAGAATGGTCCTGACCCAGCACTCTCCCGCCCCTCTTTGTAGCTCAGTAAGATTCTGGAGTCTCACTTCCAGAGATGCTGTAAGCCCTTGGTGCCCCTCAGTGTCCTCCCAAGGGTCTGGACAAGCCCAAGAGGGGTCAGAGACTTTGCTGAGTAGTGCAGTGACGTCCCATGTACTCGGTCACATCCCTGTTTTCTGCAGATGGGCCTGGCCTCTGGTGCTGTCCTTAGGGGACTCTGCAGTTTCCTTCCTGCAGCTGTAGCTCCCCAGGCCTCCCTGGTGACTATGTCTACTGAAAGGGCTCTTTGTACATGGCCATCTGGGAAAACAGTGGCAGTTGGGGTGCCCCCGCAAGTGCCTGCCAGCATCTCCCAGCCCTTGGGTGACTGCAGACCACATTCCTGAGCTCCCACATGCTGCCGTTCTCGCCAGCACTGGGCTGCCCACTCCCTGGGTGGGGAGTCAGCAGGCCTGGGTTCTTGGGCAAGTCACTTTATCTCTCTGATCTTAGGATCTTCATTTGTAAGATAGAGATCATGATAGTTGTCCTGCCGGCCCCCTGCCAGAGGTTCTACAGAGGCTGTGCATACCAGCCTTTGATAGGAATAAAGGGCTAACGTAGGTTGCTGTAGTTGCTGTGATTGAGCTGTCATCAGGCGCTGCACTGGTCACTTCTGTAAGCAGCCAAGTGGTTGCCAAGCAGAAGGGTTTGGGGAGACACAGATGAAGGAAGACCTTGATCTTGGGGGATCTCCACCCCTCCTCATTTTATTGAAGAATCACAGTACACATTCCTGAGGGCATAGAAATATAAAAATATAGGCTTCAAGAAACCCATAAGCATGGTTTAAATATCCATCTATAAACACATAAATGTTTCAAAACAACAGCTGGAAATTCAAGTCCTCCAGGATTCTGAATTCCTCAAATTTAGGAGAAGGTAGTCTAGGAAGGTTTCCTGAAGGAAGAATCAGCTTTTTTTTTTTTTTTTTAAGGAAAGAGGTTTAAGGTGATGGTGATGATGATGGAGCTTCAGACCATGACAGCCAAATTTATAACCAGTGGAAAGTAGGAGAGATTTGGTGGTAGCTCTTGCCATATAGAGATCCTGAAAGAATAAGTGATGTGTAAGAAATAGTGAGCAGGTCTCCTTCCCGGGGCTGTCGAGTCAGAACTGAAGTTTAGATGGGAGGGTAAACAAACAGGTAGGTTGTCAAGACTGCATCAGCATAGGGCCCAGCTCAGTATGGCCCCTGGTCATAGGTCAGTTTTCCAGGGAAACAGGCTCTGAGACAGAGATTTGCATGCAGGAGGTTTGTAGGGGAGGGCGCTTGGTGTCATCATCTGTGGGATGGGGCAGAGGGGCAGGTTGTACAGTGATGCAGTTGCAGCAGAGGTCTCAGTTGATCTCACAAGGAGCTTTGGAGCTAGGATGGCCCTTAAGGCTGGGAAGCCAAGGCCTTTATGTCCTCTCATTGATCAGTTACTGGATGTGGGCTGCCCTTGGGGTACAACCTTAGGGGATGCTGCTCCCTTCAGTGGAGGGCAGTGCCTAGAGAGGGACTCAGCTGTGAGTTGTCGGCAGCGAACACTCCCAGCAGCTGTGGGAGTGTGTGGCTTCATTTTGAAGGGGAGGTCTGGGTGATGCCCCCATGATGGAGGCAGGGAAGGGCCCCCAGCAGAGTCTGATGCACCTTGCCAAACTCTGACACCAGTGCTGGCCCCTCAGATTCTTCTAGGGCAGGATGGTTTGATCCCTCTCTCTGATATACCCTTTTATAGAAAGTTAGAGGTAGAAGTGAGTTTTGAGATCATTTAATACAATCATCCTCAGCCTGGGAGAAGGATACATCTCAGAATCATCCAGGGCTTTTTCAAACCACTCACAGGAGCTTCTGATGTGCACTGACCTCTGCCATTCCACTAAGACTAAACTGTAAGCTCCTTGAGGTTGGGGTTCTCTCTGTCCTGCACAGTGGTGAAGGAATGTTTGGGGAAAGAATGAATGTGACCTTCGCCCTTGTCCTCAGCCTCATCTCTTGCCACTCACTCAGTTGTTTTCTACACTGCAGTTACTGTGACGTCCTTGCCTTTGCACAGGCTGTTCCCTCTGTTTGGAACTCCCCCATCCCCTTCCTTCCCCTTACTTGCTGCTGCTTGTCTTTCTGGATCCAGTTCAGTTATCACTTCTCCCCACCTCCTAGAATAGGTGTCCCTCTTCTGATTAAATGAGTTAATGCATGTACAGTGCTCACAACAGTGCCAGGCATGTGGGGAGCTCTAGATAGGTGTTAGCTTTCCCTGTGACTCCATTCTTTGGCACACTGTGCTGTGCATGATCCTAAAATGGATCATGCTTTGTTTCAATGGCTTGTTTACTTGTTTATGTACTCAGCAATCTGTAAGTTCTTGGCAAGCAGGTACCATGTTCCTTTATTTTTGTACCCATAGCATCTAGTACAGTGCCTGGCACATGGTAGGAGCTTAATAAATATGTGTGGAATGAGTGGGAGAAATAGGTGTCTAGGGATACATTTTGGCAAAATGTATTTTAAAGTTTTTTAATAAGGAACTAGTTGAGTGAGATTCACTGACAATGACCAGGTGTGGCATCATTGTTGCACAAAAAATACTGAATATTGGATGGATGAATTGATACATGGAGAGATGGGTGGATTGTTGATGGGACAGGCAGATAGGTAGACAGATAGATGAGCGGAGAAAGGGATTGATGGATGAACATTGCCATGTGTGGAAGAAGGCCAGAACTTGCCAGGGTCTGGGCAGGAGGGAAGGTAGATAGGAGAGGGCATTTACATTTCACAAAGGCCAAGCCAACTGGGCTTGAATTGGGGAGGGGCACCTGAAGAAAACCCTTCCCATCTTGCCCACTGAGGCCCCAGGAAATGCTGCTCCTGCATGTTCGTACCCACAGGGGAGGTGCTGGGGACCATTACTCATTCTGACACATCCCTGAGGTCAGTATAGAGGCAGCAGAATGGAGGTGCTGCAGGGTGCTGAGTCAGGGGAGGAGATGGGCTGTTGCCGAGTGGGGCTTTACTGGAGAAAGCCTGGGGACTTGGAGTCAGAGGCAATGATCTCTGTTCCTGAAGGGGGTTGACAGAGAACTCCCAAGGGGAATCAGGGCGAGTGAGATCACCTTGTGAGAGGGTGGAGGATCTGTCACCCCAGAGCGCATGGCTGAGTGCAGATCTGCATCAGGTTTAGGGAACTCTTGTTCTGGAAAAATCTGGCCTTCTTCTGCCTGTTAGGTAAGCAGGTACTTGGCCAGTTAAAGTCTGGCTGATAGGTGGGGCACGGTGCCTCATGCGTGTAATACCAGCACTTTGGGAGGCCAAGGTGGGAGGATCACCTGAAGTCAGGAGTTTGAGACCAGCCTGGCCAACATGGTGAAACCCCATCTCTACTAAAAACACAAAAATTAGCCAGGCGTGGTGGCACATGCCTGTAGTCCCAGCTACTCAAGAGGCTGAGGCAGGAGAATCGCTTGAACCTGAGAGATGGAGGTTGCAGTGAGCCAAGATCATGCCACTGCACTCCAGCCTGGGTGACAGAGCAAGACTCCACTTCAAAAAAATTCTAAAAAAAAAAAAGCCTGGCTGATAGGCAGAGGTTTGTCAACAGTCACTGGGGTCAGACAGTTGGGTCAGTCAGCTGGGTGGTGGGTAGGGGTGCGTTCTGAGTGCACTTGGTTGATGAGATGAGTACTAAAAAGCAAGGCAGGGTCCCTGCTTGGGGAGGCTCCACTGGTTTGTTCTTCAGGGGTTGGTACTGCACCCTTGCAGACAATTGGAAATTTGGGTAGGGAGTGGTGGTTGTAATAGTACAGCAGGGAGGGAATGGGGGAGGGGCAGTGCTGCATAAAAGGCCTGGGACCAGGGAAGCCAAGTGTCCTGCAGGAAGGCCAGTCCTGCACAGCCAAGAGTCATCTCACTCCAGAGGCAAGCAGCGCTCCTTTGAGAAATGCTGTGCTTACTCAAAGGGAACGTTGTCTGCTAACGATTTGCAAGGTCTCCAGCCTTGCTCTCCTCCACACACTCAGACCTCTAGGTCTGTCCTCTCTCCCTTCCCTGTCCTCTCCTCTGGAAGACATTAGAGTTGCCAACTTTGAAAGTTTGTGGAGGGCCATGAGCTCTCTCACAGGGAGGAAGGTGGCAAGCAAGTGAGAAGTAGCAACACCGTCTGCCTGTGGGTCTGGCTCCCTTTTGCAGTGAGAGGTTGGACCCCAGGGCTGAAGGAGGTGGGCTTCTGGAGGGCGCATGGGGGAGAAGCTTCCCATGTGCCCATCACTCAGGGCCTTGGGAACCTCCCAGCAGAACATCAGGCTCTGGGTGAGGCTCCCAGCTCAGCGATGAGCGGGGCGGCTACCCAGATGCTCCTGGGTCCAGCGAGGGCTTCCAGATCCTCCCATTCCCAACCCCATCTTGGTTCCTTCCCTCACCTCAGGACAGAGCTGTCATGTGCAGGCAGGCAGGTGGTGAGGGAGCCCCGCAGAGGCTGCTGCTCCCAACACCACATGTCCTGGAAGGACAAATGTAAAAATATAAAAAGCCTTTGGTCTTGGGGCCGGATCACATGGATCACATGGCTGGGTGGTCTGTCACTTTGGCTGTCGAGTTGTCGGTATCTAAGGTTGAGGTACTGGCTGCAGCCAGGGCTGGGAGAGAACTGGGTTTGGCAAAAATGACACTTCTGTCTGGAGAGCTCATTTTTGTGCGATCTCCTGGGGTGCCCTCCAGCCCCGTGGGGTAGGCTGGGGAGGTGCCACCCTCATGATTCATTTTCAAACAAGAAAATGAAGGCTCTGGTCTGTGCCTGGCTAGTGGTGCAGTGGCTCAGACCCAAGTCTTCTGACTCCTTGTCCAGTGCTCTCTCCTCTGCAGCACAATCCAGCTCTTTCCTTGCAGAGAAGAGCTGGCGATGCTCATCTGTGAGGAGGTAGAAGCTGACCCACAGGACGTTTCCTTGGGAATGTTTGTGGAGGTTTGTGTGGAAGAGGCCTGCCCATCAGGGCCAATTCTGGACTGGCACCCTGCAGGACTAGAGACAATATCCCAGAATCTTCTCAGAAGAAGCAGAGACCTATGCCAACAGCAGGTAGCTGAGTAGTTTGCAGGAACTTAGTGAAGCCCTGGCAGGCCCAGTCTCGGGGTGTCTGGGAGGCAGCCAATGAGGGAGAAGAGGGCTCAGCTGGGCTTGCTGAAGAGGGTCTGGGGCCACTGGACTTCTCTCCAATCACTCTGCTCACATCCCCCTCACCAGCACTGGGCACCCCAAGGAGTCAGAATGGAGTGTGGTGCTCAGGTCACCTGTGGTCCTCCTGATAGTGAGGATCCTGTACCCCTGGCTTCCTCAAGAACTCTGCTTAATGCCCATGGATTGCCGTGGGGGCTCCCCTGGGTCTCGGCTCGGCCCAGCAGCCTGGGCCAGGATGAAAGTGAAGCTGTCAATAATTCATGCTCCAGCTCCCCCTCACTTCCCTCGCTTGGCTGGTTGTAAATATTTCACGGGCTTCAAGGGGCAGAGATGGCCCAGCAGAGACTCCCAGATAGGGCTCGAGGAGGCCTCGCCCTTTCCCAGAGGCCCCCAACCATTCCCCTGGCAGGAAAGGAGCCCAGTCCCAGGCTTGGAGAGTGGTGGGTTGTCCAGAGCTACTACTGACTGGGATGGCCTTGCAGCCTCTGGTGAGGATTTGGGTGCTGGGCCACATGCTCTGCAGACTGGCTGGTTTAAGTGGCTGGTGTAGTGGATCCTGAGAAATGGAAGGAGTGCCGCTGCCTGCAGCCAGCCCTGGAGGTTGTTGTCAACTCCACTCTCTTCCTCATCTCCCACACTATGTCTTGGGTTTATCTTCTCCTCAACCTGCCCTCTCCATGTCACCTGCCTTGGTTCAGGCCTTGATCATCTTCCTGGACAATTGGCCCAGCCACTCTGTGACTCCACACAGCCTAAGGAATCTTTCTAAAACAAATCTGGCCCGGCTACTCCTTTGTTTCAGAGCCTCCACAAGCTCCAGGTTACCTTCAGGGGAAGATCCACTTGCCTCTTGCCAGTGCACAGGGCTTTGTATAACCTGGTCCCTGGGCCTTTCAGCTTCATTTTCCAGCCCCTGTGGCCTGCTCCCCAGTGCTGCAGTCAGCTCATTGTTCTCTGCAACCCTAAGCTCTCTCCCACCTTCCAGCCTCTGTTTTAGTTGCACCTCTGCCAGGAGGTGGTGGGGACACCAATCTCTGGGCTGTGTGCATCTCTAAGCTGTTCTAGGGGTCACTCAGCTGCTTTGGGACCAGGCCTATAGAATGTCAAGGTGAGACACTTGACAGATTTGGGTCCAATTTCCAGCTCTACTAATTGCTTATCTGTCATTGTGACTGGTGTCATATTCTTCTGTACCTTGGTATGCGTATCTGTAAAGTGGGAATAGTAATTCTTACCTCAGAGGAGAGTTGTGAGGCTTGGAAGTAAGGCCTATAAAGTACAGAGCCCAGTCCATGATGCAGAATAAGTGCCCCAGCCATGCCAGCTGCTACTGTTATTATGCCCTCTTTGGATTTGGGGCTGCGGAATTTCCTTCAAGGAGGTAGAAACTGAGATTATTATGTAGAACAGGAAGAAATAAAACAACAGAGGGGTACCAGGAACCTTCAGAGAGTTCTTCTGGTAAGTAGTGTAAGTAGTAGACCTGAGAGGCCCCAGGGAAAGTGAGAGAAAGAGGAACATCCATTATAAGGGCGCATTATGGAGGACACTGCTGTGGGGAATGCGAGCTAGATCCCACCAAGATGGTCTGGGGAGAACATAGAATGCATCTCACAATGGTCCATCTGAGCATCAGCCTAAAGGAGGATTTCTGCATTGGCATCTCCACCCCATTGGTTGAGGGTTACCACCAAGGTATTGGTTTCCTGAACTTATGGATTACACAGGCACGTGTGCTGAGCAAGTTCCCACGTGTATCCACAGTTGCACAGAAAGACTTTTTTGAGGAATTACTTAGGCAAGTTCAAAGCCACTTGGAGCTGTGGCTGGGAGACAGAAGAGAAGAGCAAAAGAGCAGGGAACGTACCATGAGACTAAGGCTGAGGCTCATGGAGGAGGAGACTGTGTGGTGGGAGTGGGAGCTGTGACTTTCTCCCTGACTGACCGACCTACCTACCCTACCTACAAACCTTCCCTCCCTCCCTCCCTCCCTTCCTTCCTTCTTTTTTTTTGAGACGGAGTCTTGCACTGTTGCCTGGGCTGGATTGCAGTGGCGTGATCTTGGCTGACTGCAACCTCCGCCTCCTGGGTTCAAGCGATTCTCCTGCCTCAGCCTCCCAAGTAGCTGGGATTACAGGTGCCTGCCACCATGCCCAGCTAATTTTTTGTATTTTCAGTAGAGACGAGGTTTCGCTATGTTGGCCAGGCTGGTCTCAAACTCCTGACCTCGTGACTGGCCCTCCTCAGCCTCCCAAGTGCTGAGATTACAGGCGTGAGCCACCGCGGCCAGCCCCCTTCCTTTATAAATGATCATTTATCAAGCATCCACTAGGTGCCAAGGAAGAAACAGGTGAATCTGAAGATGACTAGCTCTTCTGCTCCTACCCTGGGCCCAGAGGTGACTTAGAAACAACTCAGGCATGAGGCAGATCTGACAGGGGGGTGACAGGTGGGCGGGTGGCCCTCTCTTTAGGGTGTGGGGAGCAGGGCTGGAGAAGTGGTCTTTCTTCCTCCTTCCAGGACAGTCTGCCTTCCTGCTGGTCCTAAAGGGTGTGAACCTCAAATGTCTGAGACAGGTCCCGGTCAATTTAGAAAGTTGATTTTGCCAAGGTTAAGGACGCACCTGTGACACAGCCTCAGGAGGTCCTGACAACATGTGCCCAAGGTGGTAGGGGCACAGCTTGGTTTTATACATTTTAGGGTGACATGAGACATCAACCAATATATGTAAGATGTACATTGGTTCGGTCCGGAAAGGCGGGACAACTTGAAGCAGGGAGGGGGCTTCCAGGTCATAGGTAGATAAGAGACAAACGATCGCATTCTTTTGAGTTTCTGATCAGCCTTTTCAAAGGAAGCAATCAGCTATGCATTTATCTCAGTGAGCAGGGGGATGACTTTGAATAGAATGGGGCGCAAGTTTGCCCTAAGCAGTTCCCAGCTTGATTTTTTCCTTTTAGCTTAGTAATTTTGGGGTCCCAAGATTTATTTTCCTTTTACATGGGGCAAGCAGTATACCTGGGAGAGCCCTGTCTTTGGGATAATGGGTAGACATCCTTAGCAGTGATGATGGAGACAAGAATAAGAGGCCAGACGCCTCCTCTCCACAGGTCAGCATATGGAGTGTATATGTATGTGTGAGAGCTCCTTCCCCATGGTCTGCATATACATTTAGAACCAAAGAAAGGTTTTTTTTGTTTTTTTTTGTTTTTTTAATAGGATCTCATGATGCAACAGTAGAGAGAAGTTGTTGTCTCACCTCACCTCTCAACCATCTCCAAAATAACCGGTCAGAGTAGCAGTACTTGAGCATCCATCCATCCACGCATCTAGACAGTTTCCCAGATCTGGACCCCGGTGAGAAAAGGGAACTAATCGGACTTCTTTTTCTGAAATTCCAGCTTGGAATTGCCTTCGGAAGACATCCTCAATCCTGCCCCAGCCTTACGATTGTTTTGTGTCATTAGATGAAGTCACTTCACTTCTGAAGCTCACTTGCCTTTTCTAAAAACCGGAGGCTGATAAGGATTGCAGGAAACTCATGGAGTTGTTCCGAGGTTAAAATGAGAGTCTGCCTGTGGAAGGACATTGCAGATGATAGAAGACACAGATGTAAGGCATCTACCTTATCTTTACCAGTTTCATCTTCTTCATCTTCATCTCATTACCATGGTCATCCTCGTTAGCAGGGAAGAGCAGGAGTTCTCACGGCAGGATAGGCTTCGCGGCTGTGCTGGGAAATGCCTGTCTGAAGTAGGCCACACATGGGCTGTGTGGAGGTAATTGATTTAATTCACAATCAGCTTCATTATTAGGTCCACTTCAGAGGTGGGTTTATGGGAGCCTCAACCCGAACATACATCCGCTAGACTCTCCTTTGGCTGGGGCCTCCCCAGCTAAATACGTAGCTTGGAGATTTGAAAGGGGTGGAGGCAGGAACTGCAGAGGAAGCAGCAGCTAATGAAAAATTTAAGCTAATTGTTTGTTAAAAAGCCTTGTCTGCTTCGAATGGGATTTTCTGGGCTGGGGAAGGGGATGTGGGGTGGCCTGTGGCTATTGTCTTTTTTTCAGGCTATTGCTTCCTGGAGGACCCAAGTGGGCAGGGTATGGAGAGGATGGGGAGCTTCCTAGGCAGGCGGCCAAGTGGCTGCATCTCTAGCATCTGCATTTGTTGGAGAAAGAGCCTCTGTGGCCAGCTCTGGCTTCCACTGTTTCAAAGTACAATGCCCCTCTCTGTGTAGAGCTGTGTCTGTGTGGCAGGCATGTGCTTTGTGTGTGTGCTGAGGGGTATGCAAAGGAAGAGGGACAGCAGGGAGTATCCTGTAAGTAACCAGAGTAGTCCAGACCCACTCCTGATTAGCCTGTGATTGGAGGAAAACTTCCTCCCTTTCTGGTATTCAAAGTGCCCACTATGTGGCTGGTGCACTTAGCCTGACCTGGGAAGAGAGGTAAGCCTGCTCTGAGGCAGGGGGAAACCAGAAATTTGTTTTGTAGTGAAAGTAACTAGTGATGAATTAACTCATGGATACTGGAGGCATGGCGGCCCCTGCTGAGGCACCTTGGCTGGGCTAATGTGTCCACTGAGTGAGAATTATATATCAGGCCCAACCAATATCAGAGGGGGAGGCCACGATGTGGGGAGGGCTGCTAGTTGTGTGGACTCTGGGAGAAGTCCCAGAGGCAGGGATGAAGATTGGAGAAATTAGATCAGACCACTTGATAAACGAATTGAGGTTGCAAGAAGTAGCCATTAGGACTGGCTCAAAAGTTGCAAGCAGAGGCAGAGTAGTGAAGGAAGATGCCTGTAAGTGGTCAGGGAAGGGGAGATGGCACCATGGGACTTGGGGGGTTCTGGAAGCCATGGAGAGAGCAGTGTTAGCCCCCAGAATGCAAGGGTGCACTTGAGGTACAGTGAAGAAGGGCTGAGCTTCCCAAGCTCAAAGCTAAAGGAGAAAGCTGGTCTTCTTGTGATACCCCATTACAGGGCCTAATTTTGAGTTAGACTGTGTCCAGTTGGTCTTCAGTATGATATGTTGGTCTGACTGACCTCTCTTGTTGAGTATATCTGCACCCCGAGATTTCTTCACCACGCACTGTGGCATAGTGGAAAGGGCATGAGGCTTGGAGTCACACAGACCTGGGTCCAAATCCCAGCTTGCCATTTTGGGGAAACCTTTGCTGAACCCTGAGGCTAGGTTACCTGTATTTCCATGGTACCAAATGCTTATCTCCATCTCTGAACTGCGCACAGTACAATATGATGAAATTACATACTTCTGAGGCAAACTGTCAAGCTGGTTTTCATTAGGAAGTTGCTGTGCCTAACACTGGACTCTGTAGGGTATTATCTTTGCCCCAATATTTCTTCATTGTTGTTGAGAGTCTCAAGGGTAGGGAGCACAATTGTTTTTTCTATAAATACCAAACACCTTGGGCTGTGCCTGGAGCACCTGATTAATGTGTGTTTGTGGAACTGAACTGACCGTTGATGATGTCACCTTTTGGATCCTGGTTTTCTCATTGATAAAATGTGTACAAGCAATAGTGCCCACCCTGGGATTACGGTATGGCCTGAAAGAAATAAGCACCAGAAATGAAAGACCCTGTATAATATCTGGCACGTAAGTAGGTGCTCACATACTCTGGTGAATCCATGACTTTCTGAGCCTGACATCTTTTAACATCTTGTGGTGGAGAAATTCTCATCCCTTGGGTGAGGGTAGTGGAAATTGACCAGGGGTTCTGGGAGACCTTCTCTTTGGGGTTGCATGAGTTCACTTTGTACTGGACTTTGCTGCAAAGGACCTGAAGCTGTCCTTCTGACTGGAGGGTTCCAGGGGCAGGGAGACTGGTTAGAGGCAGAGATTTGCTCTGGCTTGGGGCTGTGGTGGAGTGGTAAAAGTGGGAACAGGTAGAGGTGGGGACATTTCTCTATCAGAGCCTGAAGGTTTCTCTTGCCATCAGTGGACTTGATTTCTAAGTGCACCCTGAGGATAGAACAAGTGGAAGCAAGATAACGCACCAAGAAAGCTGAGGATAGACTTAGAAGAAACTTCCTGATGCTTCTATAAAGTTGGGTGTCTCATTTCTATCTCAGGAAATTATTTCTAAAATTTAGACAACTCCTGCTAGTTTGGTTCATAGAAATCACAGCCATCATGACCTCTCTATTATTTTATTGTTTTCTAAAATACAGGAATACAGGAATATTGTTTTACAAAAGATTCAAACAATGCACACATTAGCAAATAAAGTAAATGGTGAAAGTCCCCTTGGTTCCAAAGCTATCTCTTTCGTTCTCACTTCCTTCCAGAGGGACATCACTCTTAATGGTTTGATGTGTACTCTTTCAGAATTTTGCCCATGCATTTATAGGTATATGTACATAAATGAAAACGGATACAAAGCTTTATTTATTTATTTGAGACAGAGTCTGGCTGTGTTGCCTAGTCTGGAGTGCGGTAGCGTGTTCATGGCTTACTGCAGCTTTGACCTCCTGGGCTCAAGCAATCTTTCCACCTCAGCCTCCTGAGTAGCTGGGATCACAGGCATGCTCCACCATGCTCGTCTAATTTTTGTATTTTTAGTAGAGGCGGACTTTCATCATGTTGCTCAGGCTGGTCACAAACTCCTGAGTTCAAGCAATCTGCCCTCCTTGGCTTCCTAAAGTGTTGGGATTACTGGTGTAAGCCACCATGCTTGGCTGATGTAAAGCTTTTAAACATGAATGGGATTGTACTATTTCCATTGTTTTGGAGCATGTTTTTCCAAGAAATGCATCTGGAGATCTTTCCATGTATGTACATACAAATAGGACTTAATAAAAAAAAAGCCTCTGTAGTATTCTATAATATAAATGGATTATAATTTTAAACAACTTTTTATGGGTATTCTGATTACAAGTGAAGTGGAGCATCTTAAAAATGGTTTGTTAGCCATTTAAATTTTATTTTTAATTTTTAAAATTGAATTGCCTCTTTATAACTTCCGTCCATTTTAATGTACATTGGATGTTTGGTCTTTATAATTGATTTGAAGTTATTACATAAATCCAATATTAATCCTTTTGTGTTAAATACATTGCAAATATTTTCTTCCATGCCCTTCATTTGCCTTTTAACTTTATTTGTAAGTATTTTGTTGTGTAAAACTTTTCATTTGTAAGTAGTCAAATCTGTCAGCTATTTTCCTTATGGCTTTCAGGTATCATGTTTTATTTAGGAAGGTCTGTCTCAGTCCAAGGCTAAAAACAACATTCTCCTATAATTTTATGTAATATTTTCAAGTTGTTTTCACTTTTGGCTTTTTTACATATCTGATCAATGGTGTGAATCTATTGTTTAATTGTTGTTGGTGCATGTCAGTGCTGTAGGTAGACAAAGGCAAATACTGGTACAGATAATTCCAAACATCAAAAAATGTTTACCTTTGAAATCATGTGATTATAGAGTTTTATATTTTAGAGGGCTGGTTTTTAAAAATGTCAAAATGTTTTTAGCAATAAATTTAAACAATGAAGAAATATAGGATGTAAAAAATGAAGGTCCCTCAAGCTTCCTTTTCCAATCCTACTTCGATTGAATTGAATTTCTTATGACAAACATGTTTTATAAACATAGAACATATATTTGTTGGCGATTTGTATTGCTTTTTCTTTTTCTTTCTCACTCTGTCACCTAGGCTGGAGTGCACTGGTGTGATCTCGGCTCACTGCAACCTCCACCTCCTGAGTTCAAGCGATTCTTCTGCCTCAGTTTCCTGAGTAGCTGGAGCTATAGGCGCATGTCACCATGCCCGGATAATTTTTGTATTTTTGTAGTAGAGATGGGGTTTTGCCATATTGGCCAAGCTGGTCTCAAACTGCTGACCTTGTGATCCACCCACCTTGGCCTCCCAAAGTGCTGGGATTACAGGCCTGAGCCACCGCACCCGGCCTTGTATTTCTTTTTCTATAAATTACCTCTGTACCCTTTATCCATTTTAAAAATTGGGCTGTCACTTAAAAAAAACTTATTTGATGGCATTGTTTGTACCTTAGGACATTAACTCTTTTATATAAGTTCTATAGAACTTATATAAGTTATATAAGTTCTATATAACTTATATAATGTTCTATAAGTTCTATATAACTTATATAATGTTCTATAAGTTCTATATAACTTATATAATGTTCTATAAGTTCTATATAACTTATATAATGTTCTATAAGTTCTATATAACTTATATAATGTTCTATAAGTTCTATATAACTTATATAATGTTATATAAGTTCCAAATAATTTGGAAATTCCGGTCTGTAATGATTGGCTATTAAATTATAACACTGATGATCATCTTTTCGGTTTCTTTCATTCATTTATTTTTGAAGAGCTGCACAATAGAATGGAAAAGAGCACTGAATCAGGAGTAAAAAGAGCTGGGTGTTGACTTGGTACATCCACAAACTAGCTGTGTAACCTTGTGGATGCCGTGAATGTCTCTGTGCTTCAGCCTCCTCGCCTGCAAGGTAATGTAACAGTGCTCTAAAATCCCAAAATTCTATGATTTTTGTTACTCAGCCATTGTGTCTTTAATGGTCTTCCTTTCTGAACAGAAGTATGGCAGATTCACATCTTGAATTATATGGTGCCCAACCGTATTAGTGATTCTGATTCCCTGGTGAATATGGCAACCAGTGAATTGGGAAGTGGGGGTGAGTATCAGCTAAAGAAATGAAAGCACCAGCCTGGCAGGTAAACAGTTCACAGTCCCCCAGAGATGGCACAGAAGGGCTGTAGTACTAGGGGATGGGAGACTTGGCATCTTAGACAAGTCACTGTTCCTGTCTTGGCCTTGGAATTTTGATCTGGAAAATGGGGATGGGGAATTGTGGATGACTAAAGATTTCTGAGCTGCCTTCCAGCTCTGCTGTTCTGTGATGGCCCATGTGAGTCACAGGTAGGTGCTTCTGTGGTGGCCGGCTGGCCGTTTATCTGGTGGCCTCCCCTCCTCCCTCCCTGCGGGTGGCCCCTCTCCCACACCCTTTCTAACACACTGGGCATAACTGCTTTACAGCATCCATCTGGCTGCTCTTGGTGTGTCTCTGTGTGAGCAACTTCAGAACAAGACTTCTCAACTTTTAAAAAAAGCCTGATTAAAAAATTCTCTGTTGATTATTAAACATGCTCATTGTAGGGAAAAACAAAATTCATAAAGCAGATAAAGAATTCTAATAAATCTGAGACATCTACTGTTAGCATTTTGTTATCTTTTCTTTTAGTCTCTTCTCTGGATTTGCTTTTTTTTTTTTTTTTTTTTTTTTTACTATATACACAATTTTGTATCCTGAATTTTTCACTTAAAACTCTCCATAAACATCATTTAAGGTCACTAATATCAGAGAGAAGAAATATTTTATTGTTTAAAAGTATCTTTGCATGTGTATGTCATTTTTGTCCCCAGAACAATGTTAGGAGGCATTGGGGAAGAGTAGGTGTGACTATTCCTAATGTGGAGGTGAAAGTGAAGAGTAAAGCAATAGATAGAGCTGTGCCAGGGTCATGAAGCTAGCCAGCTGCAGGGCGGAGCGGCTCTACTGCTGACATTTGCATTGGGCATTATAGTTTACTGAATTTTCACACTTATTCACTTCTTTCAATAATTCTGTAAGGAACGTGGCTAGAAATTACCATCCCCTTTAATGGCACTAACTGAGTTGCAGATCATGGAGTGATCTGCCCAAGGACGTAGAGAGTCAGTGGCAAGACCAGGATTCAAACCCGCATTTCCTGACTCCAGGTTTCGTGATCGTCTTGCATTCCCAGGTGAGAACTCTTTCCACTAAAGTCCCAGTGCAAAATGAAACTTGAGTGATGCTAGTGGGCAGCAAAATTTCAGAAATGAGAGTTCAGGGTTGTTGCTAGAGGGAAAGCTGATCCTCTAATCAATCCAGACATCATTTATTTATAACCATAGAAGCTCAAAGAAGGTGCACATCAGCAGAGGTGGAGGAGGGAGAGGAAGCAACAGAACTCATCTTAGAAGGAGACACGTGGAGTTCTGACGTGGGGGTGGGGGCGACTGGGCATGGGGGTCGGGAGGGGAGAGGGTGGATAAAACTGGGGGGAGGGGGCAGGGGAGGGCCCCTCCTGGCGCCCATCCTGGCAGAAAGTGCTTCTCCTGGATTGATGGAGAATCCTTCTTCCTCTGTCCCTCTGCATTATGTTCTTTAAAAGAAATGTGATTTAGCTGCTTCTCTTGCCCAGCCCTTGACTCCTCTGGACAGAAACAACCTGAAAAAACTGCTCTGTTGGCCAGAACAAAGGGTGGGTTTGGTGTTTCTTTAGAAAGCACTGGTCTCAGCTTGATTTTTCCAGGGCTGACCTGTCCAGTCTGCTTTTTTAACAGCATTGAAACTGCTCAGTTCTCTGGGTTGGGCCCTCAGAGAAGAGGGCTGCGAGGGTTATCCCACGGAAACGGATCTGCCCAGTCACTGATCCAAGGCAGCAGATGGGCTGCAAAAAGATGTGGTAGGAAGAGCTGCCTCAAGGATAAGGAGGCCTGGGTTTCCATCCGGCTTGGCCACTGCACACTGTGTGCTTTTGGGTGGGTCATCATCTCTGAAAAGCCCTCAGTTTCCTTATCTTAAAAGTGAAGGAGTTAGAGTAGAATCATCAAATAGACTCTAGAATTTATTTCAAATAGACTCCAGGGTCTATTTTGGTTCTGGTGTCCCTTGATTCATTTAGAGACAGTATAGCTTAGAGGACAAGCCTGTGGACTCTAGAGGACGAGCTAGAGCTAGAAGGCCTGGCTTGAATCCTGGTTCCGTCACTAGCCGTCTGTATGACTTGGTGAGAGTGAGTCACTCAGCCTCTTCTGCCTCTATTTTCTCACCTGTACAATGGGGCTAGTTCCTACCTCACTACATTGTTAGGATGATTAAGTGGGTTAATTTGGTGAAACACTTGGAAGGGTACCTGCCACATGGTAAGTGCTTTCTAAATGTTTGCTAAATAAATATGTATTATTGCTAAGTTTGGGGGAGGTGGGAGTGGGTACCAGATTGTAATCCTCCCACCTGGAAGGTGCACAGCTTGTAGATGTAATAGGGGTTCACAGTTGTTTCTTCCTCTCTGAGGATGGCTGAGATTTCACAGGGCGAGTCAGTGTTGATTAGTTGCTCTGCACAGCCAACTTTCTTAGAAAATAATGACAGCAACTGACTTGG
Organism: Homo sapiens; assembly: GCF_000001405.40. Lineage (NCBI taxonomy): Eukaryota > Metazoa > Chordata > Mammalia > Primates > Hominidae > Homo > Homo sapiens. The sequence goes on from NC_000001.11 coordinate 110,572,754, forward strand.
AGGCTTTCAGGGAGCCTGCTTCCTACATTATTTTATGAAATCCTTCCTTAACCCTGCAAGGCACTTGGTTATCACCCCTAGCTCCCAGGTAAAAGCCAGAGGTTCATGGAGGTGCACAGCTTGAAGTGGTGGCCCCAGGACCCAGCTTGTCCTCTCTGCCTCTGTAGCACAGCTCTGGGCAAAAGCCTTCTGCCCAGTGGGAGATCCATACTTAAGGTCATCTTGTTGAACACAGAGTGGCCAAGGCTGAGAGCGAGGACTGACCGTGAGCCAGGCCAGGGGACTTGGGTGCTTTTAAAAATTGATTTGTACTGATCGTATAGAAAAAATGTACAAACTTACCAAGCTTTTAAAACTCAATACCTTACTGTTGAACATTTAGGCTATTTTCAATGTTAAGATATCATTATGTGCATATTAAACTAGTAAAACATAATTATTTCAGAACTTTAGAAGCAGTTACATGTATCTGTTGATGAGGGCTCCATAAATTGGTTCAGTTTTTCAAGAGAGCAATCCAGTAATATTTAAGAGCTATAAAGTTATTCCTACCTTTTGACCTGAGAATTCCACTTCTCAGAATATACTCCAAGGAAATACCCCAAAAGAGACAAAAGGAAGTAATTTGTATTTACTTGTTCTTAGAAATGCTATTTTTAAAAATTGGAAGCAACCCAAATGCCCAACCATTGGGGTTTGGTTTGAAACTCACAGTCTATTTGCATTCTAGAATATGATAGAGCTATTAAGAATGACAAATATGGGAACAATGTCAAGGCATGGACAAATGTGTACATACAAAACAAGAAGTGGCAAAGGGGCTAAGTAGTATGTATTTTCTGATGACAACTATGCAAAACATGGACCTGTATTTGTTCAATGAATTGATGAAGATGAGATGCAAGTTGCCGTAGGTTTGAATATTTATCAAATGGTTTTTGCTTATAATAAAAATAAAATGGATTCTTTTATACTCATAGATGAACAGAACTAGCTACACAATCTGCAGGCCTCAATGCAAAAGAACCATGTAGGGCTCCTTTTTCAAAAACTAATAATTTCAAGGTGGCAATTGCAGAGCTGTAAGCCAAGAGTGGGCCCTTCTGACCATGAGGCCCTGTGCAACTGCTCTGTACATCCAAGCCCTAGCTAGAGCTGTCAGTCCAATCTGCCCACTTCACCAGTGAGCAAACTGAGCTTATGAGCTTGAGTTCTGCTTAGAAAACTCAGAAGCATCTACAATCCTGAGTTCTTCAAGCTTGGAATTAGTGCTGAGGTTACTGAACATTCGGAGGTTGGATCTAGAGAGGATGTAGTCACAGATTGTTGTCCATTTATTTGTCCCTAGGTTTTGCTGCTCTAGCGGGAGAGTCAACTGTACTTCATCCATTCTTCTATCTATTTAGCAAGCATTTATGTACTGGGCAGTCTTCTCACTGATGGGGATACAGAGGGCTCAGAACAGGAGCTTAGGGTTTAGTTGCAAAGACAGACGAAGAAGATACATGTTTACAGGGCACTTTGGTGAAAGCTATGGTAGGTTTGAACTAATGGTTTAGAAAGCACAGAAGTGTAGTTGGGGAAGTGGCAGCTTTTCTGGCATTGAGGACTGACACCTGAGTTTTGAGAAAGCCATACCTTAATAAAGAAGGTGAAGGATAGCTAGGCAGAAGAAACAACATGTTCTACAAAGCCCAAGCAGAGACAATGTGGAGATCTCCAAGTAATGACTTGTTGGAGTAATATCACACGATTGGTTAATACGGAGACAAGCCAACTAAAGCTCCAAAGTCTTTGCCTGAAGAATCTCTTAAGATGGACTGTGACATCTGTTCTGGGTCATGCCCTCTCAGGTTTGATCAGCATGCTGTCCGTGTCCTCATCCAAATCGTCAGTGGGAATGCTGATCAGGACAGCGTCAACACTGGGTGCTATTGCAGCCTCCCTCACCACCCTTCCTTGAGATTTCTCTAAGTTGTCCACAGGTCTGTGAGAGAAGCTCTGCTGCATGCCTTCCTGATATCAGAACATACTGATTCTTCTGGCCCATCACAAAATAACCTTGGTAGTTAGGCAGTGTTGTTTTCTGAGACCCTATTGGGTTTCTAGTAGATGCTTCTTACTGTTCTGAAAGCCCACATGCCTAGTACCTGAGGACATGAACTGGAAATTGTCCATAGTGAGTTCAGAAACAAAATTGACCACCCTCCTTTCCTTCCCCAACTCTGCACCATGCAGTGTCATGGCTACATGCTTGTCCTTGGCCCAAACTTCAGTGCCACCAGATCCCCCTAGTATGGGAAGCCCCAGGTTCTCCAAGACTCAGTCACGACCTTGACCATTTACCTCCCCAGTTGGGCTCGTGCAAATCCTTAGGGAAGCTGGAACCAGATAGTGACCACAGGACTCTTCCATTTACCTTTTCCTGGAGACGTCACATATTGTTCTTTACTTACCCAGCTGAGTTTGTGCTTGCTATTCAGTTTTAAAAATTAATTACCTTTTGTATTTACATGTAAATAGCTAGTTTTAAAAGATTTCCTTTTGAGATGGGGTCTTGGTATGTTGGCTATGCTGGTCTTGGAGTCCTGGGCTCAAACAATTTTCCAGCCTCAGCCTCCCAAGTAGCTGGGATTACAGGCCTGCACCACTGCACCCAGCTTGTAAAATAAAATATTTGATTGAGAAAAAAATCACCCTATTCGTATTACTCAAAAGGAATCATCACTAAAAATCTGTGGTAACTATTTTGGTCATGTCTTTATGTGTATATGCATAGAGAGGAGTAGATGGATGGGCACAAAGTGATAGAGAGAGAAATAATTTCACCAGGATGGAATCACACCATATGTAGCATTTTAACTAAAATGTAGTAAATTTAATTTAACTGAAAGCTTTACTGGGATAATAGGAAACTCAAGGAATTGACATGGAATTTCTGAACATCAGATAAATGTTTTTTTCACAAGAAATATTAGTTCGTAAAATAGCCCTCAGAGTTAAGAGAAAATAAGTATTGAGAGAGTAGAGTAAATTTTAAGTGAAATTTCGAATTTTAGACACTATCTAATGACTCTCTGCTATGAAAGTGAGTAAATCAGCATGTTGCTCTTTCCCCTCTCCTCCTCCACAACACAAGATATTTATTAAATGCATTACTTTCACATTGTCCAAAGTAATGACATTTACTTTCTGTTCTATGTAAATCTTTATGGACTGTGGACTATGGAATGCTTAATACTAGTTGTTGTTGGTTTTTGTAAACCACAAATTTGATCTTCAAGTTATTTTGATTTACTATTTGGTTGGCTAGATTTATAGTCAAATAATTTTTTCTAGGAGTCTTCTTATTTTGCATGTATGATGGTATCTGTCCACTGGCTTTATACTTGAAGGTGACATGCCTGTTTAAGCTATGCTTTTCTTCTCTTGGAATGTTGTAGGCATGATTTCCCTGTCTTTGGGACTGTGTTGTTAAGGGAAAGTCTGAGGCATTTCCTCTGAGATAGCTAATGGGCTGGGCAAAGTTCACATGACCAAAGCTCAACTCCCCAAAACTATTCCTCCATCATTTCCCAGTACAACAAATGGCACCACCATTCACCCAGTTGTCCAGGCCAAATCCTTAGAATTATCCTTTCTCTCATATCTCACTTTCAGTCCTTCAGCAAAAAGGGTGACTCTACCTTCAAAATATATCTGGATTCTCACTACTTCACATTTCCTCCACTGATTCCACCCTAGCATGAGCCATCACACTTCTCTCTGGCACTGTTGTAATTACTTCCTAAGAGACTTCTTGCTTCTGTTTCATCCAATTCTGTTGTATCCTATCCTACCCTACCCTACCCTACCTTACCCTACCCTACCCTACCCTACCCTGCCTTACCTTACCTTACCCTATCCTATCCTATCCTATCCTATCCTATCCTATCCTATCCTATCCTATCCTATCCTATCCTATCCTATCCCATCCCATCCTATCCCATCCCATCCCATCCCATCCCATCCCACCCCACCCATCCTATTGAATTCTATTCTCCAGGTAATTCATACAATACCAAGTTATTATCTTAAAATTACATCATGCCACTCCCCAGTTCTCAGCCCTCTAATGGTTTTCTATCACATTTAGCATTTATATCCTAGAAGACTTTACAAGATCTTGCCCAGATGACTTCTCTGACATCATTTCTACCACTCACTCACTCACTCACTCACTCACTCACTCACTCACTGTGTTCTAGCCACAATCTTCTTGTTGTTTTTGAGCCTTTATGTAGATTCCCACCTCAGGATCTTTGCACTTGATTTTTTTTTTCTGGGATGCTCTACCTTTCAGATATCCTTATGGCTCCTTCTTCACATCCTTCAGACCTCTGTTCAAAGTGACTTTATCAGGGAGATCTTTTCTGACCACCTATAAAAATAAAATGTCTTTACCAGTCTTAATCCCCACATCCTGGCTTATCATTCTTCATAACTCATACCATAACTGATAAATGTTTTTTATTGACTGTCCTTTTGCCAGAATTTAAGCTCCATGAAATTAGGGACTTTGCTTTATTTATCACTCTGGCACCTAACAGTGCCTGGCACATTGTAGGTGCACCATATGTATTGGTTAAACTAATGAGTTAACTAACAAAATAATATTTTTCACATTGTATTTTACCTTTTTTCTTTTCTAATGTCCCTGTGATTCTTTCTTTATCCTTGAAGTTGAATAATTTCAGCAAAATGTTTTGATATAGATTGTTCTTCACAGATTTTTTGTTTCCTAAAGCACTGTGTACCCTTTTTGACATGCAGGCTTTTCAGGAATGTTTTCTTTTACTTTAGTGTGTCTTCGAATACTTAATCTATCCTATTATCTGTTCCCTTCTCCACAAACAGCAATGCTATTGACTCTGGATCTTCTTTGTCATTTGTATTTTTAATGTTTTGTGCAATATTTTCATATCTTTATTCTTTTCTTTATTGTTTTATAATTTCTTCTATCCTGTCTACCATGTTGTTGACAGCATTTTAGTTATGTGTATTCTATTTTTTTCACCTTTACAATATTTTTATTTTTCTTTCATTTGTTTCCTGAACTCTGCTAGCTTATTTTTCCTTTTATTACTTATAGTCTCTTCTTTTTGTTTTTAAAATCATTTTATTAGATTTAGGTTTCTAAATTGACATGCAGTAAAATGCACTCTCTGTGGATTACAGATCTATGAATCTTGGCAAATGCATAGAGTTGTATACCTACCACAACGGGGATACAGAATAGTTCCATCACCCCGAATAATCCCTTTGTGATCCTTTTGTAGCTGATTCCTCCCCTGCTGCTAACTGTAATCCCTGGAAACCACTGATCTGTTCTCTAACCCCATAATTTTGCCTTTTCCAGAAACTTCTATAAATAAAAGGATATATTATATGCTTCTATAAATATAAGGATATATTTTGGATCTGGCTTCTTTCACTTAGCAAAATGCACTTGAGATTCATCCATGTCATTGTGTGTATACATCGTTCATTACATTTTATTGCTGAATGGTACTCTATTGTTTGGGTGTTCCAGTTTGTTTATCCAGTGACTAAGTTACTGAAAGACATCTGCATTGTTTCCAGTTTTTAGTGATTATGGTAAAGCTGCTATAAACATTCATGTAATGTTTTCTTTTGTGAACACAAGTTTTCATTTCTCTTGGATAATTATCTAAGAGTAGGATTACTAGGTTATATACTACATATATGTTTCCCTTTAAAAGCAACTATTAAATAGTTTTCCACAGTGGCTGTAGAAATTTGAGGCCAGGAATATATGAGTCCAGTAGCTCTGCATTCTCACTAGTACTTGCTATTGTCAGGAATTTTTATTTTAACCATTTTGATAAGTGTTTAGTGGTCCTCATCATGGTTTTAATTTGCATTTCTTTAATGTCCCTATTTTCCACCCATATGTCTTTTTTGATAAAGTGTCTGTTCAAATATTTTGCCCATTTTGGGAAAAAGTTGTTTGTTTTCTTAGCGTTGAGTGTTGTTCTTTATATATACTGAATACAAGTCCTTTGTCAGATATGTAATTTACAAATATTAGGTTGCCATTACTTTCAAGGGCAAAAACCATAGTTACTTTTGTACCAATCTGATATTTTTCTTCCAATCTGTGATTTGTCTTTTCATTCTCTTAACAGTCCCTTTTGCAGAGCAAAAGTTCTTAATTTGGACAAAGTTCCATTTATCATTTTAAAAATTGGATTTTGCTTTTGTGTCATCTCTAAGAACTCTTTACCCAGGTCATAATGATTTTTCTCCCCAGTTTTCTTTTAGAAGTTTTATAGTTTTATGTTTTACCTTAAGGACTATGATACATTTTGAGTTAAATTTTGTATTCACTGTGAGGGTTCATGAGTGTTCTGAGGGGGTTTGCTTGAGACTAGGTTGTAGGCCTTTGCTGGCCACATGGGGCTTTTTCTAGGGGTCTAATGAGGACAGAGAGAAGAAATCAGATCTCCATGCCAGACACCCTGAGGGGTATGAGTGGCTCTAACTCTCTCACTGTTGGACATGACACCTGGGACTGGAACATTGTCTCCAGAAAGCCTCAGCAAAGTGAGAGCTTGGGGTGGGCATAAGAACAGAGTATCAGGGAGTGTTTGTCCAGGAAAGCAGCTGTGGGTGTGAGATCTGATGGGGAAGAGGACCTGGGATTTTAGAGGGATAAGCTATTGAAAATAACAGCAAAAACAATAGTGGCTATCTTTTACTAAACAGTTAGGACAGCAACTTTATATACATACTTTCTAAGCCTTACAGGCACCTGGCAAGGAGGGAGTTATCCCTTTTATACAAATGTGGGAACCAAAGTTCAGAGAAGCTGTCTGTTCAAGGCCACACAGCTATTGATTGGGAGGCCGTGATTTAAACCCAGGCTGGAAGCTAAAGCTGGTTCTCTGTCTACTCCAACAGCTGCCCCGCATGACTCAGGGCTCAGGGGACACTGAGTGGAGGTGGAAAAAGGGCAAGGAGGAAGGAAGGCTGAAGTTTGGTCAAAGACAGGCTCCTATGAGGCCGAAGGGCAATCACCTCTTGGATGAGGGGCTGGGAGAATCCTTGGAATTGTTCTCCCTGTGATGCTTTATGAAACAGTGTATGTAACTTCTCACTTATGGAAGAATCAAGAGCAGAGGACTGGACAAAATGGCCCCAGTGGACACTGAAGGAGAACCTCAGGGATACAGCCCTGATGGAGCCATGTGTGCCTGCTGTCCTAGGTGTTTCCTCCCAAGGCTGACTTGGCATTTTTAGGCCAGTCCCAGCCTGGGAAGCTATCTGGCTGACTAGGTGACCAAAAGACAAGTTCCTTCCCACCTAGGCGGGTACCCATGTCTCCCCTTGGTGTCTCAGGTGGGGCACAGCCCACAGAAGCCCCGCCCATCATTGACTATCTGGACTATCTGTCACACTGAGGAATATCTACAGGGTCTGGCAGTGGGCAGGAAGTGCCTGTCCTAAGAGAATGGGGCCTAGAGTCTGGGAGAGGTGGTCTTGACAAAAGATAACAATTCTGCACCATTCTGCTGTTCTGTGTAAAGATCTTTTTCCCTCTCCCAAATAAGGGGACTCTTTGGCCTAGGTCATAGAGCTATTCATGGAAGGTAGGCAGTGTGCCAGTGTTCCAGGCAGGCACCATTTTTGCTCTGTAAATAAATGCAGTGGAGCCACTGCCTCTGTCCCCAGGGGACCAGCAGTCCAGTATGCTTCCAAGCGGGGCTCCCAGGGAGGTGGAAGCAGAGCCACAAGGGCCAGAGAGGTGGAGAACCTGGAGCCTACTCATACCAACCTCAGGTAGCCCCTGGCAAGGGTTCTGCCACCCTTGTTTGGTCCTTTGTCCACCCTTCCCTGAGAGCAGCAATAAAAAGAGGGGCTATAAATGTGCCCTTGGCTTGGCCTTGGCTCCTGAGGGTGAGGATCCAGATGACAGTGTCTCAGGGAGCCTGGCCAGCCCAGGCCTGACTTGGGGGGATGCCGGACAACACAGAGGAACTGGAGCCATCCCTACAACAATAGGGTCTCTCCTTAGCCTAAAGAGACAGAAGCTGAGGGGAGAGGAAGTGAGAATCCAGTCAGTGAATTCAGGAAGGGTCTGAGCAGCATGAACACACTTGGCCCTGAGGTTATCATCTAGGATCCTGCAATGAGAGGCAGCAGGGCTCTGGTGAGGGCCAGCCCCAGCTCCCCTTTACTAGCTGGGCAAGTTACATAAACACTCCAAGCCTCAGTTTCCTCTGCTGTAAAGTTTTAAGGTTTTTGGGAGAAGTGGTTGACATATGAGAAGTGTTTAACATACTGTCTGGCACCCAATACGTGCTCAATAATTGTAGCAATGAGCTTCATCATCATCATCATCATCATTGTTTGATACTTTAATTAATGCACTGGGAGTCAAAATACTTACATTTGAGACTACTTCAAACATTTAGTTATTATGTGACCCTGGTGAGGTTATTTGACCATTATGAGCATCAGTTTCCTAACCTCTAAAATAGGGTCAATAACAATATTTGTCAGAAGATTGGTGGGGTAACTAAACATTTAGCACCTGGCACAGTGTAGGCCCCAAATACACTCAGTTAAAATGAAGAGACTCCTATAAAGCTTAAGAAGGACAGCTTAGGACCCTTCCTGCAAAGAAGTATGATTTTTGTGGCAGGGAGCCACTTCATGGGATGGATCACCTCAGGAGATAATCTTGATTAGTGCCTTCCCCAGGAGTGTTTCAGTTGCAAGGGAATAAATCCAACCTAGACCAGCTTGAGAAAATAGGGAAACCTAAGGGAGTGCAGATGGGCTTCAGGCACGATTGGATCCAGACGTTTCAATAATGGCATCAGTACACGGTCTCTTCATGTCAAGCTCTCTTTTCCACTGTGCCAACTTCTTTCTCAGCCAGGCTTTCTCCTCGTGGTGGCAAAGCTAGCCACTGTCTGCACCAGCTTGCATCATTCCACAGCTGCTTTAGAGAAAAGAACAACACCCTTTCCCCCTGGGCATGCATCTCACTCTCCTAAAAGGACTGTTTGGATGACATGACTACCCCTGAACCTCCAACCAGATTCCATGCAGGTCACGTGCCCAGCCCTGCAGCAAGGTCTTAGGGCCCTTTGATTGACAGCTCCATTGGAATCAATGCAGGGGGACTGTTCCCATAAAACAAAGAAGTGTGCTGTTACCAGAAGAAGAGAGAAGGCTCGCCGGGCAGGCAGATTGCAATAGCTGTCAACTAGAGTTAAAAATATGCTCTAAGTAAATCCCTGGATGACCTAATGCATCTTAATGGGCTGTTGTGGGGAGTGAGGATGCTTGCAAGATTTCATTCTGTCGGTCACTCAGTGCCCAGCCAGGGAAGGATTCATGGACTGGATCTCCATTGATCTGTTTTGTCCTTTGCACACGGCCAGTCCCCAGCTTGCCTCCAGACCACACCCACAGTCTCACTCCCACCTTCAAGGTAGCCTTGGAGGCCAGACTTCTCCCCTTGAGCTAAGGTGGTCCAGGAAGCATGAGGATCTGAGGGCTGAACATTCAATCCTTGCTTAAATGAGTGCTGGGAGGGGATAGAGCGAAATACAGATGGCCCTGAAAAGAACCCTGGACATGGAATCAGAAGCCAGGGGTCTGATGCTGGCCCTGTTCCCTGCCAGCTGCATGACCTTGGACCATGCCACTGCCCTCAGCATCCTCTTCTGCCAAAGGAGGGGCTGGGCTAGATGGTCTCTGACGTCTCTTCCAGTGCTGACATTCTGGGACTCTGTGAATGTTATTAAATTCATGAATCGGCTTCTTTGCCTGGAACAAGTCAGCTTAAAATACATGCAAATTGCACTAAGTATAGCTGTTCCCTTGCTGAGGAGGCAGCCTGGCATATTTACATAGTTTGAAATTGGCTGCTGCATGCACAGGGTGGGGGAGCAGTGACAGGCTCTGAGGCTGGGCCAGCAGCCGCCGCCTCTAATGCAAGTGGGGTCCCAGACCTTTCTCAGCTTGGAGTCCTGAAATTCATTGTTAGCAGGGAAGAGGATGAGAGCTGCTCTGTACTAGAGCCTGGATACGTCAGGATCCTTTCTGGGTGCTTGCTTTCTATTATCTTATTTAATCCTCACAGCAGTCCTTGAAAGCAAGTATTACTGTTGCCTTTTAACCAATGAGAAGACCAAGGCCTCGAGCTTGCCCAAGGCCACACAACCACTAAATGTTGAGGTTAGGCTGACTTCAAAATTCATGCTCTCTCCACCACTAGGCCTGCAGTTTCCTCTACACACCCAGGCACTGCCAGACTCACTGCTGTTTGGGCATGCTCTTGTTGGCCAACATTGAGAGTCTTCGTTTGTTCATTCAGTAAATACCTGGTGAGTGCTATGGTGTGCTAGGTTTTGTTCTAGGCATTCTGCAGTAATCAAGACAGACAAGGTCTTGGCCCTCTTGGGGCTTACATTCTAGTGGGAGAGACAGAAGATAAACAGGTGAATTAGTAGATGAAATGAATTGCAGATTGTGACACATGCTCTGAAGAAAACGAAGAGAGGGCAGATGCCACTTAGATGGGAGCTGTTTAGGTAAGACCCCCCCTGAGATGGTGATGTCTAAGCTGAGAACAGAATGCTGTCAGTGACGAAGGTTGATCCAGCAGCTCTGGGTCCCGGACTCAGCACCTGTTAACTGTGTCACCTTGAGCAAGTCACTAATTCTTTCTGAGCTTTGGTCTCCTCATCTGTGCAATGGAGCTAATAATATCTCCCTTGAGACGGTGGTGCGAGGATTGTTAACAGGGCATACAAAGTACCCAGTGCAATGCCTGGCAGGTAACAGATGTCCCCTGTTATGGTTATTGTCACTGTGTTTTCTGATCCAGGCCTAGGGCCTACATTACTTTTCATAATGAGGCTGCATGGTAGATACGATCCTCTGTGGCTAACCGCAAAGATCACCAAGGCTGGTAAGATAGAGCAGGCACCAGGCTGGGAACCAGGGTCCTGGTTCCAATCTTCGCCCTGCTACCTCATGCTCAGTGACCTTGGCAGGTCAGGGAATATAAGGGTTCTTGGTGATTCTTCCACTTGGTCATTCTGTCTTCCAGGATGGCTGTGACACATCAGGGCATAAAAAACTGCTTTCCATAACTCTGCTTAGACCCAGTACTCCGTCCAACCAGCTGCATGGCCCCAGAAAGTCTTTTTGTGTCTCTTGGCCCAGTTTCATCATCTGCCAAGAGGGAATAACAATACATACCTCTCTGTCATTGTGAGGCTCAGATGAGATTTCGAATGTGGGAGTACTCCAAGTGCTGCAAAGTGGGGGCAGAAATGAAGGTTGTGTTCCTGGGCCAGGGATGGCCCTCATCCCCACCTTCCACCAGCCGGCAGAGGAGAGGTATCCCAAAACAGCTTGTTTTCTGAGAACCAGTGGGGAATACCAGGGCCCAGAGTGAAGACACGCTGGCCATGGGCTAAGACTGGTGCCACTCCCAAGGTGAGGGTGGGGACCTCTCGAGCTGCTTCTCCAAAGGTGCACTCAGTGGAGCCAAATGACTCTTGCTGAAGTCCGTGTCTGGATCATTCATCCTGAGGAAACCTGAACTCGGGTTTCTACCTGCATCTGTAGAACTGGAAAGAACATGGGGCGATCACACTTTCGGGGTCCCTGCTGCGTGTAGGCGAATCCCCACACCGTTTTGTAAATAGGATGGCTCCATTTCAGAAGATCGTGGGAAGCTTGAGGGAACTGCTGGCAGGCGGGTAGCACTGAGAAGCTCCTCAGCTCCATGAGGCTATCGGAATTGGGAGAAATGTTGGAGGTGAGGGGAGGTCACGTGGCTCTGGTGATGAATGACGGATCATGGAGACAGCCCTGACTGGGATTCCAGTCCCTGGGCTCTTGGCTTTATCACCTACTTACTTTGTGCTCTTGGACAAGTTCCTTTCCATTTTGGGCCTCGGCCTTCCCATCTGTATAATGCATCAGATGCTTTCTAAGGTCCCTACCTGCTCCTGATGTTCTATTTCTGAAGCCGGGCCAACTCCCCTAAGCCCCAAGAGCTCACCTAAGCCCTGAAGCAGTTTTACAACTGGGGAGACACAGGGGATGTGAATTATCTTTGGGGGAGTTCTGGAGGGAGGCAGCTGTGGGCCTAGTGGAGACGCTCTGCCTGGAAAATCTGCATGACATCTAACCCTGGGAAGGCCCTGTGAACTATGTATGGTCCCATTTTAGATCTGGGGAAAGATGCCATGTCCCAGTAAGCTCATTTGGACAATAGCAGCGGGGAGCTCAGGGAGGAACTCAAGGCAGGCTCCTCATCATACAAACCGCAGTCATTGGTCCCCTCCTCTTCCACCCTGATCCTTGTGGGGAGAGCTGAGGTTCTGCACTCTGCAGGTTTGACCCAACCTAGTCCCTGAGCAGTGTTTCCAGTCTATCATGCTGGGAATGAGCCTGGCATTCTGGAATCAGCCTTCTCTGGAGTGCCCACCATGTTTCTCTAGTTTGGGTAATGAGCATCGGCTTGAGTCTATGGATCAGCACTCAGTGTTCCCCCACCCCAGCCCAGCAGCTCGGTCAGCTCCTCAAGAGTCAGGTCAGCTATTCACAGTTCTTCATCCTTCCCAGGAGCCCTAGATATTCAAGTCCCAGTAGGCTCAGTGCCCCAAATCTTATAGCCTAGGCCTAGTCTGGACTGGACTTTTGGACTTTTCTTGGGCTCCAGGTAGCCAGTGACAGGGCCAGCCAGGCCTGCTGGATGGGACCCAGGGCATGGTGTGAGGCCAACTCCCTCTGACAAGCCCAGGAGCTACACCCCAGGGGCTGGCCAAGCTGAGGCCCAGGGGCACTCCTTCTGGCAGGGCAGCTGGTTGGATTGATCTTGTAATTAAGTCAGGGCCAGGCCTGCCTACTTGGGCCCTTGCCCTTGGCTCCCAGGACGGGCCAGAATTTGTTGCTGAGGGCAGAGGGTTTATGCTTGGGTGGGGCTCAGACCTAAAACTTGGAGTCATGCTGGATGCCTTTGTCTTTCTTACATTGCATACTCAGTTCACCAGCAAATCCCATTGCTTCTGCCTTTAGTGTGTATCCAAAGTCCAACTGCTTCTCCCCAACTTCTCTGCTGCAACCATCCCAGCCTCCGTGCTCCTTGCTTGAATGATTGCAGTCTCCTTCTCACTGGGCCCCAGACTCTATCCTTGCCCCCTAGAGTCTGTTCAAAACAGCAGCTGAGGTGATCTGAAAACAATATGTCCAGTTAAGTTTCTCCTATGCTGAAAAGCCTCCTATGGCTTCCCACCTTACCCAGAGCAGAGTCCAGAGTCCTACAAGGTCCTATACAATCTGCAAGTCCCCTTCCCAACCTTACTCTTTAATTTCCCATTGTCTTCCCCCTTGCTTCTTCTGCTCCTGCAGCACTGGCCTCAATGCATGCCCTCTTCCACCTCGCCTCACTGACTGTGCCCTTGCACTCCCTGAGCATGGAATGATCTTCTCACATGAATCTGTATGGCCAACTCTCTGACTTCCTAAAGGTCTCTGCTTAGATGTCACCTTATCCAAGAGACCTTCCCTGCCCACCCTGCATAAAAGTGCACCGCCTACTGTCACTCTTCATCTCCCAATCTTGCTTTGATTTTATTAATAGTATTTTCTTTCTCACTTATCCCCCACCAGAAAGTCAAGTCCATGAAAGCAGGAGCTCTGACTGTTTTGTTTACAGATATATATTCCCCAATAGCAAGGAAGGGGATACAATTCTTTGCATTCTATGCATTTGCATGAGGTGCTGGAACATAATAGGAGCTTAATTCATGGTGCCTGACTTAGTGCATCTCTCCCTTGCCAAATGCTGTGACCCTTGACTTCTTTGGAAGAAGAGCATGGTGCAGTTGGCTTGATTGGCAGTCGGCAGACTGGCATTTTAGTTGCCAATTCACTTGTGGCCTTAAGCAAGCCGCTGGCCTCCTCTGGACCTCAATCTTCTCACCTACAAAATAAGGCAATTGGTCTAGTTGATCTCCAAGACCCTTTCCAGACTGGACTAGCCAGGATTCTATTGCTCCCAACTTCCTCACCCCTTGCCTTATTCTTGGGAGGCAACTGTCACATAAGGAAGCATGGACCAGGTGACAAGAGACCCGAGTTCTTTTCTTCACTTCCAGCTATGTGTCCTTGGCAAGTTTCCATCCTCTCAGCACCTTGGTTTTCTTGTCTATAAACTGAGTGTTGTAATGCCTGACCCGACGGCTGCCACACAGATTTACTGTGAAGGTCAGTGGATAAGAAACTGCTTTGGAGTCTGGGTCATGAATAAGAGGGAGAGTTAGTAGCACGGGCTTTGCGGCCAGATAACCTGGGTTCAAATCCTGCCTTTGGAAGTTATGTACAACTTCCTCGCAAGTCAGGTAAGCTTCTCTGTGCCTCTGTTCTCCTGAGTATAATGTGGGGCTAATTAGGGCCTTAGACATAGGATGGTTGTAAGGATTGATAAACTTATTTAGAACAGGGCCTGGCATAGAGTATGTGCCATATATAAGCGTTTTCTTTTATTATTCATTCCTAGAATTACTCATTTATTTTGCAATCATTTATTAAAGGCTCCTGCCTATTTATGGGCTACTATTGGTTCAGGGTTCATTTCCTCCCCTCTCCCAATTAATTTTTTTCTACACCTTTCCTTTCTGATGGGGAGGAATGAAGAAGGAGGCTGGGGAAGAAGTTCAGACCCCCCGCTAGGCTTTCTCTGTCTGTCAGGAGCTGACGCCCAAAGGAAGACAGCTTTTTCAGGAACGTTTAATATAGCAATTGCTCATTCACACCTTGCAGCCTCATGAATCCCATTGACAAAAATACCCGAGGAGGGTGATCCCATTCCATTGTACCTCATAATCCCTAGACTTCCTTATCTTCCCCAGAATGCCTTGTTCCTATATTTTCCTGGAGTTTCAGGGGTAAGAGGTTGGGGAAACAGAGTCAGAGTCCTTGGCGATTTTTGCTGAAGTGTCCCTGTAAGGCTCAGCTGAGTGTTGACCCCACCAGGATGGTGGCTCTGGTTTCACGCCAAAGGCTTTGACAGTGTATTAGTCAGGGCTCTCCAGAGGGGTGGAACACTGGGATAAATATGAAAGGGAATTTATTAGGGGGAATTGGCTCACATAGTTGCTAAGGTGAAGTCCCAAGATAGGTTTTCTGCAAGCTGGAAGATGACAGAAGCCAGTAGTGTGGCTCCCAGAGAGGCTGGCAGCGTGTCTCAGTTCAACTCTGAAAGCCTCAGAACAAGGAGAGCAAAGAGTGCAGCCCCCAGTCTGAGGCCAAAGGCCCGAAAGCCCCTGGGAGGCCTCTGGTGCAAGTCCCAAATCCAAAAGCCCAAGAATCTGGAGTCTGATGTCCAAAGGCAAGAGGAAACAAAGGCCTCTTACTCCAGAAGAGAGAGAGAGCGAGAGAAAGAGCGAAAGAGGCAGAGAGGGAGTGGGATGGGAGGAAATGGGGAGTGAGACCCAAGCATAGCCCCTTCTTCTGCCCTCTTTGTCCTAGCTGGGCCACCAGCCCACTGGATGGTGCCTGCCCACACTGAGGTCGGGTCTTCCTCTCTCAGTCCGCTGACTTACATCAATCTTTTCTGGAAACTGACAGACGCTCACAGACTACCCAGAAAAAGTGCTTCACTAGCCATCAAGGCATCCCTCAATCCAGTCAAGTTGACACTTAATAGCAACCATCACAGATGGCTTCGTGCTGTCTTGGAGCTCAGTCCTAGATTTGCTTTTTATTAGCTGTTTGAGGACAGGCAATTACTTTGCCTCCCTGAGCCTCAATTTTCTCATCTGAAAATTGAGATAATGACAATGATATCATGGAGTTGTTGCAAGAGTTAAGAGAGATAATACAGGCAAACTGCCCAGTGCAATGCCTGCACATGGTTTATGGTCCTTATCTCTTAGTTGAATTTGAAACATTTATTTAGCCATTGTATTTACTGAATACCTCCTTTGTATAAGAAATATCTTACTTTTGATTTAGTAGCTTGCAAGGTTAGGCTAAGAATGATGAAATCAGGTCCTGGACTTTATATTTCTCTGACTGTGCTTCTGTGTGTGTGTGTGTGTCTTTCCCAAGATAGGTCTATTCCCCCTTTACTCTCTGAGGGAGGAGGAGGAGAACTCCATTCAGCCACAGCCACCATCTGAAGCACGTTGGGTGTGAAGGGGCACTAAGAGCTGGTGGAGGGGTGTGGAGGGAGGTGGGACAGAGTTGCTAAAAGGTCTGGTCCCACTTGGAGCAAAGATGCTGGGCACACCAAGGTCTAGATGGATGGGTTGTGGAATGAGTTGGCAAGGTGCCTGATAACTGTAACCTTGGACACTTAGGTGACTAGAGGTACAAATGGGGCATTGGCTCTAGGAACAGGGTGGGGCTTGGCTGGGGTCCGCCAGCGTGTGGGAGGAGGCTACTCACTTAACACCTCTGGGGTTGGGGTTAGAACAGTGGCTTTCTGCTTGGCCTGGCTTCCTCCACCACAAGAAGAGTGAGACAGTTCTTCCCTGGGTTGGCGCCTTTCTCCATCCCACAGATCTCAGATGCCACTTACCAGGGCTCAGCAAGATGGAGCTTAGAGCCAAGATCAAAGCCATTCCCTAGGCTAGGTGGACTATTTTGATTATATTAAGCCTCCTTAGGGCAGATGAGGTTCTTTTGCTTGCCTTCTTTTAAGACATATCTATGTTTGCGATCAGCCTGGCCAATATGGTGAAACCCTGTCTCAACTAAAAATACAAGAAATTAGCCGGGCATGGTGGCGGGCGCCTGTAATCCCAGCTACTCAGGAGGTTGAGGCAGGAGAATTGCTTGAACCCAGGAGGCGGAGGTTGCAGTGAGCCGAGATTGTGCCATTGCACTCCAGCCTGGCCAAAAAGAGCAAAACTCCGCCTCAAAAAAAAAAAAAAAAAAAAAAAAGAAATATCTATGTACCCTCAATCACCTGGGGGAAGAAGCCAATGATGACAGAAGGACTAATATCTATTGATTGTAATACTCATAAAGAGTATGGGCTTGGACCTCGCAAAGGCTGTGCCAGTTATTTAGCTGTGTGACCTTGGGCTATCTATGCAACCTCTTTGAAGTTCAGTTTCTTAATCTGATTAAAATATAGATATAACACCTACTGTATTAGGCCATTCTTGCATTGCTATAAGTAGCCAGGACTGGGTAATTTGTATTGAAAAGAGGTTTAATTGGCTCACGGTTCTGTGGGCTGCACCAGAAGCATAACACCTGGATCTGCTTCTGGGGAGGCCTCAGAGAGCTTTTACTCATGGTGCCTGGTGCAGGCACTTCACTTGGCAAGAGCAGGAGCAAGAGGGAGGGGGGTGGGTGCTTCACACTTTTAAATGACCAGAACCTCGTGTGAACTTAAGAGTGAGAACTCACTTATCACCAAGGGGATGACCCAAGACATTCATGAGGGATCTGTGCCTATGACTCAAACACCTCCCACCGGGCCCCACCTCCAACATTGGGGATCACATTTTAACATGAGATTTGGGTGGGGACAAATAACCAAATGATAACCAAATGGGATGATGCATGTCATATACTTTGCAGTCTGGCACAAAGTAAGCTCTTATAACACGTATGGTACTTTGTGTTTATATAGATATTAATGCCTTTTAAAATCTTCATGCTGACCCTGTAAGGTAGGCATTTTAATCTTAAGTTGAGACAAGAAAACTGAAGTTTAGAATGTTAACTCCCTTGTTAGGGTCACATAGATAATAGCCTATACCGTAGAGCCAGAGATGGAACCCAACCCTGACTCCAAGGCCCAGCATTTCCTAAGGCAACAAGTCTCACCATCCTTAGAATCTGGGAAGCCTGTAGGAACTCTTTGGAGCTCTAGTCTCTTGGAATTGAGGAGGGGTTTGGTCCTAGGGCTGATGTGGTGTTGGGCAGGCTCTGGAGGGCAATCTCGATGGGACCTGTGGGACAGGGCATTAGGAGATGTGTGGCACCTTGACCACAGGCCATTTAACTCAGGTGACTCGCAGTGGCTGCACCTAAAGGCCAGTCTGACCCAAGAAGTTGAGATGAGAGGTCTCTTCTAGGGCCAGAGAAAGATACAAGGTGAGGGGTCCTAGAACAAGGCCATTTCTCTGCTTTTCTAAGACATAGATATTTTGGGCACCATTGTGACTACAAGTCCTGGCTAGTGTTCAGGTTGGAATAGGTACAAGGCCAAAGAGCCTTGACCATTTCTTGATAAGCCAGTGATTTGTGAGTGTGTTGTTTACTGACCTAAGTTAGGGTGTGTGAGTCTGTGTGAGGAGGTAGCCTAAGAAAACAAAAGGACAGGATAACCAGAGCTGATAGATTGAGAAATGCCCCAGTTGATGGATTAAAAAGATGCAGACCTGCCTCATTTGCATGTCATTTAACTAGCATTAATCACTTCAAAATATGTGGTTCTTCCCCCACTGCTGTGCTAAACCAGCCTGGGGATATTTCAGGTCTTGATTCCAGGGCCTGAGACTCAAGCACAGCTACTGCACATGGGATAGATTAATAGAAAGAGAAGTCCTGGAGCAGGAGCCGGGTCTAGCTCTGTGCCGGCCACTAACTCAGGTGCGGGTAAATTCCCATCTTCTTCTCCTGTCTGGAAAACCCACAAGGGCAGAATATCCTAAGCATCAAATGCAAAAACATTTTTCTGAATAAAGGAATGTTTTTAAATATATGAAAATCACTGTGGACAAATCACTGTTCCTTCCTGGATATAGAGGAGAAGATAAGGTGTCTACTTTTGACCAATAGTTTTAAATTTTGGGGGCTGTGGACACGTCAAGAAAAATAACCATACCACAACATGTCATACATCATTTCAGGGGCTTTTAGACCCTTTGGAGTTGATCGTTGTACCCCTTGTTCCAGATTAGAAACCCTTGGGCCAGAAAAGGTTGAAAATCCTTCAACTTTCAGATTTCTGAGTATCCTGCCCCACATGGATCTTTAGGACATGGGAATCCAAGAGAAAGGGCACACTCATATATTTTTATTGGCTCCCACTATGCGCCAGGTGCTCATTTGGTCTTCACAAGATAAGGCAGGAGTCATGATTCCCTTTATAGAAGTGAGGAAACTGAGGCTCAAAGAGAGTGTGCCCCAGGGTTGCAGAGCCGGTGAGTGACAGAGTTGGGATTCAAAACCCAAGCCTTTGGCTCCAGAGCTGTTCTCTTTCTCCAGGGTTAATATTGTTTCTCAGTTGTGCCAATCAGCTTTGCTCCCCCTGTCCACCACATTGGCCCCCTGGACTAGGAGAGCTCCCCACTTATACCCCACCCCATCAAGTGCCCCTCTTAAGCGGGAGCTACTGGTTGGGGTGAGCCCAGGGTGGTCGAGTGTGTACAGGGCAGGTGCCTCAGGTCAGGTGGGGAGGGTTCGGTGTGCATAGGTGGCATGGGTGGACTACACTTGAACTAGCTGAGCTCTCCTCACCAAAGTGGAGAGAAGAATGCGGATCTTGATGTTGTAGCTTCCACACGTCCCTGTTCCCTTTCCCTCCCTTTCCTCCTTGCTTTTACCTAACAAGAGCTAAGTTAACAGTTTACCTAACAAGATCTAAACAGTCAGGGACTGTTTAGACAAAATTCTTCCCAGCTCCCATCTTCCCAGCATCCCAGCTTCTTGGAGGCAGGAATTCCTCGCGCAGTCCCAGCAGGAGGGACCAGGCCTGGGAGCCTGACTCAGTTTCCCATTTCTTTGGAGTAGGGAGCCCCACTCCATTAGTCAGCCTGAGGCTGTTCCGCAGAGGTCTAGAGCCCCACTATGGTGGGGGAAATGCCCAATATGAAGGTGCCCATAGCAGCAGCTGCCCCAAATGTTTCTTGTCTCTTTGCCACCCTCTCCCTTGTCACCTCAGTACCTGCACCCAGAAACACATCCTTCTGAAGGTGAGGTGAGGGTGGGGAGCCCAGCTGCTTTGGCTGGTCAGTTTTCCTAGGGGCAGAGCATGGTAGATTGTGAAGGGGTAAAACTAAATATCTTTAATAAGATACCTGGGTATTTGGGTGTTTGGAGTAGGGGGGTGGTCAGGGGTGGGATGTGCCTGCTAGTGGCTGAGGCACCGACTTCCCTGTGCTCATACTCCACACCATGGCCTCTTTTGAGCCTTCTAAATTTGCAGGAGTTCAGGACTAGATTAGCCCTCAGAGGAAATCACATAGATGTGCCTCAGCAGTGTCTGTGTGTGTGTGTGTGTGTGTGTGTGTGTGTGTGTTAGGACCTTCTCCACGAAGGTGCTGCTGTGTCTCCATCTCAGGAGGCCAAGATAGACATTCTCCTCACTTGAGAGTGGACAGCACGGTTGGTCCAGACCCCTGGGCCAGCAGTAATGGGCAGAGGTGGGGGTGGGTTTGAGGACAAGGCCTGCAAATGTGGGTGCGGCTGCATTTAAATGATTCCCAGACTGTGTTTGGTCTTCAAACTGGGTACCCCGCCCCCACACATCCTCCAGCTCCATGGAAGATACAGGAAGTGTTGATGTAATTGGGGAGATCTCAAACGCACCCACCCACCCTCCCATCCACATACTCTGCCTCGTCTGCGCAGGGCTCCCAGTCAAGGGCAGGCAGGCACACACCAAGATGATACCCAATGCATCCAGGAGGACCCTCTCCCATCCTGCCTGGTCTCTGCCTGGACCCTCATGGCCACAGAAACTAGGCTGAGAGTGAGGCAAGCACACTTGCATGTTGTAGGGATGATAATCCCAGCAGGCAAGAAACAAGTGAAAACCATCAGTGTCTGTCAAAAATTTTATTTTTTTCATATCACACAGAATGATGTTAAAATAAATCCCCAGTAATATATATTTATATACTTATTTACTTGTGTCAATATTTACAAAAGACTGTGGAGCTCTATGAAGTCTATGTACACCCATGATCAGGTGGACAGGCAATGTTCATTGAGGCACATATGTACACATATATGTATAACCTATGTACAAATATCAGACCCTACTGACACAGGAACTCTCAGCTGCAGAAGTCCTGGGTGGGGCAGTGTTGGTGGGGCTGAAAGCTTCCAGAATATGTCAGCAAGAATGATAATATCAATACATCCTGTGCAATGTAGTTACAGCTGGTGTCTAAATTTTCAAGAAGCAAACAAATAGTTAAATGACTCCCAACTCCCATGAGTCTTCCCCGCAAGTCCTGCTCCGCCTTCAGCTCTCATTGGTCCCCAGCCTCTTATCACCATGGAGACCCCAGTTCCCTTTCGGCATCATCCTTACGAAGCTTTACCATCAGCCTTGGAGTTCCTTCTGCTATTGATCCCAAGGAGGCTTATTTATCTACCTCTTTGAGTTTTCAGCAATTATTAGAGACAGGACATGGGAGGGCAGCTGAAGATTCATGCACAAGCAGCAAGGAAGCCAGTGCAAACCCTAACTGGAGTCTGTGCTGCATGAGCCTAAGTGAGTGGCGGCCATTTCCTCTCTCTCTCTCTCTCTATATATATATATACATATATATATATATGTGTGTGTATATATATATACACACACATCACACACAATATAAAGTCTCCAGAGGCAGCCTATATAAGCACATAAGCACACAGGTCTGGAAAAGGAAATAGCATCCTCCACTCATGAGCTTTACAGCTATGTCCCTGATGAAAACTAGAGAATCTTCCTTGATTGCTGGCACCATTAATCGCAACTGTTCCAAGATTATCCTTAGTGGAGAGAGGGGTGCAGGGATGCAGAAAACCAGGAAGAGGCCAATTTGGCTGGGGTATTGTTTGCTCAGCAGGCTAGAGCTTGATCATGGGACTTTCCAGCTTCCTGGGGCCCTTCAAATGAAGGAACCATCCAAGCACGACAACAAAAGGAAACTGGGTCGCTGGATCCCACGTGAAGGCAGAACTGGGGCAAGCACAGAGCATGTTCAAACCCTCAGGAGCTGAGACTCACCCCCGCCAAAGCCAGCCAGGCCTCTCTTCTTGCTTTTCTATCCCATTTCTTAGCCTGGAGCTGATGTGCTCCTTTCCAGCCCCACCTGGCAGGTCAAAGTCCTTGCCCTACACTTCATAGGCTAAAAAGGCAGTAATGTTAGCAGCTGACATGGAAATTGTTTGGTAGCAAAGTGCGCCCCTGAATATTCTCTTCCTCCCAGCTCCTCCTATTGCTTTCTCTAGCAGCCCAGAGCATTTATTCACTCATACAAACAAGGCATTCGGTGTCTAGGGAATCATTTTCAAGGAGAAGCAGGGCTTAGAGGCCTCTCACAGAGACTCAGAAAGACACCAGACTGAGTCCTCTGGATAGCTACCAAGGGTCCTAGCACACAGCCACATCTACACTGCCCTCAATGATCTAGATGTTGCAGTAGCTGTCCACATTATTACATAATCATGCCCTGTGCATCCATCAGTGGAATGATGCAGGGAGTTCTCAGCTGCAAACTCATCTGGAACATATTAGACTATTTTAGGAGTGCAGAGGAGCACAGAAAGTTATATCCATTTCCATGCTGAGGTTCATGAAGTACAAGAAGTAGCCATCCAGACAGGCCACCTCAACTGCCTCAGTGCACCAGCTGGTCATGTCAAGTCTGGGTTATGGGCTTCTGCTGCCTGATCACAACTAACATAGCCAGACTGGAGGGCTTCTGTGGGTGTGGGGAGATGGCAGACACCCCTGCACCACTTCAATTGCTCCAGATACAGTGAAAAATCCCTCCCACTCCCATCTAGGTAGAAAGCAACAGTCAAATGCAAGAGGTGAGGCTGAGAGAAACTGTCTTCCATGGATCTAACACACTAGCAGGCAAGAGGGAGAATGAGAGCAGGTTTTAGCTTGCATCCAGCTGTTTCTTGAGTGATGTGTACAGCTTACCCCCAAAGAGGCAACTGAATTTCAGCTGCTCTAATACCCACACCCTCAACTTAGGTTTAGTCATAATAAAAAACAGAATGGATTTGTTAGTTCCATTGATTGCCACAAACCTCACCTTCTGTGTGGCAGAGATGTGCTTTAGTTCTTCATTGGAATGTTACTTTCAGATCTCACAAACCTCAAACCTAGGGCACCACCAATGACAAAGAGAATGCTAAATAGATAAATCCTTTGCCAGGTCTTCAAGCTTTCCACTCCCCTCGAGTACAAAGTTTGGAATAACTTTTCTGATCCTCAGTGATGAGGTTATAGCCAACCAGGGCAGACAGAAGAAAGGCTAAAGCACCTGGCTGTTAGATCAGACTTCCCTTTTATCCCTGAGTCAGGCAGCCACCTGGGAGGGAAAGGAAAGAGGTGATCCTGTAGCCTGTTCTTTTTTTATGAAAGATCTGCCTTCTAGAGAGGTCCCTAAGCAGAAAAAAAAAGAGTAGAACTGGAGAGGTGAAAAGAATGCAAAGGAGGTCATTCAAAAAATGCACATAAATGCAGTTTATTCCTTGGATTGCCAAATTTATTCCACATAAGTGAAACTAAGGAGATTGGTCAATGTATAATTCTATAATTTAAAAATAGTATACATATATACATATACTATATATATATATATACACACATAAATATATGTATATATGGAAAACCTCTAAAAACTCAGGACCAATTAACCAAAACCTCGATTGACAAGAATTATGTTTTCTTACTATCCTTTCAGTAGAAAGAGGCAAATGACAGCAAGGGCTCCGATGAGCCAGGATGTGCCCCAGTGGCCCATTTCCAGGCCTGTCTTGTAGCCAGCAGCCATTCAGCCTGTCTCTTTGGTCTTCTCTACCTATGTCCACTACTGTACAATAAGCATTGAGGTTTACAATGTTGACCCTGAGCAAGGCAAGGTCCCTGTTATCTTCAAACACTCTACTTAACTAAGGCAGGAAAGTTATGCTAACCTACTTAGGAAATATTTTTCTCAATAACAAAGGTTGAACCAGACATGCTTTCCCATTCCCACTCAAATAACCAAAATTGCAAAGCAATCAGGATGTTCCTGTCCCTGAGGTTTCCCCATCAGTTAACTGAGGTTTTGCTGTACATATGTGTATAGAGCAAGGTAGATCAAAAAAGGATGGAATGGGACCCTGGGGTTGCCAGCCTTCCCTGATTGTCCAGTCTGAACATTTAAGCTCACAGATGTTAGGAAAGGGGACTCTTCTGAAGCCCCTGGCTATGTGTGCAAATATTTGTGCAGCTGCACACTCTAGCGGGTGGTAGAGTCTTTATTTCACTAATGTCATGCCCTAACCACCCAAACTTCTATCCCTGTAGACTTCTACTGAAACCCACAAGAACCTGCTTCCTTCTGCAGCTCTCACGGAGTCCCTTTGGTTGAGCAAGTCAGCTTATTTTGAAAGAGAGTCAGAGGGCAATTCCCAAATCTGCCCAGGCTACTGATCCCAAGTGCAAACCTCCAGGCCACATTCCCTCAGCATCCGTCTCCCTGGGGAAGGGAGAAGGGGAAGCAAAAGGATCAAGTAATGGCTTTTAGTGCATGGAAATGATCTTCTGTAATGGCTCAGGATGCTTTATTCTTATCTATTGGGAAGTGCTTTCGTGTAGGCTTCCATTACATCTGCCAGACTGAGGGAAAGTCAACAAAATGGGCTGAAAAGGTCACACAAACTTAGGATTTTCATGCCTAGAGGTTGTAAGGATGCTGTATGACAGCAGGCAGAAATGGGGAGACAGAGGGAGAGGGGACAGAGACACACATGGAGACAGAGAGGTGCACACAGGAAGGAGACAAAGTGACAAAGCCCTCTCACAGGCCTTCCTTGTGCATACACTGCATCTTAGCATATGTGTCCATTCCAGAAGGAGGTCAGATCTCAAGAGGACAGGAGTCATGTGAACACGTGGGAAGAAGAAGAAACTACAGAGACTGTGAATGAGCCCCCAGAAGTCAAGGGCATTATCTGATAATCCAGGTACTATCTATCACTTTTCAGTCCTGAGAGCAAGATTTTGAAAGAGCTATTGCTAAAGAAAACAGTCACTATTTATTTTATTGCACTTTTCCTCTTTAAAAATATTCAAACACAAACTATGAGAGATGAAGCTGAGATTTGGTGGGAAGGGAAGCAGAAAAAAAGGAAAAGTAAACTAGGTTAGTTTGAGGAAGAGAACCTTCCTGCATGTAGGGGAGCCCCTACCTCCATCTGTCCCTGCTGGTTGCTTTGATAGGGGAACAGGGTTGGACTCAACAAGGGCTAAGTCTGAAGATATAGATGATGGTCACAATAGCTACTGAGAGAGCTCCCAGCATCCCCCTCTCTGCGCGTTGGCTCAGGTGACTGATGATGTTAATGAGGTTAAGGTCATGAGTTCAAACCCGGCAATGGATACCTTGCCAAGGCTAGGGGAACCTCCATTGTGCAACCAAGGAGCACCATGGATATTATAGCCCTCGCAGATGAGGCGGCCATCACCCACATACAAGTTATTATGACAATGGGCCCCAGGAAAGCTCTGGGGAGCAGAGCTCAGCACCATCATCCCCTCTCTTGAGTAAACAAGTCAAAGCACTGTGCTCCCCTGCCTGACATAGGGGTAGTGGTGCCACCTTCATATGCAATTTGCACACTGTTCTATAGTTTCCTTAGGGGGGAGTCAGCCTCTGTGACTCTACTACTGTGGGCAGTGCTGAATCCCCAGCCTGAGGAGCTTCAGAGGGTGCTGTCCTCTCTCCACATGGGTTGATACTGATAGAGTCCTCACTATAATATAGTGAGAGATCCAGGAAGAATAGGTAGAACAAGCTAGTCCTGGGCCCTCCCAACACGGAGCAGCAACATGAACACCCAGGCTGGGGTCTCAGGCCATCATAGCTTCCATGGGAGCCCTTTCCATACTAGGCTAACGCAATCTAGAGGCACACTCCCGTGGGGCCCCTTTTAAAAGGCTAACCTCATGGTGACATGCCAACACTAGCCTCAGAAACACAGGTGAGAGGGACAGAGGCAAGCAGAGAAGAAGGAAGAGAGCATGTCAAATATTACTGAAGTTTCAGAAAGCACAGAGCCTTAATTATTTTCTTAATTAAATGTTGGCTCCTAAAAAGTTTACTCTGAAATTTGACCCACTCAGCCACTCTCTCTTCCTGACAATCTCTCCACCTTTCCTGGGCCTATTCCTTTTCGGTCTCCTGAAAACTCCAAGTTTCTTGAAAATGAATCCACAGAGGCACTTGATGAAGCCAACAGGAATGGTACCTTGACCTGGAAACACAAGTTTCCAGCAAAGCACACGTTTTGGACCCATATGTCCACTCCCTACTGTTGTTACCTTTTCTGTAGAGACTGGGAGCTGCGACCATCACTGGAAGGGAGAGTGAGACACAACGGGATGGCTGCAGGAGCAGAAATCAGGAGTGAGGCCTGATCCAAAGCCTGACTGCAACTCTTTACTTCCGATGTAGGTGAAGCCTTTGCTAAAATGCACTCAGCTCTCAGCTAGTCCTACTTAGGGGAAGAACCAGCTCCAAGAGTAATCCAAAATGGTGGGTAATCTTAGAAAGTATTTAAATATGGCCTTAGAATATAGGATAAAGTCAGGCCCTCTAAAAAGTGTTAGCTTGCTTAGCCTTAGATGTATGTTCTTAATCACTTTTTACTTAAGCTGAACTGGGTTGCATAGCAATTGGATGGGAGGCAGGGCATCCAGGGGAGCCCAACAAGAGGAAAAGGAAGAGCGTGCCCGGGATTGAACACACCCAGAGGGGAATCAGGAGTTGGCCCCTTTGGGCTTATGCACAAGAGCAAGTGAAATGCCACAAGCAAGTAAAGGTGGCTCATTTTAAGAGACAGGTCTCTATAGGGTCTCAACTTCCTGACCGTGCCCCCAACAAAGCTGCAAAGGATGGAAGGGCAATAAAATCTGTGGGCTTAGAGAATGTTGGGGACATCTTTACCCTGGTCCTGGGCTCAAGATCCTGCAGTTTCTTGAGCCATTACTGCTTTTAAGAGAATAGGGCTGAATCTGGAGATCCCAGGTGCTGGGAGAAGGGGAGCCTGGGCTATTGGGTTGTCTGTGCGGATTTGCTGGAAGGAAGGAAGGGTCATGGCAAGGAGGCCTATATTAGGCTACCAGCTGTCCCAGGTACTTTCACACCCTGCACCCAGGTTTCTGGTGGGAGGAAGGTGAATTGGTAGAGACCCCATGCAATTCCTGGTCTTAGTCAGATATCTGCTTGATGTGGTGGCCCATCCTCCTGCTTGAAACCTAGGAGTTACTTCTCAGGAGTGAAATCTGGTAGTGAGAGAAAAGAATAGAGAAAGAGATTCCTTGAAAGATCCTGGGGGATATAGACACAGGCCAGGCAAAGGTGATTACATCTGATCTTTTGTTTGTGCCTGTTAATTCATAGCTCTGGGGGCAGGGCAATGGGTCTGAGTATATGTCTGCATTTCATGTGTATTGTGCGATATTTTTGGGCATGTGTGCTATGTATCTTGTATGCCTATTATAAGTTAATGCATCGTGTGTATATACTGAGTTTGTGTGTATTTTATGTGTAGAAACAATGGTAAAGTAGCCTTTGTGTATCTTATATGCATATGCATTTTGTCCATGTAGTTTTTTATGTATTTTGCATCTGAGTTTCAGGTTGTATATTTGTATGTGGTGTATGTTTGTCTTTTGTGTATGTTCTGTGTAAATTCTATATCTGTGCAGAGTGTGCATTTTATATACAATTATAACCATATATCTTCTGTGTTTGCTTTTATGTTAACCTGGTCTGTCTGTATTTTGCACGTTACATGTTTTATGTTTGTGTGTGACAACAGTGTACCTATTTTGTGGTGAATGTGCATGACTGTATGTGAACATTTTAGAGTCCTGGGCCAAGGACACTGTGATAAGATATCTATCCCTGACCTAGGCCTCAGATATGGGTTGCTTTACCTTCTATTTTCCAAAGATCTGTGTCCCTCCCACCCCATGCCTTGGAAATTCAGCACCACCTCCCATGAAGGAGAGGAAGAGAAGCACAGAGGCTTTGTGCTGGGCATGGGATGCCCTGCAGATACCTGGGGATGTGGGTGACCAGGCACTAATGAGCACCCTGGGCCTAGCACCCTGAGCTGGTGCCCCATGCCCCAAGACAACTGTAGGTGCTAACTAGGCAGCAGTGAGGCCTGGGCTGGAGCCACCCCTGCATAGCCCGACCCCTGCAATTCACTGTTTGGGAAAATTAAGCTACTCCGTCAAAAGGCAAAGACGCCCAGTCTGGTGAGTTAAAAGCCCCCTACCTGAAGCCATTTCAGGGTCAACCTACTGTCTACCTTTAGGCTGTGCAGTGCTCATTTGCACTCTACTTCTTCTGGGGGGTGGGAAATGATTCTTTACCCATCCTTTGGTTCTTTTTAAAAAGCAGCTCTGGTTGCCAGTTTAATGGGGAGAGAGTTTGGGTCTGGAGATCAAAATGATGCCTTTGGATCATCTAGGGACTCCATCACTTAGTCCCGGACTTCAGACATTTCCACATAGAGGAGGCTCCCTTTAGGTCCAGATCAGTGGAATTTGGTCCCAGGGAGTCCTACTCCTTGGTGTCCTTGGTTTCAAAGCAGGGGATCCATTCTGGCTCTTTAGCGAAAGGTTTGTGAAAGTGACGGATGCAGAGCCAAATGATAATAAGATCCAAGTGGCAAGGGAAGAGGTGAAAATGGAGATGATGAACAGGATGAACTGTAGAGAGGAGGCCCGGGGTGGGTCTGGCCCAGGACAGCTGGAACTGTGAGGGCCACAGGGCCCTTGTGCACTCAGTAAGACAAGCTTCAGCCATGGGAACTGAAGCTGCAGCACATGGAGGGCAGAAAGACAATTCTAACGTCTAGGAATCCATGGATACCGGAGTGTCTGAGGCAATGGCAGCAAACCCAGGCCCAGTGGGGTTACCAATGAGACAAATTAACCCATTAGGCCTCTTAGACAGCCAACCCACCAAGCAGTGGATTTGCTCCTGAACCTGAACTCCAGAAAATGAATATATATATATATATATGTGTGTGTGTGTGTGTGTGTGTGTGTGTGTGTGTATACATATACACACATATGTATGTATATATATACACCCTAGTGCACATAGTCAAACACATGCATAAATTGCCCTTTGTCAAAAATATTGCATAAGCTTGTACAATGTTCAAATGCAATTTCTTTTCTATCACTAGCTAGGTAGAGGAACGCGTGAAAGAGAGATACTCGATATATATTTATATACACTGGATCCACAGACCTGCCTGTCATCAGGACCAGATGCCCTGGTCCACTGTACAGTCATGCCCGCGACTAGGTTAATTCCTAAGGTGCAGTCATGTGAGGTGTTCAGATGCTGCCTTCCCCGCTTACTCTTCTGGCTTTGCAGAGGTCTGCGTTCCTGTTTAGAAGAACAGGGATAGGTAGGCTGGGGGGCCAGAAGTTTTAGTTCCATTCCAAATAGTCTATTTTTTTTCCCCTGATGGAGGGATTTTTGCCTTCTGATGGGAAAAAAACCCCTAGTTCAAGACCATTCCAAGCCTATTAATACTCTAAATATTAACACTGTGTAGGCTACTAGGAAAATAGGTTATCTCCTGTGTTTTAAATATTGAGATTCATGCAACAAACACCCATGCAGCTCTATTGCATCACTGGTAAATTTCACTGCAGTGTCAGTGTAGCTGGGCCACATCAGTGGGAAAGCAGATGTCTGCAAACTCCAGTAAGAAACCAGACATGTTTTTGTGACCCTGGAGCCTGCAAAAATGGTGAAATCAGAGGCTTAGAGGTCTGTTGGTTTGTTAGCTTCTCCCCATAGGCCTAAGGGAACAAATGTGAAACTTGACAACTCATATTCGGTCATACTAACTGTCCCTCCCCCGGGCTTCCCTCACATCGACACTGCAGAGAAAAAGCAGAATGCAGCATTTTCCGTTATGAAACACAAGCCTCCAGAGCATCTACTTGGCAACTGCAATTCACAAACTCCAGCCTGTGACACAGAAAGTAATTCCAACACACAGGACTGTGTGTTCTTTTCAATGCAAAAATGAGTATGACCTTTTGAACAAACACCAGCTATTTAAAGCTAAGCCATGATTGTGTTCCTCTGTGAAAGGGCAGGTGGGCTCAAATAAGGTGGTGGGATGGTGGGGAGGGGAGTGCATCTCTTGGATGTTGTGTGCATTTCATTAGGAAGGAATGATGGCACTGATATGGTGCACTGTGTATGGGATATGAGGTGGCCTCAACGTGTCTATCTGAAATCCTAGCTTGATAGGTGACTCCCGTCTTTGGAAGTTCATAAGCCGGTGATGAGGATGTGCATGAAAGCCATGATAGATATTCTGTGTTCTAAATCAAAAGTCAAAAGATCAAAAGTCACTTGCACAACTATTGCTTTCCATGCAGAACCAGATACACACTGTAGAACACACTGACTACAATGCAGGCTATTATGCAACATCTGCATTAGTTCCATTGAGCTGTGAGTACGGTAATAGGTTTCAATCAGACATCAGTTAACATTTTGGTAATATTCACATAGTTTGTGTTAGCCAAGGTACAGTTGGCTGTTTTCAAGTTTTCCTCTCTAAAGTCCTCATTACTGTTATTTACACCCTCCTGGATCTCCATGTAATCAGACTTACTAATGGTAGAGGCACTTCTACTTTTCTTTAGGTCAGGGGAGGATGGGATCTTTGGACAGCTTGTCACTTGCAAGTATTGGGCCTGTTCCTCTCCCTCTGTCTCCCGGTGGTAGAAGTAGTTGAAATTGGACACAATGACAGGGACCGGTAAGGCAATAGTTAACACACCTGCAATCGCACATAGGGAACCCACTATCTTTCCCCCAATGGTAGTCGGAACCATGTCTCCATAGCCTACAGTTGTCATGGAGACGACTGCCCACCAGAAGGCATCTGGGATGCTGGGGAACTGGGACTCTCGCTCATCGGCCTCTGCAAAATACACAGCACTAGAGAAAAGGATGACCCCTATGAAGAGAAAGAATATCAGGAGGCCCAATTCTCTCATGCTGGCTTTGAGGGTCTGACCTAGAATCTGGAGACCTTTGGAGTGTCTGGACAACTTGAAAATCCTAAAGACTCTTACCAACCGGATGACACGGAGGATGGCCAGTGACATGGCCTGCTGGCCTTGCTGAGCGTCCTCTGGCTTCTCAGCCAACTCTGTCCCCAGGGTGATGAAGTAGGGGATGATGGCCACAATGTCAATGATGTTCATGATGTTGGTGAAGAAGCCGGCTTTGCTGGGACAGGCAAAGAACCTCACCAAGAATTCAAAGGAGAACCAGATGATGCAGAGTGTCTCTACAATGAAGAAAGGGTCTGTGAAGGAAGTGGACTGCTGGTACCCGATGGTGCTGTTGGAATAGGTGTGGAAGGTCACCCCACTACCATGCATGTCTTCATTCTCATCCCGGAAGATGGGCAATGTTTCCAGACAGAAGCTGACAATTGAGATCAGAATCACCATGACAGACACAATAGCTATAATCCTGGCAGGCCCTGAGCTCTCTGGGTATTCAAAGAGAAGCCACACTTGTCTCTGAAACTCATTTTCAGGCAGAGGACGCTCTTCCTCCTTGATGTAGCCTTCATCTTCCCGAAACATCTCCATCGCTTCTTCTCCCAGCTCATAAAACCGAATTTCTTCAGAGAATATATCTAAGGGCACATTCACAGGTCGCCTCAATCGGCCCCCTGACTGGTAGTAGTACAAAATGGCATCAAAGCTAGGGCGGTTCCGATCGAAAAAGTACTCATTTCGGAGGGGGTCAAAGTACCTCATTCGTTTCTTTGGGTCCCCTAAGAGGGTCTCTGGAAACTGGGCTAAGGTCTTTAGCTGGGTCTCAAACCGCAGCCCTGAGATGTTGATCACCACCCTCTCACAGCACTCGTGGTCTGCCTCTGGGTCATAGGTGTCCTGTGGGTGCCCAGGGAGGGCAGCAGCCTCGTCTGCTGGGTCTCCGGTGGCCACTGTCATAATTGGGACTGAGAGAAGCACCTCACGCTATGCCTTTCAGCTGCCTGGTGGCAGGGAGCTCAGGGTGCTGCTACTGGCCCCAGGAAGCACAGGAGCATTGGCCTGGTCTCCTGCAGGAGAGCCCCGAGAGCTCTCTGAGAGCTGGAGAGACAGCCTCGCTTGGCTGAAAGACAGAGGCAGTTATTGACATGAGGCTACTCAGCATTGGCAGCCTGACCTGGGTTGCCACTTTTTGTCTCCCATCTCTCAGCCAAGAGTTCAGACACATGATCACCACCACCACAACGACAAAGCAAAATTTACTTTCACCTTGTAACTTGTCTGGGGATCAGGGGGAGCAGGTAGCAATCTCTCCAGGAACCTCTGGAATGCCCTGCATTGGGGGAAGGTGGCTGGTACAGGCCCGCTTGTAGCACACAGGCTTCATGGAGCATAACCCCATGCTAATAGGTTAAAAGTGGACCCTCTCCCAGGTGCTGCACTAATGTCTCAGATACTCATACCCAGGGAGGTATTCATGGTTGGGGAGCTTGGGCCTGGGTCTTTCTCATTGGCCTCCACCCCAGTGATTCTACACAAGGCTGTTATTAAATGATAGATTGATTTACCTGACCAGAGACGTGAAGCTCTCTTCCTTGCAGAGCTGATCAGATGCTGCAGGAATCTGAGATGCACCAACAGGCAGCCCAACTCCTCATCACGTCTTCTCACTCGAGCTAGAAATAATGGTGAGTCATTCTGGGCAGAAGGGCAGACTCTGGGTCCTGGAGGTGAGCTCTAGGATTGGGCTGGGCTGGAGGGGCGGTGAGGTGCCTGGCCAGGGGCATGCGGGACTTGAAGACAGCCGAGCATGGGCCTGGAGCCTTTTGAAGGAAGGAGGCAAGATGCAAAGCTCAGCAAAAGCTGGAGTCCTGGCTGTCCTCAGGAGGTGTGACGTTGCCTGGAAAAAAACAGCAGCAAGGTGGAACCAGGGCATTTGAACCAGCTGGTGCCAAGATTTAGGAGGGTCTGGCAGCTTCCCTCATGGGAGGTAACAGGCCCCCATGCCCATCCTCTATTCTGATGCCAGGCCTGAGGACTATCCCTCAGCCTCCTTGCCTCTTCTGGGCAGGCTTCCCATCAGCTTGAAGCATTTTCTCCCAGGGAGCAAGACTCAGGCTTGGCTGGGCCTGCCTTCTCCAGGGGCCTCCCTGGGTTGATCCAGGTTGCTAGTCCCCAGCTGCTCTCAGGAAGGACTCTGGAAGAAGCACTCCTACCCCCACATGTCAGGACACAGCAGCTCCCAAGAGGAGGGCTTAGCTCACTGCAGCCTGTCTACAAGCTCTGACCTCAGCCAGTCCTGGAAAAGAAGCACCCCACCCCCCAGCACACACACTCCTTCAGAGCGCATCTAGGGAGACCCCACACAACAAAGTCTGCACTGTACGAAAACTGGATGAACTTACTCTCCCTCCGGGATCCCTGGGCCGCAGGCCTCCCTCTGAGCCGGGTGGCATTTGAGCTGGGCAGGCGCTCGACCACTGATTTCTCCCCCAAGAGAAAATCCCTCACATCTCCTCGGCAGGGAGCACAGAATAAACGCTCCGCCTGCCTAGCTGCGAGGCGGCTTGGCAGCAGCGAGAGGGGGAGCCTGGAGGAAGCCGGCTTCCGGACTGGCCCCCTGCCGACCCAATCCCGCCGGCCCCAGGGCGGGGAGGGGTCTGGGCCCTCTCCCCATCGCCCCGGGCTCCGGCCGGGATTCCGTTCGGCGCACTCAGCGCTCGCCTCCGCGCAGAGGACCAGACCCTCCCGCTGGCCGCGGCCGCTAGCGCCACCTTAACCCCCTCCTGCCCGCGCGGTCGGCTCCTGCTGCGGGCCCAAGCGCAGTTCAGCTCTTAAGCCCCCGGCGTCCAGCCGAGGGACCGCCGAGGCTCAGTGTCCAACCCAAAATCCCGGAACCTGATCTCTGGGGGTGGGGAGTAGCCTG
This sequence comes from Homo sapiens, assembly GCF_000001405.40. Lineage (NCBI taxonomy): Eukaryota > Metazoa > Chordata > Mammalia > Primates > Hominidae > Homo > Homo sapiens. The sequence goes on from NC_000001.11 coordinate 110,606,749, forward strand.
CGCCAGGCTGCCGCCCCAGATCTCAGCTTCCTTTTAAGCGCGGGGGCTCGGCGGCAGCCCACGGCCCCAGCGAAGGGGAAAGCCCTCTCTGCAGCAAAGCCGTTTGTTATTCTGTGCCGAAGAGGCGAATGCAGCCCGGCCGTCCCAAGTGGTTCAGGTCCTACCAACCCGCGCTATTTACCAGACATGGTTATGCTGCCAGCTGCACTTCCCACCACCCACCAGCTCCTCTCCGTGCCCTCCGCCCCGCGCCACGCAAACCCCAGAGGGTCCCGAGCCCATTCTGTGCACTCTTCTTGAGCAGGGTGCAAGTTCCCCTTGATCTCCCCGGTCTGGGACCTGCCGAGCAGACGGCAGTGGTCGGCAAGGGCTTGCCGCCGCGGACTCAGCCCAAGCCTGCTGCGCTGCAGGCTGCGCCGCCGGGTGCCCCGCAGCCCCTCTGGGCGCCGCAGCCGGGCAGGGAAGGCAGCACGCGCCGCGCAACGCCCCGACACGGATTTACCCTTCCGGATGGGCACCGGGGCCTCCATGTTCCTAGGTTACGGCCAGCGCCGGCAGAACCCCGGCAGCGGGCGGCGGCGGGGTGCGGGCGGCCAGCCGGGAGCCGGCTCTGCAGTCCCGCGGGCGGCGCGTACGGAGCTCCCGGCCGCCGCCCGCAGCCGCACCGCGCCACGCAGCGCCGCACCTGGCTCGACGGCGAACTCGAATTAAAGGGGCCGGCGGGGGCCGGGGCCGGGGCCGGGGCGACAAGCTGCCCTCCGCCGCCACCGAGCTCGTCACCTCGTTGGGCCCCCGGGCCTCAGCCCCCGCCCCGCGAGGAAAACATTCTTTGGCAGAGCCCGACTTACTAACCAGAACCTCCAGGAGAGCTCAGCTGGGTGCTGCCGGGCCGGGGAGATGGGGGAGGGCAGAAGTTGAGGGGCACTGGTGAGAGGCTCCTGCCAACGTAATGAAGTAGGCAAGGAGGAGATAATCAATAGCAGCTACCCCAGGCCCACAGCGGGATCCAGCCCCGGGAGAGACGTGTTGCTATTATTGTGGTGCCTCCAGACAGGATCTGCAGACCCCTTTCTTGCCCTTTCTCCCGCCAGCGCGACCCCTTCTCCAGATCGGCTTCCCACCTCCCTGTTACCCAGCAAAGATTTGGCTTCGCAGGGAAATGCAGCAGGTGCGGTCCGCAGTGTGGCAGAAACTCTTCTGCTGTGTTCGCCCCCACCGAGAGGAGCCGCAGGAACAGGCAGCACTGCAGGGCTGGCCCTCTCCACTCCCCGACTCCCTCCCCCAGGGCCCGGGCAGGGAAGGCTGGGGGACACGCCGCTGCCCTTGGGAATGGTCAGCTACTCACAAAACGGGCCCTCTGGCAGAACTTGCAAAGCCAGGTGGCCCACAGGGCTCTGAACTTAGGAGTGCAGCTTACAGCACCCTAGGTGGGCAGACGAGGATGCCCTTTGCTTTCGGGAAATGTGTGTGGGAGGCACAGCCTACTTTCTGCCTAGATAGGGCATCCGAGAAGGTCCAGGGTGCTTTTGGGAGGCAGACGACAGCCTCAAGCCCCTGCTAGTTCTGTTCTCCAGGTCCCTGTCAGGGTCACCTAGACAGGTGTGCCAAACAGTGGTGGTTCCTTGAGATAAGACTGCGGTAGACACGGAGCTCTGGATTCAGATGGGCTCTAGCACCAGGAAGTCCCCACTGGGCCCTCCCCCCTACCCTCCGGCCGGGAAACCCTCCTCTCTATGCGTGTACCTCGTGGGGAGAGCCCTGAAAGCCCATGAAGCGGGACTCCGGATTCTGGCGTTTCATCGTGGTAGTCTGTGAGGTGTGGTTGAAGACTGGGAGCCTGCCTAGAGCTGCAGGGGGTGGTCTGGGAGGGCAGTGACCTCCGTGGGCCCAAAGGATGACAGATGACTATAGAGAAGGGCTGGTATGGTTTAGAGCACCTTGAACCTGGCCTGTTAGTGTCCCAGTCAGTGAACGGCTTGGGTGTTTTGGAGGCAGTCAGATGGAAACGTAACTCCCTAACAGTTACTAGATAAGTTATTTCACTTCTCTGGGCACCAGTGCCCTCCTCTGAAAAATCAGGATGCCCCTAAGGGTGTGGTGAGGTTTTAATTGTTGAATGAGTTTAGCATCCAGCAGACACTGAATGCATGATGATTTCGCTGCTCTGCTTCCTTGTGAAACTCTCCTCATAGCTCTTAGCTTCCAGCTTAGCTCTGGGGTGTTTCTCTAGGCTCCCAATCACCAGGTCCTTGTTGCCCCATTCCCTCTGCTTCCCAGATTGCCCCGCCCTTTACTTTCCTTGAGATCTCACCATTCCCACCCCTCTACCAAATTGACCTCCAGTTCCCTTCCCTATATACTCCTTCTGAAAGCCTCCCCTGACCAGCACCAAGGGGCTCTGTTTCTCCTATTTGGCACACTGGGTTCTCGTGTCATTTAAAGTCAGATAATCCTGTGTGGCCAAAGTCAGATACTCTATCCATCTGATCATATGTATACATTTCCTTTGCCTTCCTTCTTGAAAACAGAAGCTGTGGACAGAGAAAAGCCCTTGAAGGAAAATCAATCGTCATAATTGGTGACATGGGCTTACCATGTGTCAGACCCTGTGCTAAGCACTTCTTACCCAGGGCAACATTTAATTCTCACAGCCCTAGAAGTCAATGTATACATTAGTACCATTTCATTGGAAAGGAAATGGAGGCAGTGAGAGGTGAAATCACCTGCCTGAGGTTAATAAATGGTGACTCTAGGACTGGAATTAGGTCTTTGTGATTCTAGGACATGTGCCCTTAGCCCCCACACCACACTGTGCAGGTGGAATGAGCAGCTCTTGAATTTCATTTCCCTCTTTGAGATCTTCCTCTGACCTCTGCTTCTATTTTGTGACTTGGCCTCAGGGGTATGTTGTCCTGTCTCTATCCTTTAAACTTAAATGTGAACAATGACAAAAAAAGAAATTAACTAAAGAAGGGGGAAAAAAAAGAACCATCATAACAGTTGTTTAGGCACATTTCAGGGCTTCTGCCCTGAAAAGTGTCTGTCAGTACCTTGGTTTGGCAGTGCTGTATAGGAAAAGAACACAGGCCGTATTCCCGGCACTAACACTTGCTAGCTGTATGAACTTGAGCAAGTTACTGACACTCTCTGAGCCTCCTACTGTTCGTTTCCTAGTTGGTCGAATGGGAGAGCAAAGCTACTTTACAGGGTAGTAAGGACAAAATTAGCTATAAAGAATGGACAGCCAGCTAACTTAACTGAGCCCCCTTTCCAGTTCTATGGTGGGCTCCATTTCTTATTTTTGGCCACACAATAGCAGCCAGAGTGTCCTTTGATCCTTTCCCTGGGGCATGGTGAAAATCCCCAAAGACCACTCCCTTCCCTTTGGTTTGGTTTCCTGCTTGAGAGCCAGGCCCTGCCTTCAGCAGAGGGAAGGGCTGTGGTGGCTGTCACAGTGAGTGACTGGTGACTACAGTCATCTTAAAAGAAGAGTTTATGACTGTGTATGCATACACACCCACACCCACACAGAGGGACTGGAGGGAGAATCTCTTAGTTCTTCCCATTTGTGAATCTTCTCAGGTGTCACTCCCAGGGAACCAGCTCCCCTTCCTGGCATGACTGCTGCCTCTGCTTGATGCTCCCCACCAGCCCATCCACCCATGTGCTGGCACAGTCCCCACTCACTCACAGGTAGGCAGGGCAGGAGGACACTGGGCTGACAGCCCTCCAGAGATCATTTGATTTAATCCTTGCAACCAGCCAGTGGGAAAGATATCATTGTCTCTGTTTTACAGATGAAGATACTGAAGCTCAGAGAGGACCAAGGTAATTTAGCTGGTTAGTAGTGAGGCTGGAACAGATCAAGACTGTGTGACTTTATAAGTCACCATGCCATTCTACTGCCCACTTTTACTGTTAGCTCAGTGCCAGGCCTCTGGGCTCAATTTCTGGTCTCAGGAACAGAGATTCCCCAGGGGTCGTCTCTCCTGGAGGCAACCTGACCTCACAGGCAATCTGGTTTAGAAGGGAGTTGGTGCTGGTGATTAACTGTTCATACCTTAACTGAGGGACTTGAGGCAGTGGTGGTGCAAGAGTCAGGACCCAAAGGCTCCCAAAGGGGAGGACAAGGCAAGGCATCTGACCAGGGCCGTGGTCTGTGCGACCCAAGCTCACTCACTTGACCTTTCTGAGTAGCAGTTTACTTATAAAATAGGTAGGACACTAGCCCCGCCCACCCCCTTGCTTCATAGGGCTTAAAGACAGAATGAGGAAGGAAGGAAGGAAGGAAGGAAGGAAGGAAGGAAGGAAGGAAGGAAGGAAAGGGACCTTCATTGTTAGTGTGTGTTAACATCTCATTGGTTAGGACTACAGAGGATAATACCCATGGAGGTGCATGGAGAAGCAAAGCCTGGTCAGTGTGGAACAGGACTCTGTTAATGTCACTGTTGTTGCTGATGTTGTGTTGTGCATCTGCCTGACATTTGAGAACTTCCCTTGGAAGTGGCATGGGCCTCCACTCCAGCCCACTACTTACCTCCAAAGTCAAGGTCAGCCTCCTGCAGGAAGGCTTCTCAGATTAACTTCAGCTGCCTCTAAGGGGCCCCTTCATGGAGGCCTGGGCCTTGGCTCCTGTCTTGAATGAGCTGCTACACACTCATCCCACCGCAATACTGGCTAAATAAAAGAATATGTTCTTTTATTACAAGGTGGCTCATGCCTATAATCCCAGTAATTTGGGAGGCTGAGGTGGGAGGATTGCTTGAGGCCAGGAATTCAATATCAGCCTAGGCAACATAAGGCTCCACCTCTAAAATTTTTTTTTTAATTAGCTGGGCATAATAGCATGTCCCTGTAGTTCCAGCTACTCGGGAGGCTAAGTTGAGAGGATCATTTGAGCCCAGGAGTTTGAGGCTGCAGTGAGCCATGATTGTGCCACTGCACTCCAGCCTGGCAGACAGAGCAAGATCCTGTCTTGAAAAAAAAAAAAAAGGCTGGGTATAGTGGTCCATGCCTGTAATTCTAACACTCTGGGAGGTTGAGGAAAGTGGATTGTTTGAGCCCAGGAATTTGAGAACAGCCTGGGCAACACGGTGAAACTCCATCTCTACAAAAAATACAAAAATTAGCCAGCACGGTGGTGCATGCCTGTAGACCCAGCTACTCAGGAGGCTTAGGTAGGCGGATCAGCTGAGCCCCAGCGCGGTGGAGGTTGCAGTGAGCTGAGATTGCACCACTGCACGACAGTCTGGGTGACAGGGTGAGAACCTGTCTCAAATAAATAAATAAATAAAATAAAAGAACATGTTAAGGAATGGCTAATGAGGGTAGTCCCTCCCTCATGGTTTGGAGCTGCTGCTCTGGTTCAAGCAGTGTGCTCGTTGTCTTACCATGAGGCCCCCTGCTGCTAATACTCAAAGGCAGTACAGCAAGGTGGTGGAAGTACAGTCACGCGTCACCTAACGATGGAGACACATCCTGAGAAATGTGTCAGGTGATCTCATCGTTGTGCAAACATCGTAGAGTGTACTTACACAAACGTAGATGGCATAGCCTGCCACACACCCAGGCTGTATGGTAGAGCCTTTTGCCCTAGGCTACAAACCTGTACAGCATGTTACTGTGCTGAATAGTGTAGGTGATTGTAACACACTGGTAACAACATTCACCCAGTTGCCCAAACCAGAAGCCTGGATGTCCTTATCAACTGTCTTCTTCCTCCTTCACCCGACACACTCCACATGCAGCCAATCACTTGGCCTTGGTGTCTGTTTGCTTCTCTCTGATTCCCTCTCCCTCCCCACGCCGCCCTGGTTCAAGCCACCAGCAGGCACAGTCTGGGTCACTGCAACCCCTGTTGGTCCTGTCTTCAGACTTGTTCCCCTCTGGTCTCTTCTCCCCACAGTTGCTATAGAGACCCCACTAAAGTGCAGGTAGGATCTATCACCTCTTCAACTACTCATTGGTGCCCTATTGCTAGGATCAACCTGCATTTCCTAAAAAGCGAGCAAAGCCTTTCATGATCTGATGTTCCCCTGTCTTCCCTCTAAACCTCCATCCTGGAAGTCCACACTGGCATCACATTAAACTGCCTCGAAAGCTCTAACTGGCTTAAAACAGACAGGTCAGGTTAAGACTTGAAGTCAGACAGGCCTGGGGTGGAGCCCCTCCTCCACTGCTTGCCATTCACATGACCTTAGGTGGGGTGTTTTTCCTCTCTGAGTCTCAGGTTCCAATCTGTAAAATGGGATTAATAATGCCCAATGCTTGCTCTGAGGATTAAATGAGATAGTGGGCACAAGGTATTTATCTCAGTGACTTCCAGGAAGGTGTCAAGAAACGTGAGCTTCCAGATGGCTCCAGGTGTTTCTGCTTTGACTCCAGCAGCCCCCTGGCCAGAATGCCCTACCTTCCTCCTTCCCTGTCACTTCAATGACTTCTTCTGACACTCAACTTATGTCACATCCTCCACGAAGCCTTTCTTAACCCTCTTCCTGGTCTCCACCCACCAACAATATGCTCCGGACACAGACCTGTCACACCAGGTCCTGAGGGGCCTGTGTCCATCTGCACGCAGTCTTCCACTAGGTGGAAGCACCCTGAGGGCAGGGCCATGTCTCTTCTGCCCTTGCATACTGGTATCTGCTCCAGGCTGGGCACAAAGAAGCTGCCCTGGCAGTGTTTGTGAACCAGCAAACACCAGCAGATGCACAGCCTCTATGGTGCCCACAGCTTAACTGCCTCTCCTTGCCTTTCAGCCCTAGACTTGGTGTCCTTAGAGGGCCCTCACTTCTGAAGAAACTTGAGTTGCCACAGGGCCAGCCAGGGGCTATTTCTGACTCCTGCCCAAGAGGCTGAGAGGGGTCAAGAGGGAAGACCAGCCTTGCACCAGTCACTACTACCAGGAGGAGGATGCACCAGGCAACCCCTGTATCAGAGGATAGCAGGGCAGGGAGGAGGGTTTCCCAGAGCTGGTGGCTCCCTCTCTATTTTATAGAGAGCTTAAGCATCTTGTTCAGGGTCACCCAGCCAGTCCAGGCAAGAACCACGGTTTGAACTCAGGCACTGTGGCTCCAGAATTCATGCTCCTATCCATCCTGCTGTGCTGTTCTCATAGAGTGGGTATACTGTGGGCTGGACCTCGTCCTGTCCACTAGTCACTCTGTGCTTTAAGCTCTCCTAAGGACCCGTGGTCTTCCAGCTTCTGCTCACACGTGCTTATTGCCTCCTACCAAGGATCATTCCAACTTTGGACAGAGCTAACTTTTCAATTGCCTTTTGTGGACCTGGAATTATCCTTCTTGAAGCTTTCACTCAGGCGTCCCACCTGTGGCCATAGAGAGCAATTCTTCCTCCCCTCCCCTGCACCTTGCAGAGATCAGCACTTTACAAAGTTGAAAACAGTGGCGAGGAGCTCCATGGCTTCTCTTCTTTGAGGTCATTATTCCCAGGTCCTCAACTCTTCCTTATATGCTGTGGCTTGAGGTCTTGCACTACCCTGGCCATCCTCGGAAGTTTTCTAACTTCAAAGTGGGCCATGTATCAAAGTCTCCAGAGGAGAACACTTTGACCCTAGTGTGGCCCAGTTATCCCAGAAGTGCAGACAGTATCACTGTTTTTGCTTCATAAAAGTAGCCTAACACAGGTTGACTCCCTAGTGTCTGCGTTATGTGGCTGAATTAGCTGGGCCTGAAGGTTACTCTAAGCCCCACGTCCTTCTTCTCTCCCTTTTATGGCCTTTGGTCAATAGAGAAGAGGAATAGAACAGAAAAACAAGAAGCAAGTTGATATCATGGAAAGGCCCTTGGCCTGCCAGTTTCTGTCCTGACTTTATTACCAGGTGACCTTGTAAGTCACTTCCCCTCTTTGGGCCCCAGTTTCTTCATCTGTAAAATGGGAAAGCTGGGCTACTTCTTATTCTATGATTCGTTCTTCAACTTTACCTGGCTGAGGAATGGGAGCCTTAAGCAGATGAATGCATATACCTCCTTTATCTCCACTGGCACCATGGGTCCTCCTACTGTCACTATTTTGCTGAGAGGACATCAAGGCTCAGAGGTCATAGGACCTGCTCAAGGTTGCATGGCTCTAGTAAGTGGCAGAGCTGGGATTCCAGCCCAGACTTTGCTGATCCCCACATCAACCGTTACCCCAACACATGTCACTGCCTGTTTAAAAGGGAGAAAGGACTTTCAAAGATGCCAAATCATTTTGAAAACGAATCCTGCAAACATTCCAAACAGTGCAAACCTGATGCTCAGTGCATCTTAATGATGTTCTCTGAGTCCAAGAAGGGTCATTACAAAGGGAACACAGGGAATCTTTGACTCTGAGGCCTTGCAGAAAGGGGCTGAAATTGCAGTGAGGAGTTTCCTGAAGTTCAACCTGAGGAAAATGACTGGCCCTACTGGAAGTTTCATGGCCTAAGGCACCCAAAGGCGACCTGTAAGATCACAGCAGGGCCCGCCTGCCACACACCACTTACCTAGGGCCTTACCTGAATGCTAAGGAAGTAGAATTAGAGGCATGAAAGACTAGGTAGAAAACAGTTGGATAAAAAAACGTGTTTGTTGAATGGAGTAAACTCTTGTGTGGACAGGCAGTGGGGCTTGCCCTGGGAACTCAAATCTGAGGCTCTGGAGTGACTCAGCCTCTCTGGCTCAAGTATTTTTATTTTTATTTCAAACATACATATTTTCTGAATTGATTAAAAGAACAAAACATCCTAAGTCCCCTACTCCCAAACTCTCCTGCTATGAGGAGGTTGAAGGTGGTCACTAGAATGGGGCTATTAGAAAGATTTTCTTTGCCACCAGATGTTCCGCTCCTGATCTTCCTTAAAGGCAATCCCTTGGCACTACTTGTTAGTGTCAGCAACAGTGATGCTTTGGTGCTTCGATCGACCCAAGTCTTTGAAGCAGGGGAGGGAAAGGTAGACAAGTGAGGAGGTGGCTAAATCATCCTGGCATTCCTGGTGTTGCAGAACCAACGTGTATCTAGAAGAGTACAGGGAAGATGACTTAGGAGTGGAAGAGAGCCTGGGGCACAAACGACAGCTAGGAGGAGGGACAGAGGGTCGGGGCGCCTGGGGAGGAGAACCTCTGTGGTTTCCTGTCCCTCTCACACTCGCAACCAGGAGTCTTGGGATGCTTGCTGTTCACCTGAAATTCTAGGCTCATCCAACAGTGCCACCCAATGGCCACATGGGTGCAGGGACGTGCCTAAGGAAGTGGAAACCAGATGGGAGGAGAAAAGAGCCTCACCAATTCAGAAAAAGAGAGACCTGAGTTTCTTTCTGCCTTGAGGATGTGGTATAGGGCTCTCCAGGGGTCTTTGGACCTGGGCAGAGCCATGCTTTAAGGGTTCTGCATGCCTCAAAGGAATTCCTCTCTTCTCTGAACTCTGGCCATTAGAATCTGCTGGGTTAAATCAGGGACTCTGTAACCTGCAGATCCCCAAGTCAGCCTGGAGAGATGGGGCATCTGTAGCCCCTGGCCCAGGCTTCACTTCCTGAGATGATGAGGGGCTGGCAATGCAGCCCCACCCCCACCCCCACCACCCAGGTTCATCTAGTCAGGGTCAGGGGCCGTGGCAGTTGTCAGGTCAGCTCTGTGGGACAGCGGGGTAGAGGGTGGAAGTCAGAATGTGGAGTGACTTCATAGGGGGCTGCGCATCACTTCCCTTCTCTTCCAGCTGCACCTTTCCAAAGTCCAGGAGCTTTCAGGAAATAAGAAAAAGTTCTTTCTTTAAGAAACATGGGACCCCAGAGTTAGATCATAAATAAGCCAGCATGGTTCCTAAGGAAAAAACAACAGAGCCTGGGAACAACCGAGCCAGGGTCTAACTGAAACTCTCCAGGCTATGTGAGAAGGATAATTCCTAACAGAGGCAGGTGCTATGTTCACTCCCATTCAACAGTTACAGAAACAAGCTTGGTGAGGCTGAGTGGCTTGCCTGTAGCCACATAGCCAGCAGCTGGGTGCAAAAGGCAGGAGCTGAGTCATGGTCTGTCCTCTAGCCCCGGCTCTAAACCAGGCATCGAGCCAAGCACTGTGGGGGACACACAGAGCGTGGCACAGAGGAGGTGCTTGATAAATACTAGTTCCTTCCCTAGAAGGATGGATAAGGAAGCAGAATTGTCAACAATTGACTCTAACCCAAGGCAGAATGAATTGGCTTAAATTGAAGAATAAAGTACAAAAGCACCTAAGAAGAGGAAAGCCTTCACCAAGGATGGAAATTGAGAGATGTCTTTACGGAGGAGCAGAATGTCCAAAGACCCCGAAAGAGGTGTTGAAGTGAAGCTTGGGCATTCTTCATGGGCAATCTGCATGCCTCACTGCCTGCTTCATTCATTCACTCCCTGGAGAAGGGCTCTCTGCAACAGCCTATCTCACACTGTGTGAGGAGGGATTTTGAGGATTTTGTTCTCTCCTGTACCCCCAGTGCCTGGAGCACACTGGGAGCTTAATACATATTTGTGAGCTAAATACCCAAATGGGTGAGTGGATTCCAGGAAAAAGGCACAACAGGGACAGACCAGAGAAGCAGCCTCACCTGTGCCAGGGACTCTGCGCCAGATGGAGTGCCAGGAGCGAGCAGTGTGGGAGGACATGGTAAAATGAGAGGTCGATGGGGGAAGACTGAGAAAGGCCTTGAAGTCATGCTGAGGAGTTCAGGTTGTCCTGTAGGTGATAGGGAGCCATTGAGAGTTCTGAGTGGGAGAGACAGGATCCAATCTATGTTTCAGAAAGATAACTTGGGAAATGTGGAGTATAGTGGAAAGGATGGGTCTAAGAGCAGAGGCAGGAAACTGGTAAGGAGGAGGTTGCTTCCCCTCAGAGATGTCAAGGGTCTGGACTCAGGCCATTTGTTCAATAGGTGAACGGTAGAAGGGATGAAGGCAGTGATGAAGAGAAAAGCACCAAAAGGGAGACATTACAGGGAGTGTAGGATTCAGTGATCAGCGAGATGGGAGAGGGAGAGAGAGTGTGGAGGGGCCGCCACAGGGCTTCAGAGAGGTGGTGTGCGAAGTGCATGTGCACCTGTGTGTGTGCACTCATGCATGTGTCGAGGGATGGAGCTCACATGGTGGGCAGTTCTGACATACATGGGGGTTTGTGGGGCTGCTCTGATGGGCCTGTTCCTTGTCAACAGGGCAGATGGCAATGCTGGCCTGATGCTCAGGAGAGAGGTAGAGGGTAGGGAATGGAGAGTTGAAAGTCATCATCATGGAGGGGTCATTGAAGCCAAGGGTGAGAATGAGATCCCCCAGGATGAGAATGTAGATGGAGTGAGAAGAGCAGAGAGGGCCTGGGTGCGGCGGCTCATGCCTGTAATCCCAGCATTTTGGGAGGCCAAAGCAGGAGGATTGCTTGAGGCCAGGAGTTTGAAACCAGCTTGTGCAACATAGTGAGACCCTGTCTCTACAAAAAATAATTTAAAAAAATTATCTGGGCATGATGGCACCCACCTGTAGTCTTAGCTACTTGGGAGCCTGAGGTGGGAGGATCACTTGAGTCCAAGAGTTCGAGGTTACAGTGAGGTATGATCGTGCCACTGCACTCCTGGCTGACATGTGAGTGACCTGTCAGTGTGTGAGAAAAGGCATTTTATCCTCTTTTAATTCCTCTCTGGAGAGTGGAGCCTAGAACCCTGACTGCCTCTGACCTTGCCGTCCAGTTAGGGTGTGGCCCTGGAATGTGGCTGCCTTCCCTCAGTTCTTTCCCTGTGGAATTGCTGCTCTGTGTGGGCTTCCTTTCCTTTCGGAGGTAGGATGAGGCAGCTTGGGTGGCCCTCAGATGGGAAAAAGACCCAGGAGAGCCACGAAAGGAACATAAGGAGAGGATGGAGAGGGTAGAGAGCCCTGCTCAGGTGCACCGAACATCATGACTTAGAGTCTAATTGGCAGCTCAAACATGGCACATCCCAAACCAAATTCTTGCTTCCTTCCCATGCCCCCACACCTGAACCCCCATCCCTCTGAGTAGCACCACTCCTCCCTCATCCAGTTGCTCAGGCCCAAACCCCGGGACACAGCCTTTGGCTAATCCAACAGGGATTCCTATGGCCTCTGCCTTCAGACCATCTTCTGAACCAGATGTCTTATCTCTTCCGGCAGGCGAAGCAAACCTGGCCCCAGATGCTCTACTCTCACCTGGGCTCCTCACAGGCCTCCCTGTTCCTATTCATGCCCTCGCAGAAGCCAGAGTGATTTTATAAACAACATAAATCGAGTTGTTTTATGCCTTTGTTCAAAGTCCAGTAGTTGTTCACTACTCTCAGAACTAAGCCTGAAGTCCTATGGCCCAGAAGGCTCTGTACCGTCTGTCCCCTGGACACCTTTCTGACTTCATTTCCAACCACCCTCTGCAGCTGCCTCCTTCCTGGTCTCCACACCCAAAGAATGCATCCCTGTGGCCTGGCTGTCCCCACTCCCTGGGAGACTGTACCCCCAAACATGCTCATGACTTGCTCTGCTTACACATTACTTTATGTAATTCCTTTATGGGGCCTCTGCTTACACATTACTTCCTAGGAGATGCCTGGCACACACTAGGAAAACGAATGAATGCATGTATGATAATACCGGTTTTAACCTTGTGCCTGGCACATAGGAAGTTCTTACAAGGTCTCCTGTCTCGGCTATGAAATCTGCTCCCACTCCCAAGGGTATGGCTGGTTCTTTGTAAAGGAGGCCCCTCCTACACATACAAGGTGGAAATCAGCTCTGCAGAAAAGACAGACGCACGAGCTGCCACTGGCCGCCAGGGGGCGCCACATGCAGCGGTATCTGCACACTGTGGCTCGGGCGGCAATGCGGCAATCTGGGAGGGCTGCGGCCGTCAACGCCCACGCAGCAGGGAGAGACCGGGAGTGGACAGCCACAGGCAGGGCTTCTTAACCAGCCGCGCCTGGCTCCCTGCGCATCCCGTATCCCGGGTCCTAAGAGATAAAAGGTCAGGGGAGATTTTGAGGGTTTGATATTTTTCGCCACCTATTTGTTAAGCCCTTAAACCCCAGCACTTTCAGTCACCTGAGGTCACCTCTCTGACAACACCTCCCCTTCCGCATTCTAAAAATACAAAACCCAGAAACAGAAGCTTTAGTGTGGTTAAGTAACATACACTCTCTGCCTGACAAACTCCTCAGCCCTCCCCTGGACAGCTCCCAGTCTCTCCAAGCCGACTTAACGTCCTAGGAGACCACCTCTCCCTGTTCACGTGCCCTGTAGCAAATGCTGCTGTGAACTGCGATTGTGTGAGCTTCCTGAGAGCAGCTTAATGAGAGAGAGAGAGCGAGAGCGAGAGAGAGAGAGAGAGAGAGAGAGAGAGAGAGAGTGAGTGAGAGAGAGAGAGAGAAATTTGGTGGGTAAGACTTCTCAGCCCCCAGACCAAATTGGATATCCCTAACATACCCCTGTCCTCACACATCCCGGCCTCTCCTTTCAGACCCTCTCTTCTCCTTTCCCTCTGTGTGAACCATGTCAGGCAGGTTAGCCTTGGAGGCTCTCAGTGTAGACAGTGTCTTAGAGATCCCCTCACTCTTCTTGGGTGCACCCGGCAAACACGGGTTCCAGGAACTCACTGATCACCGCCCCATCCACAGCCCAGGTCTTCCTGTTGTTTTGTGGTCTACTGTGATTGGTGGGAACGTCTGCCCACCGTAGCCAGCAAACTCTGTCTCCCAGGCATGGCTGCCCATCGTCTCACCTGTCTTTCCCATTGCGCCTTCTCGGAGGTGAAGGCTGTGCTGTTAAGAACCCCACTTGGCAGAAGGCCAGAGAGGAGGGCTGGGCAGGGCAGGGTAGGGCATGAACAGTGAGCTGTTGGTCTAGGCAGGGCATGAATTGATGGTGAGCTGTTGGCCTAACCAACAGATGGTCTGAGGTGAGGATGCAGGGTGGAGAGAGTGCTAGGGTCAAGGTAGCATTTGAAGTGGGTAAAGTCGGTCATCTAGGTGCTCCTGTCATCCACATAGCTCCTGAGTTTTGTTCATTATCACTGAAAGTTCCTTTTAAAATATCCTTCCCACACACCCCCAGCGGCCCCGTGTGTTGGATCATCTTGCCTGCAAAACAAACTGCTCTTATTATGTAATGATGAGTGAGTGCGTCTATCCACCGTTAACAACCTGAACATTTGTAACAACCAACATAGCTTCTGGCTGGCGTGAGAGGCTGTGGACTGCCTCACTCTCACTAAAGTGTGAGAATTCAGCCCCAAGTAGAGTCACTTGACATTCTGTTTTGCCTGGGCAGGCTTGTCACATGTAATAGTGTGACTTTCTCTCAGGCTTCTTGAAATTCTAAAATAACTGAAGCGCCTCCATATGACCCTCTTGGACAACCAATCTCTGGGGATTCCTGGGTGCGGATACTGGCTTTGGTGTCTGACTTGCTCTGTCCTGCAGAGTCCCACTCCTTGTTTGCTGGGTGGGTAAGTGTTCATTAGCTAATATTTTTAACGGTTTCCATAAAAAATGGATTAGTGTGCTAATTTTAACCATAGCTTCACATGGCATAATGCCTTAGCCCAATAAAATACATAAAATTGTATATACAGCCTGATTATAACTTCATTAAAAAGCAACAACAAGGGGTAGGATTTCTAGCCATGGCAGAGTGAAGATAAAATTATATGCTTATATTAGAAAAGAAGATCTTACATCAATGACCTCGTTTCCAACTTAAGAAACTAGAAAAAGGAGAGCAAGTGAAACCCAAAATGAGCAGAAGGAAGGAAATAATAAAGATTAGAATGGAAATTGATAAAACAGAGAACAATAGATAAAATCAATGAAATCAAAACTGGTACTTTAAGAAGATTAATAAAATAGATAAGTATCTAGCCAGTCTAACCAGAAAAAAAGAGAAATAACCAATATCAGAAATGAGAGAGATGACATTACTATTATTAACTCTACAGACCTCAAAAGGACAATGAGGGAAATTCTAAACAACTCTATGACAATAAATTGGACAACTTGGTTGAAATGGAGAAATTCCGTGAGAGACATAAACTACCAAACCTCACACAAAGGAAACAAATAACCCAGTACCCCATAGTTATTTAAAAAATAAATATGTAGTTTAAAACCTGCTTAGTTTTAACTAATTTTCTTGGTTAAAAACAAAGAAAATTCCAGGTTCAGATGCTAAACTGACTAATGCTACCAAATGTTTAAGGAAGAAATAATTCTACACAAATTCTTTTAGAAAATGGAAAAGATAATACTTTTCAATCCATTATGTGAGGCCAGCATTACACTTATACCAAAACCAGACAAAAACATCACCAGTAAAGAAAACTACAGGACAATATGCTTCATGAACATAGACGTACAAACCGAATAAAGACGTATGAAATCAAATACAAAATAATAAGAAAAGAATAATACATCATGACCAAATGGAGTTTGTCATAGAAATTCAAGGTTGGTTTAACTTTAAGAAATCAATGTAATTCACCATATGAAAAATATGAAAAAGCAAAACCACATGATTATCTTAATAGACAGAGAAAAATGTTTGAAAATATTCAGTATTCACTTGTGATAACATCTTTCAGCAAACTAGGAATAAAGGGAGTTTTTTTGACCTAATAAAATACATCTATAAAAAAACCTGTAGCCAACATTATACTTAATGATGAAAGACGGAATGCTTTCCTTCTAAAATCAAGAAGACAAGGATTTCTGCTTTCACCATTTCTATTTAAGATTCTATTGGAGCTTGTACCCAGCACAATAAGGTAAGGAAAAGAAATAAATGGCATCTAGATTGTAAAGGAAGAAGCAAAATTATCTTTATTCACAGGTGGCATGGTTATTTATGTAGAAAATCCAATGGAATCTACCAAAAGAGCTACTAGAATTCATAAGTGAGTTTAGAGAGATGTCACAATACAAGATCAATGTACAAAAATCAATCATTTTTCTAAATACAACAAACAATTATAAATTGAGATTTAAAAACCCCATTTACAATAGCATTAAAATATAAGATACTTAGGGACAAATCTGAGAAAGGATGTGAAAGACCTATACACTGAAAATTCTGAAACATTAATGGTAGAAATGAAAGACCTAAATAATTGGAAAAATAGACTGCATTCCAAGGTCAGAAGATAATATTGTCAAGACATCACTTCTTCTTAAATTAATCCACATATTCAATAGAATCTCAATAAAAATCTTGGCAGAATTTTTAACAGAAATTGACAAATTGAGCTATACAATACTGCAAGGAACCTAGAATAACCAAAGCAATTTTGAGAAAGAACAAGATTAGAGGGCTAATACTATATTATTTCAAGACTTACTACAAGGCTGCAGTAATAAAAACAATGTGGTATTGGTGTCAAGATAGACAAATAGATCAATGGAGTAGTAAAGAAAGTCCAGAAATTGATTCACACGTATATGGACAATTGATTTTTGATAAAGATGCAAAGGTAGAAAGAAGTCTTTCAACAAATGGCGCTCGAACAACTGAACAGCTATATGCAACATGAACACATGTACATAGACCTTTTCCTAATGTCATAAACAAAAATCAGCTCAAAATGGATCATTAGACCTAACCAAAAGAGCTAAAACTATATAATTTCTAGAAAAAACAGAAAATGTTTTGACCTTGTGACCTTCGGTTACTCAAAGATTTCTTAGATATGACGCTAAAGAAGCATGATGTATAAAAGAACAAATTGATAAATTAAACCTCGCTGAATTAAAAACGTTTGCATTTCAAAGACACCATTAAGAAAATGAAAACATAGATCCAAGCTAGGAAAACATATTAGCAAATCCTACAAAAAATTACTTTTTGTAGAGACAAGGTCTCACCATGTTGCATAAGCTGGTTTCAAACTCCTGGCCTCAAGCAATCCTCCCGCTTTGGACTCCCAAAATCCTGGGATTACAGGCATGAGCCACTGCACCTGGCCCTCTCTGCTCTTCTCACTCCATCTAACAAGGAACTCACATGCAGAATATATGAAGAATTTCTATAACTCAGTAAAAAAGAAAAACAAATTTAAAAATGGGCAAGATAACTGAATAGGCATCTCACCAAAGAACATATACTAATGGATAATAAGCACATGAAAAGATATTCCCATCATTAGTCATTATGAAATACAAATTTAAAGCATAATGATCAGAACAGTGAAGCCAAAAAAAAAAAAAGAGAAGCACAAAAAGATATCACTACACACTACAAAACTGTAATATAAAAGACTGAGGATAACATCTGTTGGTGAGAATAGGGAGAAATTGAAACACTCATTCATTGTTGGTGAAAATGTAAAATGGTGAATCTACTTTGGTAAATAATTTGTAGTTTCTTTACAAAGTTAAGCATATACCTACTATATTAGCAATTTATTTATAGGTATCCATCCAAGAGAAATAAAAACATATGTCCACACAAAGACTTATATGAGAATACTTATAGCAGGAATAGTCAATATAGCTAGAAACAGAAAGGAATCCAAATGTCCACCAACTGCTGGATTAACACAATGTGCTATATCCATACAATGGAATGCTATTCAGCAATAAAAAAGAAATAGACTACTGGTATATGCTGTAACATGAATGCACCTCAAACATGCTAAGTGAAAGAAGACAGACATAAGAAACACATATCATATGACTCCACTCCTGTGAAATTGCCAGAAATGGCACATCTATAGAGAAATAAAGCAGAACAGTGGTAGCCTGGGGCTTGGGGCGGGAGTAGGGATTGACTGACAAGTGGCAGGAGTGAACTTTTGGGGGTGATGGATATATAAATCTATAAATTTACCAAAACATTAATACTTAGTCTAAAAATGAATGCATTTTGTAGTGTATAAGTTATACCTCGATAAAGCTGTTAAAACTACACAATAACAACAACTACTACACATGCTGGGAAAAATGATGGGAAAAATGTGCCAACATACCAAAAATGGTTATGTTGAGATTGTGTTGCGAGTGGATTTTTTTCTTTATTTCTTACATTTTCAATAATCTGCACTACATTTATCATGAAAAATATAATAACTTAAACAAGAGTGAATTCAGGACTATTTTGTAAGACCATAAATAGTGGCAAGTCTTGGAGATGGAGGTTGATATCGGTGAAAAGTCTGATTGGAAAGGCATTCTTATTTTGAAGATTCTTTATAGGTCCTACAGCCATTCAGAAGTAATAAAATCAATAAGCCTGGGGCTGCCAATAGAAAAACCTTGGCATCATCCTGACTTCTTCCTCCTTCATTTTTAAGACTTCATCTCCAAGTCTTGGCAACTCTTCCTTTAGAGTCAGGATACTTTGGTTTCTTTCTGCCCATTCTGGCCACACAGCCCTCACTCAGCCCTTGGCCCATTGCAGAAGCATTCTAACGGGTCTGCTACCTTCAGTCAGCTTCCCCTTCAATCTTCCCAGAGCAGTGTAAATACATTATTTGTAATGGGTAGGGAAATGCCCCACTACTTATTCCGTACTGTAAAACCTCAATAATCAGAAGAGTGTGGTGGTCCCAGCACATAAATATACAGACCAATGGAATTGAATGGGAAGTTCAGACATAGCCTGAGGACATATATAAATTTGTATACATAAAGGTGACATCTCATATAACAATGAGAGTAGGGATGGCTTTTTAATAAATGGTATAATGACTACTGAGTAGCCACACCACACCCTCTGCCAGTATAAACTCCAAATAGACTGAATATTCAAATGTAAAAAGTAAAATTCTATTACTAGGAGAAATCTCAGGGAAATATTTTATAATCATAAAGAATATCTGTCAATATATGACTCATAAAACTAAAGCCATAAAACAAAAAATTGATAAATTCAATTACAACAACAACAAAACTTTTGCACAGTAAAAAATATGGTAAGACAATTCAAAGAAAAATGATAAAGTGGGAAAAATATCTGTAACTCATTATCCAGACAAATGGCTAATCTTCATATATAAAGAGCTGAAAGAAGTCAATAAGGTAAAAGGTAAGCAATACAATAAAAGAGTGGGAAATGGCAATGAACAATCAGTCCACAGACAAAGAAGTGCATGTGCTCCTTAATATGTGAAAAGATACACTCCTTCATTCATAATTAAGAGAAATACATATTAAGGCTACACTGAGACATCATATTTTTTGACCTATTGATTTGGCAAAAATTCAAAAGTTTAGCCATATATTTATTTTCTGTGCTCTGAAGAAACAGGCCCTCTCATTCATATATTGTTGGTGGGAGTGTTAATTGGTTCAGCCCCATGGAGGCCAATTTGGCAACAGTTTTCAAAACTACAAATACATTTACCCTTTGACCCAGAAATCACATTTCCAGGAATTTATTCTATGAATACACCTAAGTATATTAAAATGACATATACACAAGGTCATTCATTGCTGCATGATCTGTAATAGTAAAAGACTGGAAACAGCCCAAGTGTCTATCACTAGGGGACTGGTAAAATAAACTGTGTTATAGCCATACATGGACTACTATGCTACTATAAAAATGAAGCAGGAGTATTTCTATGTTTTGATACAGAAAAAAGCTCTGGATATATTATAAAGTGAAAAAAAAGCAAGATAAAGCAGTGTATTTAGTGTGCTACTTTTGAGTACAAAAATCAGAGGAAGGGAAAGATATATTTGTATTTGTTCATATCTGCACAAAAAATACTAGAACGATACACAAGAAATGAATCTCGGTGGTTATCTACAGGGATTATGGAATGGAGTGGACAGGGCGGAGTGAGAATGAGACATCTCAGTGTGTACCTTTTATAATTTATTATTTTGGTTTTTTGATTTATGTGAAATATTACTATTCAAAGCAAAAAGTAAAAATCTCTTAAATTTCACCATTAATGCATGTTAGAAAACGTATATACACAACCATGTTGAAGTGTTGTTCCCACAGTCCACACAATCAAGTATAAACTCCTACACCTGTCCTCAAGAGTCTTAATTTCCCAGCTTTATCTCAGCCCTTACCTCTACACAAGCCTCAGGCACCAGCCAGACCAGACTGGTTCTGGTTCCGTGACAACACCATGTGCTCTGGGACCTGAGTCTTTGTTTTTTCCACCTCCCTGCATGGAATTCCCACCCCTACCAGTTAATAACTTTCAAGGCCCTCTTCCTGCATCTCCAGTGAAGTCTTAGTATAAGAAGAATGTGATGACGATGACGATGATGATGATACCTCTGTTTACTGGGCACCTATTTTGCTAGGCATTGCACTAAGTGCTTTATTGCATCTCATTTAATCTTACCGTCAACCACGTGAAGGAGGAATTGCTGTCTCTGTTTCACACACACAGGAAACTGAAAACAGAAGAGGTAAAACCAGACATGGTGCAGCACCACGACCAAAACCTTCGTGTCTAGGGTCAGACAGGCTTGGCCTAGACTCCCAACTCAGCTCCTTTCTGGCTCGGTAACCTTGGAAAGTGACATAATCTATGGAAGCTTTAAGTTAATCATCAGTAAATGGGAATAATTAAAATGTTTATTTCATGGAGTTGTTCAGGATTAATGAGACGCTGGAAAGAAAACACTCGGCACACCGCTTGGCACATAGTA
Source organism: Homo sapiens (assembly GCF_000001405.40). Lineage (NCBI taxonomy): Eukaryota > Metazoa > Chordata > Mammalia > Primates > Hominidae > Homo > Homo sapiens. Next base: position 110,627,347 of record NC_000001.11, read on the forward strand.
AGTGTTCAATTATTGGCTAGTCACAAAGTCCTTATAGTACCAGATTTTATCCACTGCCCATGTTGAAGTCTCCCTCCCTTGAAGTGTGAAGTCCTAACCACCCAAGCCTCTTGTTTATACGGACAACATCATGCCAGCCAATGCTATGTTATCTTTCTCTATCTCCATTTGTCTTTATTTCATCAGTTAGATCATAACGGTTTCCAGGGCTAGGGCTAGCTCCTGGGTTTCTCTCTGTGCTCCCTCATTGGACCCAGCACTTAGTAGATGCTCAATAAATGTTTATTGATTTTGTCTGAAGAAAGTGGGTAAGAAAGGAAAACAAAAAGGAAGAAGGAATCTAAAATAAAACAAGAGACATCTAGGACTAACATAATTATAAAAAATGTTAATACAACCCTTGAGCCCAGAAGTTCGAGATTGCAGTGAGCCACGATCCCACCACTGCACTCCAGCCTGGAAAAACAGTGAGACCCTGTCTCAAAAAAAAAAAAAATAATAATAATGCCAGGCTTGATGGGGACAAAGTGAAGAGGGAGAAACTCCTATGAGGTGGACAGGAAGTGACATAGCAAGAATAGGAAGTGGGAAAAGAGGGTACTGAAAGTAGTGCAATGCAATGCGGGAAACATATTTAGAGGGACTACTCTTGGGCAACACTGAATTTCCTCATTTCTTGAATTCACTAAGATATGGATGATTAAAAGGCCACTGTTAACTCCCAAGTTAGTCTTATTGTTTGGAGATGATGGTGATGGTTGAAGGGCTTTTAACTGATCACAAGTTGTTCTTGTGCCCTGATGGGGGAAAAGACAGTATTTAGCCCTGAGCATTAATGGTCCTGGGTGCTGCAAAGGCCAGGAAGCAGTTCTCCATTCTGTCCTCCACACTGGGTATATCTTGACTGGGAGTTTGCATCCAGTTTTGATCCATGGACTTTATAAAAAGAGGGAGCAGTGGGAGAGTGCAGCAAAGTGGGTGGGGAATGAAATGCTGTCCCCTTCTTCCATGATCGCCCTCTGAAACGCCATTCATCTTGTTAGGTTCACTGTGAAGAAGCCTCCTGGGTGTTAGAATGGGCCTGACCATCCTCCGTATTCCACTGGTTTCCACTTGGTGACAGTACTCACACAAAGCTATTTTGCATAAGAGAAATGAGAGAGCAAAACTCCCTCACCCCAGACTGGGAACTCCTTGAGAGCAGAGACCCATTGTGTCCATCTCTGTACTGCCTGATGGGGGCCTTGTCCAGTGTCCGGCATCTGGTGCCTGACTTAAACAGGTGCCCCATAAATATTTGTTGGTTGAGGCGTCTCTGTAGAGGACTGGACAAGAGGTGATGACTTGAAAGAAGGCAGGAGGTCAGATTAGATGCCCCACTGCAGTGCTTCTTTGACACTCTAGACTTCCCACACATTATCACCAATCCCACAGAATTCGTCTGTACATTTTAGGCCTCTCTCCCCCAACCAGATCCTTCAGAGCAGAGATGGACTGACTTGTGCTAAAAGTAGATACTAAATGATTGTTTATTGAATACATGGACACAGCTTCATAATCCTGTAGATTGCTTTAGAGCTCAGCAGAGCTGATTCCCCTGGGAATCATGGTGGTGCTGCACCATGCCTGGTTTTACCTCTTTCTTGGCAGCAAGACCTGATGTGTTCTCCTCAAATTTGCATTTGATATCATTCATGTCCCAGGCTAGATCCCTGAGGATCTTCAAGAATGGCTCCCAAATGTTGGCTGCATATTAGAATTGCCTGGGGAAGCTTTAAAATTCTAGTGCTGAGGTCACATTTTGGATAAATTAAATCAGAATGTCTTGGGGTGAGAGCCTGAGTTTAGTGGCTGTTAGTGATCCCCAATTACCACCAAATCACCAAATGATCCCCAATCAGCGAGTGATTTTTAAGGTCCCCACCAATGGCCCCAAGATCATCATTCCAGACAATCCCCAATGGATATGAAAGTTTGGGAACTACTGGTTTTGGAAATGCATTTTTATTATAGAAATTGAATAAGTCTCAATATATCAGAAAATTAATAATGAGACCTATGTCCCTGACACAACATAAATGGAGGTGCCACTGTAGAACATTTATCAAAGGATCTGGTGTGATAGCTGGAATTTGTCCAGATGCTGTTAACGTTTGTAGACTACCCTGAGAAGCAGCTCAGTGAGGCACCTCTTCCTCAGCACAGTTACTCTCTCCTTCCCCTGTGTGTATTCAGCACTTTAAATTATTTGTTGCTATGTTTTTCTCCTCACTAGTTGTGAGCAACTTGAGGGCAGGAACTGTGTATCTATAAGCACACTGAGCATCTGGTGTCTGACCCTCGGTGGATGACAGACACCTGTTTGTGGCATAAATGTGTCAGTGAATTCACTCATTAATTTATATACTCATTCAACAAATGATGATAGTAACAGACAGAAATGTATGGTATTGGCAGAAAACAGGAGTTAATTAAGACGAGAGAAAAACGAGGAGACCGAATTAAACACAGGGAAGTAAAAGCTGAAGAATAAAAGAAAGAAAAGGGTATTCATTTATCATTTGAATTCATGTAATGCAGTGGTGGGTAGGTTTGACTGGAAGAAGCGTTTTTTTAAATCAAATGGACTCAAAAGTGAGTTAACATCTCTAAGTGCTCTGTACTTTTTTTTTTTTTTTTTTTTTTTGAGACGGAGTTTTGCTCTTGTTGTCCAGGCTGGAGTGCAATGGTGCCATCTTGGCTCACCGCAACCTCTGTCTCCTGGGTTCAAGCGATTCTCCTGCCTCAGCCTCCCAAGTAGCTGGGATTACAGGCATGCGCCACCATGCCCGACTAATTTTTGTAATTTTTTTTTAGTAGAGACAGGGTTTCTCCATGTTGGTCAGGCTGGTCTCAAACTCCTGACCTCAGGTGATCCGCCCACCTCGGCCTCCCAAAGTGCTGGGATTACAGGTGTGAGCCACCACACCCGGCCAGTGCTCTGTACTTTTTCTCCTTTTTAGGATATTTAGTTACAATTAAAATAAATGAGTTACTATGTATTATTTGCATAGCATCCCTTTTCTCTTCCAAGTTCTAGAAAGTCAGAACCTACTTGTGGCACTCACCTCCGTGTCCCCAGTGCCCAGCACAGCATGACACAGAATGGGTGCTCAGTAAATATTTACCAAGCTGTTCAATGGATTCATGGTTTCAGTTCTTTCTCCTATTACCCAAAATCATCATGTCATCTTCATCTCAAAGTTGTTATGAAGAATAACTTAGATAAAATACATAAGCACTGGGCGCATGGTAGGCATTCAGTAATTGTTAAGTCATTATTATAATTGAGAAAAACAACAGACACTAAGCACCTACTTTGAAACAGACCTTATGCTAAGTGCTGTGCAAAAAGGGACAATCAAAAGTGCCAAGAAATTGCATCTTTCAAAAGCTGTATGGATTTGAGGACCCCATTGTCACTGCCTCCCCCTGCTCACTCCCCAAAGAGCCTCAGCAAACTCCAGTATTCACTCACAATCATCTGTCCCCCTGGCCACACCCCAGGCAGCCAGCCCCGGAACCACTAAGCCTGGTCTTCCTTTCCACCACCACCAGATGGCAGCACAAAGCCCACGGATGGACAACGCCCCGTGCAGGAGGGCTGCTGTCTCAAGCACAGGTCTGGCCTTGGTCGGCTGTTTGGGAGTTACACTTAATGCTTTGGGATTGGTCCCTTCCTTTCCACTTCCAAGCCTCAGACCCCATCCCCTCACCCTAGAGTCACTTCACACCTGCAAGGTCCTCATTCACAATCCTTCGCAGAGTACCTGGAGTGCCTTCCTTTAGCCTCCATTCCATTACTGATCCCCGGGTTGCTTTTCATGAAGGTGTCAAATCCCTTGTCTGGCCCTTGAGGTGTCTCCCCATCGCAGCTCGCCTCACTCTTTGCTGCACCCCAGCAATGGCCTACCAGTCACCTCCTGTTCTCTGTCTTTGCTCACATCATTCCCTGCCTGTTATGTCCACACATGCATGCTCACCCTTGCTGCCCCTCCTCTTCTCTCACCAACTTGAAAGCCCAGCGGAGGCTCTCCTGCAGAAGTCTTGGCGCTGGAAACCAGATGATGGCTCACTCTTCTATGTGCCCCATCACCACTTCCTTTCTTGGTCAGCGCTCAAAGGGTTTCAGGTTCTAGGTGACCTGGTTGCATGATGCTTCATCAACAATCTTCAGGTGTTTCCTGTCACCCCAGCCAGGGAGTGCAAGAACGGGTTTTTCTCTTAAAACAGAAACTGAGCACTGCAGACTAGCAGGGGTGGGTTAGCCATGCAGAGTTAGAAAGAGCAATCAGCACTTGGAAAACATGGCAGGAGACAACAGGGAAGGCGAAGGGAGTTGCGTACAAGTAATTCATTATGACTGGAGCTCAGTGTGCAAGCAATAAAAGAGAAGTGTATGGAGAGGGTAGCAGGGACCAGATCTTACAAGGTCTAGAAGGCTCTGCCAACGTTATTTGGACTTTACTTTGGAGGTAGGGGAAACTTAAAGGATTTTAAGCCAGAGAGGTGACATGACTGGATTTTTCTATTAAGGAAGATCACTCTGGCTGCTGTGGGGGATGGACTGCTGAGGGGGCAATGACTGCAGGGGTAGGGAGACCACCTGCCGGGAAGCTGTTGCAGTGGTCCAGACAGAGAAGATGTGGGTATGAACTGAAAAGAGATACTGCAGGGATGGAGTCAGTAGGCTAAACAAGCCCTGTAGACCTGTTGAGTCTGAGGGGTCCATGGGATACCTGAGTGGGGAGTGCAGTGGGATTTGGATGTTCCTGCCTGGAGCTTGGGAGATAGGCCTGGGCTGGATCTAGAAGTCTGTACGGATGAGGCCTCTGAGATGTATGAGATTATGCAGGGGGTAGGGGTGCATGTAGAAGAGAAGAGAGAAAAGTGGGAACATTTAAAAGCCTAAAGACAAGGAGGAGCCAGAAAAGGAAATGGAGAAGGTACAGCCATAGATAGAGGAGGAATCAGGGGAGAGTGATGTCTTGGAAGCCACAGATGAAGGCTGGCTCAAAGGCAGCTGAGAGGTCAGGCAAGAAGAGACTGAATGTGTCATTTGGAGGAAGCAACACGGAGGTCACAGTCTCAGTGGAGCCATGTTGGGCAGAGGCGGAGCTCCATGGGTTGAGTGAGTGGGCAATGAGGAGGCAGGAACGGGCTTATAGGTACTCTTTGAAGACATTTGATTGTAAATAAAATGATGAAATTAGGTGGTAGGTGAAGGGAATGTAGGATTAAACAAGGTTTTATTTGTTTAAGGTTTTTCATTTGTTTTAACATGGAAGAAACTTATGGAGAGAAATAGATACAAAATGAGTAGTTGAAGATGCAGGAAAATAAGGAGAGAGAATTCCTGGAGGGCAGAAGTAAGAAGGGATTCAGAGCACAGGTGGAGGGGCCATGCTCAGATAAGACCTGGGACACTTCTTTATTTTTATTTTATTTTTTGAGATGGAGTTTTGCTCTCGTTGCCCAGGCTGGAGCGCAATGGTGCAATCTTGGCTCACTGCAACCTCCACCTTCCAGGCTCAAGCGATTCTCCTATCTCAGCCTCCCAAGCAGCTGGGATTACAGGAGCCCACCATCATGCCAGACTAATTTTTGTATTTTTAGTAGAGATGGGGTTTCACCATGTTGGCCGGGCTGGTCTTGGACTCCTGACCTCAGGTGAGCCACCTGCCTCGGCCTCCCAAAGTGCTGGGATTACAGGTGTCAGCCACCTCGCCTGGCCCAGACCTGGGACACTTCTTTGATGGTAGGAGGTGAGAATGGATTGGGATTGGCTTTGGCTGAGAGTACAGAGGCTGGCTGAGGTTAGGGTCCTCAGGCACCTGGAACTGAAAGGTCTTCACTAAGACAGACCGAACTCTGCCCAGATCCTGGTGAAAAGGAAGGACGTGGCAGTACTTCCTCTCCTTGTGGCTATGGGATTTTCCCTATTGGGACCCCTAGACTGGGTAAAGGAGTGAAAAGGCCACCATGTTATTGATGCAGGGTGGGACTGTGCTGGTGAGGGAGCAGGAAGGGGGTTGCTGGAGTTGGAAATCTTGCAAGAAAGTACTTAAAGCAATGCCTAAGGGTTCTGGGCTACTGGACTGGTGGGAGTGCTGACAGCAGGACACTGATAGGCTGGGGAGAGAAGACAGTGCTCAAGGGTGGAAGGTATCAAAAACATGCCAGAGACCATGCATATGGGATTCAGAAGCAAGAAACTTGAAGGCAGAGAGGTGAGAGTGGGATGTTTGAGTTTAAAATTCCCAAGGAGTGCAAGTCCCGTCAAAGTTCAGGATGTGGCCTTGAGTGGGGTCCCCAAGCAGAGTCAGGGTGTAGGAGCCTGGAGAGGAAAAGGTCAAAGGTTTTGGTCCCCAGGATTCTGGATGTCAGGGTGATAACTGAATTTGAGGGGAAGCCTGGGAGCCAGGTGCCAAGGCCTTTGATGGCTGAGGAGGGAATGGGTGGGCAGCTCTGAGAGGGGGTCTTGTCGTGTTCTAGATAATGAAAGATGAGCAGGGGATGCCTCAAAAGGCCACTGGATGTAATCCAGCCCTAGGCCAGCTGGACTTGGGTGACTTGCCTGAGGACAGGCAGCAAAAAAGTGGCTGAGACAAAATAAAAATTAACTTTATGTCTGTAATCACTTACTCTTCCAACCCTTATGGACTGCCGGTCTGTACAGATGTTCTGGTTCACTAAAAGCTTGGTTGACAAGACTTTTTATTCTCCTGAATTTGTAGTACATATTCACCATGTGACCTTGGGAAATGCATGTCATATTCTACCAGCCTCAGTTTCCCCCTCTGAATGCCAAGAGGCTGACCAGAGTGGCAAGTTTTCAGCCTTGTCAGGTGGACCCCAGCGATTCAGTGAAAGAGGCTAAAGGTACCTGGGTGGTGTTGCAGAGCTGGGGGGTGGGAAGATTACAGGGAATCTGCAGGGGATCAGTTCCTGGCCCCACCTTGGTCTCCAGCTGAGCAGCTACCCTTGAATCTGCCAGAATTCTAGACTTCTGCATGAGATTTTGTTTGGAAAGAGGATTCTGCTGCCTAAAACTGTGAAAAATCATGATCTTGCCTAGCCCTGACACTGCGTGAGCCTGTTGCCTTCCTGTACTGGAGGGTGTATCCTTGGCAGTGTGTCCCTTCTGCTTGCCCCAGTCAATTTTAATGCCTAAGCACTTGGCAGGAACATGGGTAGTGCCAGGACCTCTGTAATGCACTTGGCAATGAGCTGATGCTCTTTAGTGGTAGTTGTGACGCCTCTCAGAAATCTGACTTTACTAAAGTGGTATTGATGGGCCAAGGGCTTGGGTGCTCCTCAGTGACCTTGATGATGAATTACATCTGGGATCCAGTGAGTGGAACAGACAGGTTCTTTAGCTGAGGAACAAAGCCCAGGCCTGTTCTTCATCACTTAGCACCAGCTGGGATCCCTTGTTGCCAGGCTGGCAGCTGTGAGGGATCACTTGGCCACCAGGAAGACTTCCCAGCTGGGACTGTTCTGAAGATTTGTGCCAGAGAAACTACATCTGTGAGTCACTGCTCAGGGGAAAACCCAGCTGCTCGGCTCAGCTCCAGCCCCAGTGGCCCCGGGGAAGGACCAGAAGGCAGAGCGAGAATAAAAGATAGGCTGCTTTGCTTTTCTCAGTTTCCATAGCAGGTTACCGTATTTGCAGTTCTTCATTTCATGAGGGAAGTTGAGAGTGGGACTGGAATCAAAAGAGGTACTCAGATGGTGAAGCCCATAGCTGTTGGGTGTGGAGGTTTTGGCTAAGCCACCAGGGATACTTCTCTGACCCTCTGGATCCTTACTTTGACTCATCGCCCTTTTTTTTTTTTTTTTTCTGATCCACAGGTGGCTACAGCCAGGTTCATAGTCTGGCACATGGCATTTTCTGGACAGTGAGAATCAGGAAATGGGGGTGAATCTTAGAGTGGGTCTGATGAATCGTGGGAAAATCTCTCAACATTGAGACAGAGATACTGGAAGGAGCTTGAGATTTGTTTTATAAGAAGAGGGATTCTTGGTGTCATGGCTGTCTTCTCAGAAGGGAAGATCGGTCAGGTGTGGGCCTGAAAACCATGGGTGTTAAAGGGCTGACCCTGGAACAGTCCCTGCAAGGATAGGGGTGGACCATCAGGACAATGATGGGAAAGTGCTGGTGTTTGGGATGTCACTTCCCACAAATTGACAATCACTGCAGAGGCCAAGAAGCCTCCCACTGGGTTTGGGGGGTCAGTATCTCTTCAATTAAACTAAGGCAAATTCTTAGCTGCCAAGGAGGCCAGGTGACTTTGGGTTCTAGTCTCAGATGAGTCCTAGTGGGCTAGAAGCCTGCTTTGCTCTGCTTGACACAGACCAGACATGATGGGTAGGACTTAGTTCCACAGTGGATGTGGGGAGTCCTGTGAGCTGGTGGGAGTGTGTCTGGAGCGTGCCTAGAATCATGGGGCCTGCATGGTAAAGGTCCTGCAACCAAGCCAAAATGGGGATGCTTATGGGGCTGGGGATGTTTAGCCTAGAAAAGGGCATAGGAGGCTAGTGTTTTTTGAATCCCTGTTGCTCTAGATGACAGAACTGAGGCCAATAGATGGAGATAATAGGAAGAAAAATTGTGACTCACCAGAGATAAAGCTAGCTGATATTTTAAGACAGTAAAGTCTAATGGTTAAGATCTTGGACTCTAGAGTAGAGTCACAATGGGCACCACCCTGAATCCTGCTCACAGATGTGGGTCTGCAACCCACTTGGTGTTGGCCTGCTCTGCCCTGGGATTTAAAAAACTTGCATCAGTCATCAGCACAAATTGGGAGATTATGCTTACAAATCTATATGGATAGCCTCTTTTTAAAAATCGGAGGATCTGATCACCCAAGTTCCTACTCTCTCATGTAACAATAAATGGTACGTGGGTGGCAGCTGCCTCTTCTGAATAAAGCAGATGCACTGTGGTTTTTCACAAGTGCTACTTCCTCCACCTTTCTTACATTTGCACAGTTTCGCTGATTCCCAGGTGTCTGCAGGTATTGTAGTTTGCAACCCTTTTCTAGTTAAGAACCCAGGGTTTGTAACCTGGCTTTGCCAATTTTAAGTTATTGTGACCTTAAAGAAAGGAGTCAATTTCTCTAAGCCACAGTTTCCTTATCTGAATATGAGAATAATAATAATACTTACCATGAGTTAAAGAACTCCTGGAAAATGGCTGGCAAGGAGGGAAGCACACCATGAGCGCTCACCAACTCTTAGCTGGTGAAATGCTGTCCAACAGTGGAGGAGGTAGCCTTGGGAGCTCTATCACCAATGCTGGGCCTGCAGAGGGGCTGCATGACCTGGTGGTAGCCAGGACTACAGAGGAGGGACAGCCACCAAGAACTCTGAAATAAGTGGGCCATGCAGCAGTACTCCTTGGGCCCTTCCCAATGACCAAGTCAAAGGTGTTGGTGTAGAGCTTCTCTTGATGCTCATTAAAATCAAATTTGAGGCCAGGTGTGGTAGCTCATGTCTGTAATCCCAGTGCTTTGGGAGACCAAGGCAGGCAGATTGCTTGAGCCCAGGAGTTTGAGACCAGCTTGTGCAACATGGCAAAACCCTGTCTCCACAAAAAAACAAACAAACAAACAAAAAAAAACCCCAAAAAAACAACAACCAAAAAAACCCCAAATTAGCCAGGCATGGTGGTCCATGCCTGTATTCCCAGCTTCTTGGGAGGCTGAGGTGGGAGGATTACCTGAGCCCAGGGAGGTCGAGACTGCAGTGAACCGTGATGGCACTTCTGCACTCCAGTGTGGGCAACACACTGTCTCAAAAATAAGTAAAATATTTTGTGTCTCAAAAATAAGTAAAATAAAATAAAAATAAAATAAAATTAGATTTGATCTGGAAAGAAATTTTGTAGAAAAGAATGTGTCACCTGGAGTAACCTACATCCAGAGTAACCTACATCCACTTGGGAGGCTGCAGTGTGCTCAGAGTGAGTTGGAGTTCCAGCCCTAGCTGATGGTGGGTGGGAGCATTCCCCTGCCCCTTCCTGCTCTGCTGCAGGGCTCCTTGGAGCTCACTGGCAGCATGTCCTCCCTTGGTAGCTGGATAGGCCCTTCAGTAGGCTCTGCAGGCTGAGCAGCCATGGGAGACAGCTAAACCCATACCCATACTTTGGCTCTGTGACAGAGTGGTCCAGCACTTCAGGACCTGCCTGGGTCCTGGGTCTGCCCCTGGGTGGGGCCTGGGTGGTATGGGTTCCCTTCGGGTGGTCTGGACTCAGCCTGATGAGACAGCCTTTGGTGGCTGGTTTCCATTGGCCCCTGAGAAGCCCTCTGCTGGAGCGGCATGGAGTGACTGAGAGAGTCAGTTCTGTGTCTTGAACTGTCATGTATTTTCTGGTTCTGGAAGCAGAATCTGCTTTATGTGCTTGAGATGCTGAGCCAAGGGCAGACACATCCTTATTCTCAGAGAGCCACTACAGGAGGGGAAGCAGGGGTCTACTGGCCGTGAGCACAGCAGTACATGCCGCATGTCTGCCAGACAGGCTGGGAAAAAGCTTGGGGGAGAGGGAGGGCTCACCAGGCCTGGAGGCTGCAGGAAGCCAGCCTCCTGGCCTCTGAGGATGGTGCTATGACACCAGTGCTGAGGACTGGTGGGTGCAGTGGGGTGAGTTGAATGAGCTGGGAATTCATGCTCTGAATCTATTTCCCCTGCTGCTTCTCCACTCCTCTATTCTCCCTCCCCTCTCCTCTTCGGCATTCACTGTAGCCTTGATACTTAAAATATCATCACAGCCAGTGAGCAGCTGTCAATGACCGGTCCCCTTACCTCAGCACTAGGTGGTGCTTGTATCTCCCTTCTGGCTGGCTGAGGAAGCTGGGCAGCAGGAGGCAGATGCTGGTTCAGAGCCCCTCTTCTTGCAGAATCATTAGGCAAAGCTCCCAGCAGCCTGACTTATGCAGATGTCAGAGCTCAGGCTTTGGTTCTTGTGCTTGAGCTAATTGGCATCTTTGGAGAAGCTTTTCAGCCTCTGGCCTGTGGGCACCTGTCCCTGAGGGGTGGCCCATCATTCAGCCTTGGTCTTTGCATTAGGCCTGTATAGCTACCGAGTTTTCACCCCAAGCCATGTCTGATGGCCTTTGGCTGGAATCTGGGATGGTAGAAAGCTGTTGAGACAGTTGAGTCTAAATTAAATATTAGATCTGGGTGGGTTTCACATATTTCATAGCATAACTTTGTTGGGATATTTATTTGCTCTTCTCCTGGTTCTCGCAATTTAATAATTGAGTAAAATCCGTTTTGACATTCAGCACTGATTTGCTTACATTCTGCTGAAGTGCACCTGCTCTGTGAGAGAGTGGGTGTGTGTCAGGAGGCTGGGAGAAGTGGGGGCAGACAACAGAAGCTTCAAATGAGAGACATGGCTTGGGCACTGACTTTATATGTGAAAATGTGATTCAGCCTTAAACTTGTGGGTCGCTTGCTAGATGACAAGCGCTAGATCAGACTCCAGTGGGAGAGTAAAATCATGGAAGATACCGTCTTCTTCCAGGAAGCTTGTGTTGGGGAAATAACGTCAAACACAACAACACCAGCTAAAGAGCAGAGTGCAAAGACAGGTGGCTCTCCCCTAATTCCACTGCACATACACTCACAATCAGATACACATATGTACACATTAGGTCAAACCTGTGAAGACCAAACCAGGCTCTGGGTTTTGGGATTGGGGTCATCAAGACCTACAAGTAAAATCTCCTCTTTTCAAATCTGCATTTCCTTATAGCAAAATGGTGGGAGCATAGGCCCTGGAGCCAGGGGCCTGCCTGAGAATCTGGTTCCCTCCATACTAGCTGTTTATGCTTAGACATGCCACTTAACCTGTCTGTGCTTCAGTTTCCTCATCTGTAAAATGGGAATTTCAGTGTCTATTTCACAAGTTTGCTGAGAGGTTTAAAGAAGTTAAAACATGTATGCGCTTCAAACAGTGTCTGGCACATGGGCAGTGCTCAGTAGCTATGACTATTGTTCCAAAGATCTGACCACTTTTCACTGCTTGCAGAGGTAAACGGTAGATGTTCAGACCATAAGGGAAAAACAGAGGCCCATTTTTAAGATGAGAAAGTGGGACAAGTAATAGAATATCTGCCTGGTTTCAGGAGAGGAGAGGGTCCTGGAAACTTGGTTCTTCTTACACAGCTGCTGAGCCCCAACTGAATTCAATTCATCAAAAGTATAATGAGGATCTGCTGTGCACAAGGTATGTAAGTGTGGTGGGGAAACAGGTGCTTCAAGTATGGAGCCCATCCTCTACCTCAGGAGGTGGAACAGACAGATAAAAACAAGGAGTAGAACATGATAAATATCACAAATACTCAGGAAGACCCTAAGTTGTAAGAAGAGAGGAAAGTCCTTTTGAGTGTTGGAGAAGAAGATATCAGGGACAGCATACATCAGAACAGAAAGGCAGAAAAGCTTGGCATATATTTGAGAACAGGACAGAGTCTATTTTGGTTGGAGGAAGCTTGGGTGAGAAAGGGTGTTGGGCTATCACTGGAAAGTGTGGGATGCAAAGGCAGGGTGAGTTGGCACTTCATCAACAGATAATGGAAGGCCACTGAAGGCTTTCTGAACAGGAGTAGAATCTTTTTATATTTTAAAACTAGTAGACTACAGTAAGTGAGGAAGATGGAGGGATGAAAGACGACAACTTTTGTTCATTTGTTTGTTTGTTTTGCCTGGGTGACTATCTGCATGATGGTATCTGCTAGAGATAGGGAAGTCAGAAGAAAGGGCCAAATCACTGGAGAAAGAAAATGCTTTACTTGGACAGTCTGGATGGGAAGTTCCAGTGAGTCATCCTGGTGGCAATGACTGGCAGATTGTTGGAAATGGAGGAGCTAAAGCGAGAGAGGCTAAGAATAGAGATATGGATTTGGGAGTTAGTGGCAAATAGAGTTAAACTATGGGAATGTATATGATGGCCTGAGAAGAAATTATAGGAGAAGTAAGAAGGACTAAGGGCTGAGCCTGGGAGACAGGACATGGAGGGGAAAGGCAGCTGAGAGGAGCCTTGAAGAAGACTGAAGAGGAATAATTGCTACTGAGGAGAAGCAAGGCAGTTCAGTGTGATGGATGCCAAAAGATGGAGAAGTCAAGGAGGTAAGACCCAAGGAAAGGCTACTTTTGGGCTGCTGGTGACCTGGAAGAGCCATCTGCATAGAGTTCTGGGATGGGCAGAGTGAGAGAGCATGGTAGAGCAAAGGGTTGTGGGAAGACCTGAGAGGCTTTGTAGAATTAAGGGAAGAGATGAGATACCAAGCGCATTCAGTCCTGCCTATCTTCCTAATGCATGAATTAAGATCAGAAAAGAGAACTAGAGAAAGAGGCTAGATGGCTGCGAGAAGCCAGAATATTAAGAAGTTGGTCCAGGTGAGGTGGCTCACGCCTGTAATCCCAGCACTTTGGGAAGCCGAGGCGGGCAGATCACAAACTCACGAGTTGGAGACCAGCCTGGCTAACATGGTGAAACTCTGTCTCTACTAAAAATACAAAAATTAGCTGGACGTGGTGGCGGGCTCCTGTAATCCCAGCTACTCGTGAGGCTGAGGCAGGAGAATCATTTGAACCTGGGAGGTGGAGGTTGGAGTGTGCCAAGATGGTGCCATTGCATTCCAGCCTGGGTGACAGGGCGAGATACTGTCTCAAAAAAAAAAAAAAAAAAAAAAAGAAAGAAAGAAAAAAGAAAAAAAGAAATTGGTATTAGTAGCAGAAATGCGGAGTGTGAGAGGGTGTATATAAATGGATCAGTAAGAAAACAAAGATTGAGACTGTTTATAAAATAGAATTGCCTGATTATGAACCAAATATGAGTCAGTTAAAATATGTCAATATAAAACATTTATTCTTAAGGAAAACAATTTAGACAATATCAAATATATTTAAAATGTTGGGTAGGCAATGGTTATGAAGGAGGAGAAGCACGCACTTCTCCAACTGCACCATCACTAGCCACACGACTTCCTGTGAGTTATGACCCCTCTGCTTCACATTCTCATCGTATAATGGGGATAGTAACACTTTTCAAGGTTTTTGCATTGTTGTAAGGACTGAGTGAGCTATTGAGGAATCTGAATGCAAAGGAGTTATTATCCCAGTGCCTTGTGCATTGTGAGTAGGTGCTGAGTAAGTATTAACTATCATCACTATTAGCTTTTCTCGGCTGTCGGTAGTGCAGTCTTGGAGGGAACAGTTTGGCATTCTGGGCCCTGAGATTTAGCTGGATGGATGCTCAAATACTTGCATTGAGTGGATAAATGCAACTGAAGTAGAAGTGAAAGATCGTGTGTGACTAAACAAAAGAGAAAAGGGAAGAGAAAGGAGAGGTTTAGTGCATTTGTGAGTGTGTGTGTGTGTGTGTGTGTGTGTGTGTGTGTGTGTAGGGAGGGAAGATGGTAATAATGCTAGGAGAAAGGCAGCATTTCATGACTGGCAGAAATGGGTTCCATGGTACCACTGCATGGTCGACTTAAATACAGGAAACCCTGCAACTTGTGGTTTCACAATTCTCAGTTGTGAACATTGGTGCTCTTTATGAAACCCTTCAGTCAAAACTGCAAATATACAGTCCAGAACCACAGATTTCTTTAATTTTGACTTTGTAGCTAAGTCATCCTAATCAGGGACTCTCTATCCTACCCACACCCAAACTCAGTAAACACAAAGAATACTGAGAATATCAGACCAAAATATTTGGTGTACAGTTCGGATTCATGTTCTGTCTTCTCCAAGTCTCAATTTTCTTCTCTGTGATGATCGCCTAATGTCTACCTTTTTGAATGTCTATGGAGATGTATTTAAGTACTTGGTAACCTGGAATGTGCTAAATAGAGGTTATCTTTTTTTTTTTTGAGATGGAGTCTCGCTCTGTCACCCAGGCTGGAGTGCAATGGCACTATGTTGGCTCACTGCAACCTCTGCCTCCCGGGTTCAAGTGATTCTCCTGCCTCAGCCTCCCAAGTAGCTGGGATTATAGGCACCCACCATCATGCCTGGCTAATTTTTGTATTTTTGTAGAGATGGAATTTCACCATGACCAAGCTGGTCTTAAACTCCTGACCTCAGGTGATTCACTTGCCTTGGCCTCCCAAAGTGCTGGGATTACAGGTGTGAGCCATGGTGCCCGGCCAGAGGTTATCTTTTTATACTAGTTTTCTTTAATATTTTATTTTGGATTTGTTCTATGTGAATTCACCTGAAGGTGATTTGAACCTGTTTACATTGTAATCTGTAACACATTTTGGGCAATAAACTTCATATGCTGACTACTTAGCTCCTTTCATTCATTTTAAATTTACTTCCCAAGTGTTCAGCTTCAGGGAATGCTCTTCAGGAACAACGTCCCTGGATCTGGTGATCAAGTGGATCACCAGAACCTCACCCAGAACCTCACCCAGAACCTTTGATCTCATTTTTCATTTTCTCCCAGTCTGAGGAGGCCCTGACTCTGCCCAGTGAAGCTGCTCTCTCTCTGGCAATGCCCATCCCATCAGCCATGATGTGAGCGTTCTTGAGCTCTGCCCTGTGCATGAGGTTTGTCCAGCTGGGGGAGGGAACTAGAGTCAACACTGTTTCCCAGATGTAGGCAATATGGTTGCTGCTCTGGCACGGTAATCTGTAGGTTCTATGGGACATTTTTAAATCCCAGCCTGCTTTCTCTTTAACTAGCTTCTCTTCCTATCCCTTTAAAGCTTTAAAAATTACCCCAAATGTCTGCGAGTAGCCTCCACACAATCCAATATATTTGATGCATTACAAAGTCCTTAAACATGACTCCTGGATGATCTTTTCTTTATCTACCCTCCATTAACAGAAATGACATAGAACTGCTTATGTGTATTTACATGGATCTCTCTCACCTCCTCCCTCACCTCCCACCCCACCTCACCCCCCACCCCCAAATACTGAAGTGTTAATGGGGATAGTGCATTGTTTAAGCTGTCACAATGTGTGATCAAGACAGACTGAAAGTCCTCTAAACCTTCAATAGTAATTCCATTCTCCAGGAGAGATGGAAAATTCTTGCATGCAGGAGATATTAGTTGCTCTGTTTCAGTCTGAATTGTGCACAGAGTTTCCTGGGCTACTGTAAGGTGGAGTAATCCCAGATTGCCGGGGCTGTTCCATGCATCCCATGGGATAATGTGTAATGATCAGTAACCTGTAAAGTGCTGAATTAAGGTTATCCTTTTATCCTAGTTTCCTTTAATAATATATTTTGAATTTGTAGCATGTGAATTAATCTAATGTCTTGTAAATGGGTGGATTTCTGGTGTGTCCTGATCTTTCTCGATCTGCCTGGAGTCAATCAACATTCAGGAGTGAGGAGTGGGATGAAGAATGGAGATTCTAGAACCAATATCTAAAAATATGTATGGAGGTGGGGGCAGGGAGGGAGTTCTTGGGAGGCTACCAGGAGGATTCTTGCTTCCATATTCATTTATCCATAAATCATTTGTTGGGGGCTGTGTTGTTTGGTGGCCTCTGTGGCTGAGCCATGAGGTAAAGCTGATGACAAAGATTTCACTCTGCCAGTCTTCTTGCTCTCTGAAGAAAGGCATCCCCTCTTCCCTTGGGAGGCCCACCCTCTGCCTCTTAGCTCAGCACTCAGTTTGAGACTAGGCTGTCTGAGCTGTCTCATTCCGTTTGTGATCATGTGCCATTCCGACTTCCTCTATTTCCTCTTCTTTATTTACTATTCTGTAGTCTTCCCCACGCTTTCAAAACTGAAGGAATGGTCGAGTTGCCATGGCAACCCTCTGCCCCCACCTCTTTTTCCTTTCTCAACAATTTTTCTACATTTTAATAAAATTACTATTTATAGTGCACAAAGCTGCATTCCCCTCCACTGCAGCTCTGCAAGGGAGGTTTTCTGTCTGACCAGAATACTAATAACTAAAACATGGCTTTCCAGTGAGGAAGTGAGGAAGCCCTCCAGAGCAATCACTTTGGGAGACATATGTGTTCTTTAGGATATTGTTTAAGATGTATGAAGGGCTTGGCCTGCATATATGAAGAACCTCAGTTGACAGGGCTGAAACCCCATCCTTGTAAAATATACCATATAAATGTTGAATATGGCATTCCGGGCACTTTGGGAGGCTGAGGCGGGTGGATCACTTGAGGTCAGGAGTCCAAGACCAGCCTGGGCAACATGGTGAAACCCCATCTCTACTAAAAATACAAAAAAATTTAGCTGGGCGCAGTGGCGTGTCCCTGTAATCCCAGCTACTTGGGAGGCTGAGGCAGGAGAATTGCTTGAGCCTGGGAGGCGGAGAGTACAGTGAGTTGAGATTGCTCCATTGCACTCCAGCCTGGGTGATAGAGTAAGAGCCTGGGTGACAGAGCAAGATTCTGTCTCAAAAACAAAAACAAACATAGAACTGATCTTTTAGGGTTGTTTTAAGGATCCAATAAATTAATATAGACAAGGACTTAAAAGAGTGTCTGTCGTCATTTGTTATAGGCATTTGAATTATTATTTTAGTAGCTTATTAACATCCATGAAGACTATTCCAAATGTGAGGTTTTACCAAGGTTTTATAGCTGTTGAGGGATAGGCCCGGTGGAGGAGGTTAGGAGGGGTTATTTTGTATGGAATGAAACATTTAGACTACATTGAAGAGTAGAATGAAGGAGTAGCTTTTAAATTCTTAGTGTTCAATAATGAAAATATTCATTCTTTATCATGTTTTGGGACTTTCTAAAAACAAATTTTATATAGGAGCAAGGCAGATTATTTTAGCTTAATTTGAACTTACATTGTTTATTCATTCAAAGGGCTCACAGGTGGAAAATCTCTGAGTGAGGTTACACAGTAATGATCTGGTAGTAGTGCTACTTAAACTTTCATGTGCATATAAATCACCTGGGAAGTTTATTACACTTCAGATTCTAATTCAGTGAGTTGGGGGTGGAGCCTGAGATTCTACATTTCTATCAAGCTCTTAGATGCTGCTGCTGCTGCTGGTCCCTGAGGACCATTGAGTAGCAAGGTTTAAGGTTTTTGGGGCCAGCTCTTCCTAAAGACACTTTTTAAACAAAGGTGTGGGTTGAGTGGAAGGGGCTCTCCAATTTCTTAGTTATTACCCAATTGGAATTACCCAATACTAATAGAACTGGGCCCTCATGAGAGAATGAGGTTAAGAATCACCAGTGGAAGCCAGAAGACTTCTTTTTTCTGAGATTTTAACAAGAGAAGTCAGGAAAGGCTATATACTTTTTTTATTTTTATTTTTATTATTTTGGCCAGAAAGCTCAGAGGTGCCTGACTGCATTGTATTCAGGCTCTACTCTTGCTTTATAAGTCAAATGTGATTACTCACTTAATTTTGTTCTTGAAACATTTTTAGAACCCAGTAAAACTCATCATTTTCCTGAATGAGAGTTAAGGCTTTTTTTTTTGGGTGGTGATTTATTCAGAATATTTTGAAGACATGATTGTGGGACTAAGATCCAAGTGAAACTGAGCCAAAAGAAGACGTAATTATTAAAACATTAACTTGAAATTTTAACTCCTGTTTGAAAGCATTGCTTCCCTCTCTAAATGTCTGTCAATATCTTATTTAAGTCTTTTTTTTTAAACAAAGCAAAACAAAACCTTTGACATGTTTTTAAGAACTAACAATAATGGTGATATACAACAGCTGCAGTCTCACTTCCGAATGGAGGAATTAAAGGCTCATGTTAGAAGATGAGAGGTTTAGCTACTTTATAGGCTTAATCAGCCAGTGACTCACAATTACGAGTCATGTGATTTAAAAATCTCAGTGACTGTGAGCTTCTCTTTGGAGGACTGGGCAAACTGTGAAGAAATATGTGAAATTAGAGAAAGAAATGTGAAGTAGACTTCCTCTTTAAATTCTGGATTAGCCATGACTCAAAGAGCATGGTAGGACATCTGTATATGCTCATTTTATTAGAAAGGCCATCACAATTGGATTTAGACTTCTATTCGTGTAATCCATCTTCTTTTTGCAGGCAGGATTATCTCTAGGCTAGTACTGAAAAATTGTCACTTCTATTAGATTATTAAGCAAGGTCTGTATCATCTCTCAAAAAGACCCACAGATCAAGATATGTTGACATCAGTGGAGGGGGAATTGCCCTTTTAGTGGCACCTTCAGCCTTTGCAGATGCCAATTCAATCAACCAGTAACAACTCAGATGGGAGATGGGAGAGTGTGGCTAAGATGGACAAGAATACACTTTCAAAATGCAAAGCTTTTCTGCAGCATTAGGGGTCATGGAGATGTTAAAAGACTTTTCAAATAGCAACTACACAATAGGATTCCAGATTAAAGGCTCCTCAGTTGACAGATAACCAGTGGGAAAAGATGAAATGAGAATTATCTGAGAATTGCTATCATAACCTATCCTTAAAACAGAAGAGCTTTGTTCCTTTTAAGCTCATGGGAGCATGTTATAGTAGCAGCCTTATAATTTGTCACTGAATAAATCACCAACACCAAGTTACATTAATTATATCTTACTCTTTAGCTCCCTAAATTTCTCCTTAATAGACCTAAAGGAATTATGATGAATAAGGATTGAGACCATTTGCAACCTTTGGAGTTAGTGGTTTGCTTTCCAATAATTGACATTTTTATCTATTAATGCAGTTAGGAAAATTCATGTTTTCAGTTTTGGTAAGAATTTTGCCTAGAATTATCAGCAATGAAAATCTTACTCTAAGTTAGTCAATTGTTCTTGATGATTATAATGATCTAAAGTTTGATGCCCACAGCCTTGTGTATGTTAATTTCCAGTAGATTCCGTAAGAATGAGAGAATGTGTGTATGTTTTTGAACTGGAAGACATTCTGACCGGGATCTACAGAGATATAAATGGGCAAATCCAGTACAGTTTAAACACAGGAGTTCTTATCTGAGTGGAATACTTCAGAGGGTTGGAGATTGAAGTAGCCCTCTGATGAAGTCTGGAAACTACTGGAAATGTTTAAATACTGTGGTTTAAAATTACACTTGAGATAAAATCTGATTTCCTGTTTCTAAGTCAAAAAGCTTACAATAAGGACCTTGAAGTTTCCTGGAATAATAAACAACACTTCTAAAACGGCAACTGGATGAGGTAAGTGTGGTTGACTAGAAAGTACAGATTAATTTTCTCAACACTACTCATGTTTCAAAATTAAGAGGGAAAATTTCCAAGAGAGAGACATATTTGAGGTCATGTTGAACCCAAAATAGTTTTAAGTGCTGCAATAGTTTGAAACGTTTTTAAGGGTTTTCCACTGCTGAGACAATTAGCTAGTTTCCTCAGACTGCATTTGTTTTACCAATCTAGTGTTGAGAGCCTCTTAACAGTGGTATATCAATGTGCAACATTTCTTGCAACTTATAAAAGATAAGTAGACCGGCACCGGCTACAAGGAGCTAGAAACCCTTCCCCATCTCATTGGCCTCGCTTAGTCCTTCCTACTTAGTCATCAAGCCTAAATCCCTCTCTTATTTCCTGAAGGCCCCTGAGCTAAGTTAATTTTATCTTCCTTCTTTCTCATAGTTCCCTGAGCCTACCTGGTATAGAACTTGTCACTGTTCCATAATCATAGGTGTTCTCATTTCCCACTATTTCTATGAGATATTTGAGGATAGAAGTTACATCTTCTCAGTGTCTTATTTATTCAACAAATGTTTATTGAGCATCCGCTATATACCAAGCGCTGTGAATACAGAGATTACAAGGACACAGAGTCAGCTCTCAAGTTACTCACAGTTTTATAAAAGAAACAAAAGAGTAGATGGTTATATTTTGTGTCAAGTTCTTTGATGGAGGGCTCTTGATATAAAATATCAGATAGATACTTAACTGAAATCTTCCTGGAGAAAATGTAAGTCTTGGAAGATAAGTAGCTATCATCCAGCTGAGTAGAAGAACAATGTGGGTGAGTGAAGTGGGGAAGAAAAATAAAGTTGTGATGATATTTCTGGGCAGAGAGATCAGCAAATGTGAAGGTATATGGGGGGGCATACTGTATATAAGGGATTCACAGTAATTCAGGGTGACTGGAGCAGGGAGGACATACTGGAGAGTGATAATTGATGAAATTAGAAAGGTAGACAGAAGCTGGACCGTGAAGGTCCTTGGATGTCATACTAAAAGGTTTAGGCTTTATTCTAAAAGGATAAAGGAGGAGTCATTGAAGTACTTTAGCTGTGAGAGTTATTAGCATATTTGTGACTCAGAGATCACTTCGTCTGCAGTATGAAAAATTCACAAGACTACTCTAGTAACATAGGCAAGAAATCATAAGATACAAAAATAATTCAGAGGTGAAGAAGGCAGCTAAAGTTGCATCAAGAATTTAATAGCTGTGAAGAGTGAGGGAGAAGTTTGAGATTAGTTGGTCCCCAGATTTCCAAACAGTAGCATTAAGGAGAGGTGGTTTGATTACCAAAGACAAGAAATACAGTTGGGATGACATTGCTGAGTGTGGGAAATGAGTTGTTCTGTCTTGGACATGTTGGGTTTGAGGTATCATGAATAGTTTCGAGACCATCCAAAAGGATATTTATGGCAAAGAGATTGGTACACAAAAGATAAGTTGTCTGTGTGGGTCAGAAGACTCCATCAAGCTGGCTAATGCAATCATGGCTTGTTGGAGGGTTTAGAAGAATCTCATAGAACCCAGTGACAGGGAGTAGAGTTGGGCCTCCCATGTGTTGGAAAACAGTCTGTAGCTACTTTTGATCTTTCACTGGGGCAGTGTGATTGTTTTGCTTTGTGTTTCATTCTTCTCCTTGCTTCTCTGCTAGGCTTAGTTACTACTTCACCAGAATATAAATTACATGGACTTAGGATTGTTATGATGCTGACTTTGGCTCAACTTGCTAAAACATCATAGCTCTTCGCCTAATTGTTTCTACTTCTAACTCCCCAAGTTTCAATCAAAATTCCAAGGAGAGAGAATCACCTGGCCCAGTTGAGTTAGGTGACCACCTGTGGACAGAGAATGGGCTGACATGGGTTTTAGGATTGTCCCTTCTAGATTATGGGTTGGCAGGTTCAAAGGTAAACAGGGCAGAAATGATTGGCTGAGAAGGTGACTGGTACCTGAAATATGGTAAGACTAGCACTCAGGTTGTAGCTCTGGGCTGGAGATAAAAATCTGTGGAAGTAGTTAAAACTAGGATATTGGATGAGATTACCTAGGGAAAGTGTTGACTCAGAAAAAGTGAGGCTTGAGATCAGAATCTTGGGGAGCAGCAGTATTTAAAAAGTGATAAGAGAAAGAAAAGTCAGTGAAGGTGACTGAGAGAAAATGTCACAAAAGCCAAGAAGGAGGGAGGGATCAACAGTGTCAAATTCTACAGAGTTGGTGAGGTTGACAATTGATGTATGAGAAAGAAACTAGTATTAAGGAAATGTTCAGTGTAGAAGTGGAGACCAAAGCCAGATTACAGAGGAATAACACTGTAGCCGAAAGTCAAATAAATGAGGGGTCAGGAAGTAGAGACAACTTCTTATTAAGAAGTTTGGCTTTGAGTGGAAGGGGGCAAATAGAGCTAACAATGGTCAAGGAAACATATTCACCGATCATAGATTCTGAGGTGGGGACACACTGAGGATAAGGAAAAGGCAGATGTTATTTAATACAGTCAAGTTCTGGAGGAGGTTGAACAGGATGGACTGGAGCTCCAGAGATTGGGAAAACTTTTCCACTGAAGTGAGAAGGAGAAATACTCGAATATTTTTGAAAGAATAAATGAATAGACAAAGGGAATGATGGTTGACTCAGTCTGAAGAGCTTGGATTTTTATTTATCTTGGTGTCTCACTTTAAGGTAAGGGGATTGGATCTTGAGGCTTGCTGAGGCAGGACTAGGCTCGCCAATGTGAACAAAGTATAAGACAAATACAACGACAAGGGCTTTCTTCTGCTCTTCTTTAAGATTTTCTGATAATAATGCTCTCAGTTTCTTCACTTCTTAGGGAAGTCAGAATTTGAGATAAGTGGGGTGATGGGGGGGTGGAAATGTGACTATACAAAAAGAACTGCAGATGAGGAGGCAGAAAACCTTGTATTCTAGTCACTTTCTGACATTTACTGACCACATGACCTTAGGTAAATTGCATAACTGTGCATCCAGTTTCTTCTTTTATAAAAAGCATGTGATACTACCTTCTCTGCCTATTTCAGAGAATATATATACTTTATATATTTAAGTATATAGAGTTGCTTTGAACTATATATGCATAAAATATTGTAAATATTAGAAAGCACAGTACAGATATAATGCCCCATTAATGTATATTCCAGACATTCTGAGAATGTGGGTTGCCTCTGAGGGGTGCCCTGTAGAGCTGTCTAATCTTGTCTAACTATACATACATGTATGGCATGCCCCTGGAGTTCTGTTTGCTAGTTTTTTTCTTGGCTATTACACATGCTGAGAGCTTGGCCTGATAGTGCAGAGATTACTACTGGCGTGGAAAGTGCCTGCAGGGAGCAGCATATTAAAATCACAAATTCAATACTTTCTCGAGACTAGGACATACAAAGTTAAAATAGCCTTATAAATTGCCTCCAGGAATAAAGGCAAAAATTAACTCTACCTCAAAAATTTTCATCCACATTTATGAATGTCACTTTCCTCTCTCTTATTTCCATCTCTATTGCCACAAATTAAGACAAAACACAAACATTTTCCTCTGCAGAATTCCTCAGCTTCTCTATAGAGGTAAATGAAAACTAGACTTAAGATATATTTATCATCGATTATTCAGGATTCCAGATTCCTATTAGGCCCTCTGACTAACTTACATCATGCTGTCTCTGATTACTTTTAGATTCAGGTTATATGGAAACAACTGTCTGTTTTCATGGCTGGCATAATGGGTATAAACTAGTAATACATGGCATCTACATTGTAAAATTTAATGAATAGTGCCTATGAATCCATTTGTGTTCTTCACCTTCATTTAGAAGCATTTATTATGCCAAATCAAACCAGGCATGGGTGAGGGACTGTGCCACATTTATTCATTTCCTTGTCAATTGTGTGTTTTGAAATCAGATTTCTATTTGTTCCTTCTCTTGTGGCTCCATTTCCTAAAAAATTACTTCACTGACCTTACGTTTTAAGACAGTATTGTCCCTGGAATTTTAGCTCCTCATTTGGCTTTTCTAATTCAATGATATAGTCTCCTCCTCTATGACTCAAGTTACCAGATATCGCCAAATGTAAAAAGGATTTTCTGAAACAAAATAACCAATTTGATTGTGATTAATGAAACCTATAAACAGTAGATCTAAGGGAGAGAAAGTTACAAGATTTATAAGGGTTTTGGTACAAAGTACAGAAAAGTGAATGGACGATTGAGTGGGTCCTAACTCATAGGAGGTGTGCAGCAGTAATTGTGTACTAATTTGTCTCTGTTGAAATCCAGCAGAAAGGTGTGAATTCTTTTGGATAGAGGCATGGTTCAAAGACGATATAGGTAATCCCTTGGAAACAACCTGCATCTCTTAATTTACTCTGTGATTGTTTCCAAAAGACTTAAAGATTTGGTCCCTTAAAATGAAATACTTTAGGCCTGGCATGGTGGCTCATGCCTGTAATCCCAGCACTTTGGGAGGCTCCGGTGGGCGGATCACCTGAGGTCAGAAGATTGAGACCAGCCTGGCCAACATGGTAAAATCCCATCTCTACTAAATATACAAAAATTAGCTGGGTGTGGTGGCACATGCCTGCAGTCCCAGCTACTCGGAGGCTGAGGAAGGAGAATCGCTTGATCATGGGAGACGGAGGTTGCAGTGAGCCAAGATCATGCCACTGCACTCCAGCTTGGGCAACAGAGCAAGACTCTGTCTCAAAAAGAAAAAAACAAAACAAAACAAAACAAAACAAAAACTTTACAAATAGTCACTAATGGAGTTCACCACCAAAATTCTATGACAAGAAAGCTTAAAAAGTCATTTCTCATATCAATTGGAGGATTAGAAAAATATGTTTTGTTCTTGTCTCTAATAGCTAACACCACATGTGTAAAGCCATCTAAATCTACACTTAGTTTTTTTAGACAAAGTAAAATTCCAGATGGAAACAAGAGAGAGGGCCTCTGTTTTGGTGATGTATCATTTGTTGACATTCCAAAAGTAAAAACACGTTTGAGTAACTAGCTATTATTAGGAAAAAGAAAAAGAGTAAGGATCAATATTGCTAAGCACAAAATGAGAACAATTGGTATGTAAAATGTGAATGCTAGAAATTATCCAAGAGAGAGGGCCTCTGTTTTGGTGATGTATCATTTGTTGACATTCCAAAAGTAAAAACACGTTTGAGTAACTAGCTATTATTAGGAAAAAGAAAAAGAGTAAGGATCAATATTGTTAAGCACAAAATGAGAACAATTGGTATGTAAAATGTGAATGCTAGAAATTATCCTCTTATGATACAAAAACACTGGGCATACATGGAAAATAAATATTGAAAACAAAATGTTCTTAATATTTGACCATTCTGGATCTAAAGAGGATCCTAACCTACTAGCTTGGGAATATGTGTGTGTGTGTGTGTGTGTGTGTGTGTGTGTGTGTGTGTGTGTATCTCCACACATATATACACACACACACGTGTATATATACATATGTATATATATATGTGCACGCATATATCTGAGAGCAGGGTCACCTACATATTAACATTCATACCCCCCTGACAGTGCTGTGAACAGGGTCATGCACACAATGGATGTCCAATACTTATTTGTGAATGAAATAATGTACATTTGCTGTGCCATAATTTACTCATATAACTAGCACAACGCATAAAGGCACAGACTATTGTGAATAAGTTTTTTCTTCCTTGAGACTTTACTGGGCCTCCAACAGTGTAAGACAGGGAGCAATGGAAGAAACCTAGGGAATGTTGGCATTCAAAAGGCCTGCTAAGTGTAATACACAGAAGTCTTCACTATAGTCATGTGGGAGAATACACAAGAGCCTGCAGAGCTGGTCTCAAAGGCAGCTGATGTTTGAGCTACTGACAACAGCCCAGCTTTTGATGTTTCCTCTTTTGCAAAAAGAAAACAAGGAAAGAAAGGAAGGGAGGAAGGAAGAAAGGAAAGAAGGGGAAGGAAGTCATTTGGAACTAATTAGTAATATGCGCAACAGGATTTTTTTTGGTCTTTTATTGAATTCTGTATATAACATTAGCAAAGAAAACACTTTAAATCCAATGAGAAATTTAAAAAATCAATCAGATGAAAATATCACATAATCAAAACTCACAGATATTTTCTGATATTTACTTAACAAAAGACCCAAAATTATTATGACAAGAACATCAGAGAACATGGTATAAAGCTTATTTCAACTTAATAATATGTAATAAATTAAAACAACTCAATGTCAAAGGATAAACAGAAAAAATAGAATGTTTGATTTTACATCGTATTCAGAATTCCATTATCATCACTGCTTAAGAATGATTATTTCATTTCATAAAAATAATGCTTGCTTATTTGATGAAGAGAACTAAATTCAATGTTAGAAAATTTTAAATTCCAATATAATAAGTTCTAGTTAAATATTCACAGTAACATTGCATTGCTAATCAGTAAAAGTACAGCATGTATCACAGACTGTTGACTTACAAGGGAAAGCAGTAACAGTGTCTCTCTGCTGTCTGAGAAAAGAATAAAAATGTACTATTGTGTCATGAATTGAAAGGAATGTCTTCCTTATTCAAACTAAGCAGTCATATTTTAACTGGGAAAATTCTTAAGTAAAATTTTAAATATATGGAGAAATTTTACTAAATATTTGAATGATGATAAATGTTAGTAATATTGTTATCTAACACTTGATAATCAATTCTTTTTGAATAGTTACAGGAAAATGAGCTTTCTTAAAATAAAGGCAGTTTTTCTCCCCAGTCCCTCTTCTCTGTCCTCCACTAATCACAGAATAAATGTGATGAAATACAGTATGCTGAAAAATGGTCACTAGGTTGGATTTTTTTTTCCTCTGAATCAGAATGGATGCAGTTTCTTGGATTGATTACTGCTTTATTCAACTGTTCAGAAGTCAGTCCTTATGATGGATTTTTAAAAAGGGAGATTAGAAATGTCAGTCAAGAAGATCAACTTTTAGTCTAGCATTCTGACATCAAGTGAATTCAGTGTCTGTGGTCAGGGTGTGCAAACTTATATGTTTAGGTGGAAAATGTTTGAATATCACCCTGTGGAAGGGCTATAGTCTGGAGGTATCTGAAAAGGTCTGACAAGAACAGCAACAATGTCTTTGCACTAAAATCTGAAAATTCCCAATGTAACTTTTAAAATTAAATTTTTGTCAAAGTTTTAAAGATAATGGCAGTGACAGGATAAAAATAACATGACAAAAAGTGAATAGTATAAAGAACATAGGAGGTTTAGAGCCATTTATTGGCCATATTATCTTGGACTAGTCATTTGATCTTTCTAAACCTTGGTTGTTTAATCTCTAAACTTCAGATGACATTAGTACTTCATATAAAGATTTTCAATGCTAAATAAATTATGTGAATGATCTTTGCAAGTATGATGTAAGCAAATCTTATAGTAAACTAACGCTAGACTCTATAAAAAAATTGAGGTGTTGTATTTGTTATTCTGACTTCTGCATAATCTGTATAAGATTTCAAAAATAGATTCTTATAACGTGTAGCATGTCACTTAGAAATACTACATACACTGTTTGCTTTCCCTTGAATGTGTATATATATATATTTATATTTGTGTGTGTGTATGTGTGTAAGAGCTTTTAAACTGAAATTATACCATTCTGTGGGATAGTTTCAAAAATGGTCTATACAGTGCCCTTAAAAGTGAAAAAAGAGAATATTCTTATTTGGCTTATAGTCATACAATTTTATGGCATTTAAGAAAAACACTTTGACAGTTTAAAGTAAACTAAATACTTAACCCCATCCCCACCCCCAAACCCAGCATTAAGAGATCACATATAGAAACAACTTACCAGAAGAGATACTACTATGATTCGTTTATGATGGTCAGTTCACAAATTGTTGTAAGATACAGTATTAACACAATATGCTAGAATCACCATTTATCAAGTTTCATCAGATTTAAAAAAATGGACGAAATCACTTCTCACAAAGATCACAGTAATACATAAGCGACTCAATTACACCTAAAGTGAAAATTCAGATTCATAAAACCAAAATGATCAGATTAAATGTTTTAACTAATTGCTCCACTAGTCAAAATATACATTTCCTTTTATGACAGAGGCCTTTAAAAACTGCCCCCTTTTCTGAATGGAAGGGATATAAGACTAAACTTCTGGACAAATAATCTCAGTATGACAAAATATTTCTGTATTATTCAATTTCCCAAGCATCCAAATTTTAGTATCATTCTAATATCTTTCCATCATAAAACCAAGAACCAGAATATACTGCTGTTTTTCAATAGGTATAGTCGCCTCTTATCTGTGATGTGCAAAAGCTATAACCCTTCTTTACCTAACTATCCACTATTGCCAAACAGACATGTTTGGGTTATCCCTGAATTTTGTTTCTCACTCCTGAGCAAAATGAACTACAATATGGCTGTATTAGGCCTCCTTTGTATTCAAAAACATTCACAAAATTTTGTGAATATTATTTTAAATTATAGTAATTGCTTCTGGGACCAAAAGGACATTAACTTTTTAATGTGACAAAAATGCACCATTACAATCTGCTACAGTTCATCGATAAGCATGATATACTTGCTTCTGATTTGTTACATGTTTATTAAACTACAAAAATTTAAAGAGAAGATTAACTGGAACAGACATTCTGTTTAGGTAATTCACTCAGCATTCAAAGATGAAATGATAAATCATAATAATTTAAAGCCAAGGTCAAAATAAAAGGTAAGATTACTTTTTTTTTTACTTTTTTATGTCTTGCTGAGATCAATTATTAGTATTAGAAACAAGAACATTTGGACTTGCAATCTGTTCACTCAAGTAGAAATATGTGGCATCTTAGTGACTAGAGGGGAGCAACATGTACATATACACATATAACAATGTGAAAACATTATAGAATTCTCAGAGATGAGACATACAGATTACTAAATTTAAAAAGTCTTCACTTTACAGATAAACTCGGGCTCAGAGAAGTTAAAGGAACTTTCCTAGGGCATATGAGAGTTTTTGGCAGAGCCAGCACCACAGCACAGACACCTGCTTAAGCTCTACCAATCTGCTTCTTGTGTAAAAGGAGTCAAGAGATCATAAGGCAAACACTTCTATCACTCCAACCTTTTCCCACCTTCCCCTGCTCCCAGGCTTAAAATGTTGAGTGTGCAATAAGGCTCTGGTACAGTTTTAGCATTTCATAGACAATTTTCAAGTTACCTTAACATTTAACTAAACAAATGCTCTCCCCTCCTTTCTAGCTATTTCATTAATCTGTTTTCATTCTGCAGACTGATTTTTCTACTTTTTTGATCCCATTATAGATCAGTGAAAATTCTAAGGAGAAAGAATCCTATTTCCTTTCATCACAATCAATTTGAAGAATGATATATTTATGATACTTTCAAGGCTTAAATCTTACTTCATGTTTCTTTCCTGCATAAGAAAATCTGGGTACTTAAGTTTTCTTTTTTTTTTTTTTTTTTTGAGAGAAAGTCTCACTCTGTTGCCCAAGCTGGAGTGCAGTGGCATGATCTTGGCTCACCGCAACCTCCACCTCCTGGGTTCAAGCGGTTCTCCTGCCTCAGCCTCAGCAGTAGCTGGGACTACAGGCATGTATC
This sequence comes from Homo sapiens, assembly GCF_000001405.40. Classification (NCBI taxonomy): domain Eukaryota; kingdom Metazoa; phylum Chordata; class Mammalia; order Primates; family Hominidae; genus Homo; species Homo sapiens. The sequence continues at coordinate 110,657,199 of NC_000001.11, forward strand.
ACCATGCCCAGCTAATTTTTGTATTTTTAGTGGAGTTGGGGTTTCACTATGTTGGCCAGGCTGGTCTCGAACTCCTGACACCTTGTGATCCACCTGCCTTGGCCTCCGAAAGTGCTAGGATTACAGGCATGAGCCACCGCACCCGGCCCTGTTTTCTTCAAAGCATTTCTCAAATGTGTATAATGAGAATTTGGGGACTGGTAAGGGCTTTGGAGATCATTGAATCCAGCACGCCCATCTTGCAATTCAAGCCTGCAAACTGAAGCCTAGTAATGTAACAGATTTACCTAAGGTCCCACAGGTAGAAAGTGAATAAATATTCTGGTCTACTGTTATCTAAACCAGTAGCATTTTTACTATCCTTTCTGTGAATCATATTCAGTATAACAGTTTACTCATCTGACACCATCCTGTGCTTTTATCACAAAAATCCAGGTTTTGTCTTTATTTGAAACTGTAACCTGTAATAATAATTCAGATATTAAATATACTATAATGCATACAGTTGTTTCATTCGTGTTTTATAAAGGTAGTTTTTGTGTCTATTTTTGTAACACCTACTGATCCTTACTAAAACATCTGAATATCTAAGACCTCCTGTAACACAGTTGATCAGTTTGTTTCAATCATCCCAGTAGCTAATGTGCATTACTTTACTGTTACCCAGGCTGTGATAATTAGTTATAAGGATTATGTTTGCTGCAATGGACTGACTATTCTCCAGGCCCATATCTCTACTAAATGGGCTAACATAGAACAAAGACAAGGCAGTGGCTAAATTTTCACTTTAATCACAAATCATCTTGACTAAAAGTTCACATAGCTCAAATCTGAGATAGCTGTTAGACTTTCATTTTTTCCTGTAGTGATCTAGTCTCAAAATTTTGACACAAAGAAATTACCAGCAGATTGTGAGACATTCATTGTAGACTTTGCCTCAAAGAAAGTTACCTAGATTGTATCTCTTATTTATCTATCTGTTTCGCTGCAGGTATAAGATTGTTTTAGTTACTGATTCTCATACAATGCAATTCATCACTTTTACTCCATTCTGTAGGGGATCAAAACATTTATAATCTTGGCTTTGCTACTGAAATATTTTTATAGTTACTAAAATTCTACAAGTGCTCTTATTATAACATAGCATGGTTATATATTTAAATAACAGAGGATTGGTTATTTATGCATTTGTTCAGGTATATTTTGAAACTAAAATATGGAAATAAAAAAGGGTTCTATATAATAAATTTTCACAGTTTGACTTTCCATAAGGCTTATGAAATAATATACAAATAGCTACCATTCTGCTGAAATGTCACAGTAAATACATTAATGGCACAGAAGTGAAATGTCCCCAAATGGGAAGCCATCTTCATGACCTCCTAAATCTCTTTTCCAACTAAAACTTTTTTTTAATTGAAAAAGAGTTCCATTTCTAAAAGAATATAAAAATAGAAAATGAGTTAAGGAAACTTTTACATATATAATTTTGAAGGAAAAGCTATAAACATTAGATGAAATATTATATATATCTTTAAGAATGTGCTTTGTCTCACCACACCAAACATCCCATGAAAACAAAATTAAATGAATATATTATATATGAACTGTTGAAAGTATAACTAAATGTTACAATTTTAATTAAGATAGAATATTAAAACATGTAGTAAGTACTAACACATTTTTGTCAAGTTCAGCTCAGCTAAAACCTATAAGGCTAATTTGCAAATTTATCATTTTGATTAAAAAATAAAAGAATGTTTAATCAAGCAAGGCACATTTCTTTTAGGCAAGTCTGTCTTTAATACCATTCATTTGGGCACAGTGTAGACTTCACTTATTTATATGTAAATGGGCTAATCTATGTATGAGAGCCTTTGGTACAAAACACACCTTCACAAATAAAGTTGCACATAACCCAGAACATGGAATATAACACGACTATATCTCATGATTAAACACAGTCCACTACTTAATTGAAAAAAAAAACACAAAAAACAGTAATAGTTGGCTTGCTAGAAACAAATTTTAGGCTTTCTTTCTGCAGCACTGATTATAGTTTTTGGATGATTCGATTTCATCAAAATGTCAAAAGGTTGCAATGATACCTTAATATTTTTAGCATTCTTCATCTCTTGATGAAATGTCTTTTATATGCACGCATTATGAAGCGAATCCTCCAACTTCAGAGTTGTTCCCTTTATATAAAGCATTTGTTAGAGACATATTATTTAATGTCAACTGAAATAAAAATATGTGCTGGCAGATGGATCACTGCCCATCAGTGATATAACTGCTACTGCATTCTTGATCCAGGCAATTTAAAATGGAGCATCCTACTGGTCAGTGCAGCTCTACAGTTCTTTATATGGGGGGCTCTTCAGGGATCTGTCAGACAGAGTAAACACAATAATTTACTGGTATATTTAACTTTTAAAAAACTATAGACTTTATGTCAATAGAAAATGTTCCATTCATGAACCAGCCCAAATGTCCCCAATGATAGACTGGATTAAGAAAAGGTGGCATATATACACCATGGAATACTATGCAGCCATAAAAAAGGATGAGTTCATGTCCTTTGGAGGGACATGGATAAAGCTGGAAACCATCATTCTCGGCAAACTATCACAAGGACAGAAAACCAAACACCGCATGTTCTCACTTACAGGTGGGAATTGAACAATGAGATCACTCGGACACAAGGCAGAGAACATCTGCCTGTTGGGGGGTGGGGGGCTGGGGGGCTAGGGAAGGGATAGCGTTAGGAGAAATACCTAATGTAAATGACAAGTTGATGGGTGCAGCAAACCAACATGACACATGTATACCTATGTATCAAACCTGCATGTTGTGCACATGTAACCTAGAAGTTAAAGTATAATTTTTTAAAAAAACAGAAAATGTTCCATTCATTATATATTTTTTAAATGTTGCTTTTTAAAAACTGTTACCCTGAAAACCTCAAGCAATTTAATTGTCTAAATGTATTAACTACATATTTCTTTTAATTTGTAAGTTAGAAAACGTTTTGGAGTATGCTGAAATTATAGACATTTTTCTACTAATAATGATCTTGAAATTTAGTCCAAACCAGTGTGATAGTTTGCTTTTGGACACAAAATTTATCTTCAGCCTTAGAATCATCGAAAGGTTCTGAGTGCCTATTGATTTTTAGAAAAATGTATGTGTTAATTTTCTCAGTGTATTTCCAAGGATTTTTTTTCCTGGCTGCCCATCTTACTGTGGTAATCTATGATGAGAACTCTTGAAGTGAATAAAAATCCAACGCTAAGTGTCATGGAGAGAAAAAGAGAGAGAGAGAGAGAGACAAGACACCAAATAAGTGCTGAGAAAACCATGTTCTATGTGCTAATAGGATGACATTCCTATCATTTATCTCTTCATTATAAATAACTTTTAAGTCTGTTGATTCTTTAAAATATGAACTCTGCACAGTTATGTACCATTTTAAAATTTCCCAAATTAAGACAATAATAACCACTTGACCAGGACAAGAAATAAAGGTTAAAGATTTGGTGCTTCCCTTCCTTAACTGCCAAAATAATTATTGAGAAATTCTGATAGCAAAATATTTCTTAAGAAGAGGATAAAGCAATACAATAGACTTATTCACTTCCTACATCCAGAATCTAGAATAGTGTTTGGCATATAGTAGACACTTTATATGCTGAATTAATGAATAAATCTCTATCACCCTGGGTAGTGTCTGACACATAGGAGGTACTCAGTAAATACATGTTGAATACATAAATGGATATATAAAAATTAGATTTATGTATTCTAGAAATTTACTAACTATATAATATAAAGACAGAAATTATAAAGACAAAAATAAACCCAGCTATAAACCCAGATGCTATAAACCCAGCTCTGGGTTTGAATATGTGAATATCATCCATCACAATATGTAGAGAAGACTATTTCCCATATATACTCCTGGTTTTAGCAGGCGCCCAAAACCAGTGGTAAATGCCCAAAGATGGTGATCTGGAATTTGAGTGTGCTTTTGATGGAAGAATCATTCACTTGCTAAATTAAATACTGTATGCCTACTGTGTGCTGGGCAATCAATTAACTATCTATTGAAATTTTTTTCTTATTGGCCTGGATTATACACTCGGTCACCTTGATCTCGCAGACAGATCACTGCTCATCAGTGATTTTAAAAGTCTTAACGCTGATTTTAGGCAAAAAGAAAGAGTACGTTCACAGTATGCTTAATTTTCACTATCAGAGTTTTAAAGTTATAATGGTCTAATAGTTATTAATGACTACTAATCATAAGAAATCACAAGTAACATGAATGACCTAGCATCCATTTTATTTCCTAAGTGCCTAGGTTCTGCTCAATGCTACTGCAGCTTTGCTTACCTTGAGAAGTCTGCATTAAGCTATTCTTGTCTTGCTGCTGTTACATTCTTTTTATATAAAACGGTGGGCCTTAAAAAACAACCTCATGTATTAATACCTGCCTCTCAAGGCTCTTGAGATTATTAAATAAGAATGGTATAAGCATGGCATCCTAATAAAGTATAGGTGTGGAGGGGGTGGTAATTCAACGAAACAAAAATAAAAGTGATATCAGGATAATCATCATAATGTCAGCCGGGCGCGGTGGCTCACGCCTATAATCCCAGCACTTTTGGGAGGCCAACGCGGGCGGATCACGAGGTCAGGAGATCGAGACCATCTTGGCTAACAGGGTGAAACCCCGTCTCTACTAAAAATACAAAAAAAAAAATTAGCCAGGCGTGGTGGCGGGCGCCTGTAGTCACAGCTACCCGGGAGGCTGAGGCAGAAGAATTGCGTGAACCCGGGAGGCAAAACTTGCAGTGAGCCGAGACGGTGCCACTGCACTCCAGCCTGGGTGACAGAGCGAGACTCCGTCTCAAAAAAAAAAAAAAAAAAAAAAAATTCAGAATGTCTATATTAGTGGTTAAGATGTGGGTTGAAAGGCTTAGAAGAATGGACCCAAAATCGATTCTATAAAATGAGAGAAAGGAAGTACAATAGAAAACAGTGACCTATAATTGAAGATAATTTACCAAATAAATGTTCCAACATATAGAACAAGAAAAGAGAATAAGAATAGTCAAATTTCAATAATTATCAAATTTATGAAGAAGTAATTAATACCTCCAAAAGGCCTAAATGAAAGAAGTACAGAAACCTAGCTTACTTAACTGTTAGTCTCATCAACTTACATTTGATGAGAAAAGAGTTGAAGTCATTCTATAGCATGTAGTTATATGGGAACTTTGTTTTCATGTGTCTATATACTTTGACATCTATTAAATTACTTAGTGTTAGCTGCACACCAATAAGTTTTACCAGTTCTACCAAGTAAATGGTAATGAATAAGCTCAAGGACTAGAAAGATTTCTTACTCGATTCTATATAATTCTCTGATTGAGGTCTTGAAAATTATGTACTCTCAGCAAGCAAAAACCTTTAATCTCACTCAGTAATTAAAGTCAGTAATATGTTAAGATGTGAGCTTTTAAAAAAATCTAGAAAGTCATGGGAAAATGAGCTGTGAGGTATAATTGATACTACTTTGAGCCGTATTTAGGTCTACTAATAATAAATATCTTCAATTTATATGGTCACACAATAAAATGCTCTTTTAAAATCAGTTAAAAGGTCTGCAGGGAAAAGATCTACAGACTCTAGGTATAAAGCAATTCAAACAGTTCTTGCTTGGAGTAGTTATTTCTGTCTGTACTTTTTGGTTACCCAGTTAATTTTGCTCTTTAGAAGTCTGACACATAGTCACTCTTGTTTAACAAGCTTTTCATAATAATTTCTTATAGAAGAAATGTATTCATGACTATCTGATATTTTATTGCCCTGTAGTCAGACACGAGGTAAATACAAAATGTAATGGCACATAAGGCTGCCTCTTAAATGTCTAATACCTTGACTAAACAAAGTTACAATAGAAAATCCAGTAAAACCCATAGTGAGTTAAATCATAAAAATAAACAATGTCACAATCCTTCACCCAAAACCAGAAAAAAATAAAACTATAGATTTCAATCCTATATTTTATGTCATTTCTTTAAAAATCCCTAACATTTTTCTCAGAAGAGAAAAATGATCTTTATCCCATGTGAGCTTAACTGCATAAAGTGGCGTAAGGAGAAAGAGTTTCTAATTTCTGCTGGTCTACATATGTAAACTCAGGCACATATGTTAGTTTCAAATTTGTTGACACATTTGGTAAGGAAATTGTGCCACTTCGATATGCAGAGGCAACAGTCAAGTCATTCTCTGGTCTGGTTTGCCTGAAAATGCAGGGAAAGGAGAAAATTCAAAAGGGGTGTGGAGAAAGTTCCTCTCTATTCTTATTAGGAGAAGCCTCATTTCCTACTGCAGAGGAAAGTGCCTTGGTTACAATATTACATAAAATCATGGCACTATCTGCAGTGGTCATATCAATGCTTTAGTTAGTTTCAGTCATTCCATACTATATGTGTTGGTATTTCAATACCGCTAGGAATCTCCCAATACTAAGAACCAAATGCTACTGGATTGCCTTCACCTTCCATTTTATTATTTAGAAGTAGTTTAAGTTTGACCGTTTTATAAATGTCACTCTACAAATCTGCTCTTACTTTTCATTAACTGATTTAAATGTCCCCATCTGCTTTCATGTATGAACAATCACTTCAAAAAATAGCTAATTTTTATTATTTTAAAAAATAGCTAACTTTTAAATGTCATAATTTTAAAATGTAATGTTAATTGCATTTTGCAAAAGATAGTCAGGCCATATCTACAGTGATGTAATTCTGTAATGTGATTCACTAGTGAAATCTAATGTTTGATTCAATCAGCTTCCATAGTAATGAAGACTCCATGGATTTTCAGGACTCATCATTAACTGAAACTGAGACTGAACTTATAGGGAAGTTTCTTAGAATGTCTGCTAGATAGATAAGCCTTTTGTAGATATTACTTGTTCGTTCTGATTTTGCTGTGCTGTCCTGGTCAATTAGTCAACATGTTTATGTTATCATTGATTAAAAGCACTCTATCAGCTATTACGTATGAAAAAACATGGTCTTTGTGAAGCATTCTAACTTCCAGGTATCCTTAGTGACTAGGTACCCTCAATGATATCTCATATAAGGTAACAGTTAAGTTACTTACATTAAAGGATTGCATCCCCATAATTGGGTGGTGTAATATTTCTTGTGGAAAACTTGCTGGAGCATGTTTTCGCAAATGCAAGCCTTCTCCAGTGAACTGATTACAAGGAATTTTGTCCTTCAGAGCATGATGAGGAGTGTAAGCCACATAGTGATTAAATGAAGCATAGATGCATGACATGAAAATTTTGTTTATAGGTTAAAACACCTCAAATTGGAAGGCAATTTCCTTCCTCTCATCTCTCCTTCCAATAGATATTTATTGGGCACCAACTGTATTTCAGGTACTATGCCAGGTCTTGGGTGATACAGCATACTGAGCAGACAAAACTCCTTGTCCTCATGGAAGGGAATGGAAAACATACAATAAACAAAATAAATAAAATACCTAATACATTAGAGGGAAAAATAAGAAGAGAAAGGATATAGAGAGTGTTGTGAGGTTGCAATTTTAGATAGTGTGGCTAGGGAAGGCTTCAATGTGAAAGTTGCACCTGAAGGAGGTGATGGAGGCAGCCACGCAGCTATCAGATGCCAGAACATCCCAGGCAGGGAGAACAATAAATACAAAGACCCCAAGGTGGAGCATGCCTGGTGTATTTGAAGAAGATCAAGGTGGCCAGTGTGGCTGCAGCACAGGATCAAGTGGGAGAGGAGTTGGAAATTAGGTCAAAAGGGTAAGGAGGGCAAAATGAGACAGGGCCTTGCAGGCCATTGTAAAAAAGCCTTTAGTTAGTACTCTGTGTGAAATGGGGTGCCAAATGGTGGTCTTGACACAAAGATGTAATATAACTTGATAAATGTTTTTAAAGAATCACTCTGGTTATGTTGAGAATAGACTCAAATAAGAGGAAGGATGGAAACTGGAGGACCAATCGGGAGGCTACTGTAAAAATTCAGGTGAAGATAACGATGGTTTAGATCAAGTGGTAGCAGTAGAAGTGGTATGAAGTGGTAAGGCGTTTGAAACATTTTAGAAGTGTCAACACAGTGGACTAAATAAGGGGTGTAAGAGAAAAAGAAGAATCAAGGATAATTCCAAGGATTTTACTTTGAGCAACTGGAAAATTGAAGCTGCCAGTAGTGGAGGTGGGGAAGAGGGCAGGAAGTACAGGCTTGATGGGCTAGAGAGGGGAGAAGGACGGAAGCTCAGTTTTGGATATATTAGGTTTGAGATGTCTATTAGATATCCAAGTGGAGACGTCACGTAGGCAGGTGGAAATTCAGTCAGGAGCTCAGGGGAGAGATCTAGCTGGGAGATACAAATTTACATACACAGATAATTTAAAGCTATGAGAATAAGACAGAATGAAGAACGAAGAGATGAGAAAGAACCAGTAAATAAGATTAAGAAGGAGAGGCCAGAGAGGTAGAAAGAAAATCCACAGTGTGGTATCTTGGAAGTCAAATGAAGACAGTCTTCTTAGGAAGAGGTAGCTGACCATACCAAATGCTTCTGATAGGTCAAATTGAAATGAGAACTGAGAAATGACCACTGGGTATCGTTATATGAGGTTACCAGTGACCTTGCCAAGTACACTTTTGGTGGAATGATAGCGGGGTGAGAGCCTTTTGGAGCAGACTCAGGAGAGAGTGGGAAGGGATTCAGTGGTGAACAAAGGGAGAGATAGTCCCCACTCTCATGGAAGAAACAGAAATTAATCATATAACACAAATAAATATAAAATTACAGCTATGTCAAGATAACATACTATATTTAATGCATTCTAAGACCTACATTTTTAGATTTGAGCATCTATGAAATTGGGATGCACCTTAAAATCACTGGTACTTTATCCTTACAATTGGAAATCTTGTAAAAAATAGCACATAAGTAATAGTATTTCTTATAATCAAGGGCATCTTAAATTTAATGAACTACTATACTATAATAGGGGAATTGAAAAAACCAGAGTCATGAGAGATGCCTTGGAGGAGTATTGAAGTAAAAATAGAAGTCAAGAGGTGAGGAGAGAAAGAGGAGGCTGGCAGTGAAATATTTGCAAAGATCCCCATTAGCTTAAGGTGGAAAGGGAGCTTATCCTGTAACTGGAAGAAGACCAGGGTGACTGGAGCACAAAAGAAGGAAGGGAGAAATATAAGCAAAGAGGAGGTAAGGCTAGATATGAGATCATGTGGGGCCATAAAAGCTATGCTAAGCCTTTGAGCCTCTATCCTAAAAACAAGAAGACCCTGAAAGAATTTTAAGTAGGGGTGGGTTATATAATCGGATTTTGGTCTCAAAAAGATCATTCTGGCTACCAGGAAGAGAAAGGGTCAGACTGGCCACAAGAAATGTGAGGATGCCATTAAGAGACCTTCACACTTAATGTAGGATAGAGATGACAGTGTGGATTACAGTGGTCCTGGCAGTGCCACAGTAAAGTGGGCTGTTTTTAGAGATATTTGGGAGGCTAAATGACAAAATTTGGTGATAGGTTGAGTATATTTACTATTTCAGTGAATGTTATTTCATTAATAAATACATTGAGAACACTAGGCAATAAACCTGCATTTTAAGTAAGGCTGGAAAAAAAGAAAAATGATTTGTAAATATTTATGCTGCACATACAGAATGAAAACCAATATTTTGGAAATTCACTAATTTTCAGAAAAAAATGACACCATTTAGAAATATAGACAGAAAGTAAATGTACTGCAGGATAGGAAGTAATCTATGAACAGGTGAGGGGTGTGTGTGTGTGTGTAATAAATTGTCCCCACTGCTTCTCTTCCAAATTAATTATGTTTTAATGTAAAGAACATGTTTAAATGTATAAAAATAAGAACCTTAGGATTCAGAGGGACTTCTATAATGAACAGAAGTTTAAAATAAATGTAATGGAAGACAAATGAAATAACAGTGCTGTCTGATATAAAACATGTAGGCATGATGCTAACTTTCATTCTAAAAAGTGGGTAGGGGCCTCCATAGAGATTCCCAAGAGCCTTTGTGCTATGATATTAGGAGTGGGTGTGAGGTTGGAAGCTCACTGTAAGAGAAAAAGCTTCTCCCCAATCACTATCACCATACTGGAAGGTATGACCCCTGTATCTGCAAAGTCAGAGTCTTGCATGAACAAATTTATTCATAACATTCTTTAGATAGGATGAAATATCATTTTTTTCTCCATTTAAGTGTTATATTGCTAGCAACCAGAATTCCAGGCTTTACTTTACAGGGCAGAGTTCCTATTTCACTCTATTTAGGTTACAACAATAACAACATGGATCCCAAGAAAATGATGGAGGCTCTTTCCCAGATCTCTTCTTAATATGCATTTGATGGCTAATGGTGCAAATTTTAAAACAGAAGAAAACACACATCTGGTACAAAAGAACCCAGTAAAATCATGAAAACGTTTCTTTTTAAAATGTATTTTCTTCACAATTTTGAAAATTAGCTCACGACATCATTAAAAATCAAGACAAACATCTGAAAGTTTTCTAACCAGTCTGAATCATTTAAATTATACTTGCAAACTGAATATGAGTACATAAAGAATACTATTATCATATGCTATATAGCAATGGCCATTTTCTGGCAGAAAGCTAAGAGCTGAGTCACAATAGTAAGGTCTGGGCTCTGATTGGCTTCTACTCCCTTTTTCCTGCCTCCTTTGATGTACTTTCTCTCAAAGGTTATCAACCACTTCCTAAAGGTATATAAAAACAAGTGATTTCATTAATATATATAGAATTGCCCCCAAACCCATACGGAATAGTACAAAAACCAATAATTGTATCCTCCTTAGTTTAAAAGGCCTAAAACAAAACACAAAGAAAAAGCTCCCACTGTAAAAATGCAGCCCTAAATATCCTCTTCCACATTCTTATGCTCCTCACCTCTATCTCACAGTGTTTCCATAAGTCTTCAGATTATGGGGCACGTGTGCTTCTTTGCATTTCTTAGTGGGAAGGGTTATCACTTCTATTCACAGCTGAGAGGTGGGAAGGACTTGGAACTGCTGTAGAAAATGTTGAAATTTTAAATGTATAGAAGTCAATAAGTTATAGTTATGGTACTCAAAGGAACAGACTACTAGTATATATTATATACATTGTCTTTATATACTATAGCAAAACAAATACTTGAGTATATTATACGCCAAAAAGGTAAATAACAAGTTTTATGCCAACAAACCATAACTTTAAATGTCTTCATACTGTGCATTTAAATTTCAATACTGAAATTTTATTTCAAAGTTTAGAAATAACTGACATAATGCTTCCTCCTATGCGTAGGTGTCTGTGGTTATGTCACCACAGTTGGTGTATCATGTCATTTTAAAACATCATAAAAGAAATAAAACAATAACAATGTTAACTTCCATGTTTCTATCTGGATTCATCAGCTGTAAGGCATATACATTTTTCCCCAGGGTGTTGATGGGTGTGCACTGATCCAGTCACACCTCCTCACATGAATCTCTTGCTATACACAGACATCCGTATATTTCTTCAACACATAAGACGTGCAACTGAGCTCAACAGTGAAGGTTGTAGTTTGGCAAAGCCAGCTGGCATGTGCAAACGTAGGCTCATTAGAATTTTGCTCTAAGCCCAAATCATTATCCATTTTCATTTCATAAATGATTTAAGAACTGAGAGAAGGGTCTGCAGCTATTATGTAGGAAAAATTTTATTTTAATTTCTTTAGAGCACAGATGCCCTTAAAGATCCATGGAGTGGTTAGGTAAGGCAATAATGTCACAAGTTTCAGTGAACTGGCAATCTCATTCTGCTTTTAATACTTCTGTTCTGAATAATTTCTTCCCTCTTAATAAGGGAGAGTCAAAATATTTACATGACTTTCTGGTATGGTTCTTCAGTAAATGAAGCAAAGCATAAGGAGATAGAAAACTAATTTGCATAATGCTATCATCTATTGTTGATTAAAACACATGAAAACAGAAAAATCTTGAAACTGAAAAATATCCATTGTCATAGCAGTTATCACTAAACACTACTATGACTGGTTATACTTTCTAAGATTAAATCTAGATAAACCAACTATAAGAAAATAATCTTTTGTTATTAGAAAAGTCAATCTCTTCATCTTATTTAAATAACTTATATTTGATGCTTATATTTGGTTAAAATACCTGCTTATTTTAAGCAGGTTAATTTTCAGTATACTGAAATGAAATAGGTTTCTGGAGATATGTTATCTACATGAACTCATTAATTAGTGACATAGGCTGAAGCCAAGTCTAAAAGCATAAGAGATTTGTCTTTCAAGTCACCTAATAAAAGTAGCATGGGTTTCAGAGCCAGAATAACCTGGCTTTAAATCATAACTGAGTCTCCTGCTAGCTGTGAAGTCTTAGGGAAATCACTTAACTTTAAGCATCTATTTTATGCCCTCCTAAAATGAGGTTAATAGCACTTACCTTGCGGAGTTGACAAGTGTCCAGGACATGGTTGACTCTTAATAAATGGTAATTATTATTCTTATAATAGAAAGGAAATAGGAAGACACTGATTACTTGTGTATTTCATATTCACAAAACATTGTATTAATTATACAGTGCTTGTGAGTGATGATCACAATATAATCTCTTAGCAAAATCTCTGATGCCGTGTCATGGAATTATTTTTTCTAAGTGTTCTACCTGTATTAACATTTACTATTCACAATAAACCTGTGAGGTACTGTTTATCACCCTCATTTTACAAACAAAGAAACTGAGGCACAGAGAGGTTAAGTAATTTGTTCAAGATCATATACCAGAGTCAGGACTCAAATCCTGGAAATATGACTGCAGAGCTTATGCTTTTAACCACTTTATTAAAAGCCTGGAAATAACATTTATGTAAGATAACAGCCATTCACTCAACAAATATAAAAGGTGCCACATTCTGTGCTAGGCACTAGTACCTAAAACCTTCAAGACACAGAGCTTATATCCTTTAGGGAACTTACAATGTGGTGACTACAAGCAATCATATTACCTCAAAGTTATGAGTCAAAAGCCAGGATATTTCTCTGGATTAAAGAACAAAGGCCCCCTTTAAATTACTGCCATTTAATAACCATAAGAATTATGGCACAACCATAATTTACTTATAGAACTAATCAAGGTTTCTACATCTCCTGAATAAATGTGAATAAAATTGTCATTGCACTTCCTCCATCTCTATGTTAAGAACAGATACAAAAATTATTTTAATGTAATTGTTACAATGTATCTAACATATTATCAAAATGTGTCATAAAAATAATTTCTGGTCATTAAGGGTACCAAACGTTTGGTCAAGAGGTAGATCAATGTCAAAGGTTAACTCAAACAAAAAGCAAAGAAAACTAGATAATGAAGTCCTACTTAGATATACATAGATAAAAACAAATATATGATAAAAAACAAACAACAAATCTATGACCAGGTATATTTAGATTTCTTGCCTCTATTTGTTTGGTCTTTTCCTTCCTCAGCTCTCTCTTATAGTCTCAATCACTATTTTCCTCTCTCTTCAATGCATGCATTATAAATGTACTCCTAACTGAAAATACTTCATGGGCTTTAAAAATAGGGTTACTCTCATTTACTCTGGAAGGATAGAATAGTTATATGCTATTAAAACCAAAAAACAACTGTAGATAATGTATAATTTATATAATGTATATGAAACAGAATGATTATGTTTAAATAAAATGTTACTCTTATTTTTAACCCTTTTTTGTTTCAAAGAACTGTACCACTGCATACTATTAAATAATTATGTAAATTAAAATTGGACCAATAATCTAACAGCAGTAGATTCTGCCATTTATCCTTTTTAAAGGGAAACAGGTTGCTTGGAGGCCAAGTGGGTTAGTAAAAGGAACGGAATAATTTTCAGTTTGGCTTGAGTGAAGGTTATTCTGAAGAGCAATGACTGTTTTTTCATCCTTTTGTAATAAACAATGGAAACTAAACGACAGTTAGCAACATGGAAATCAAATGAGAAAGGTGTAAATTATTTTTAAAAAGACACCAAGCATGTAACTAAGATAAAACTGTTGGTTTGGCAAATACCATCAGTCTATACATGAATGACAGTTCCCTGGCTCTGGATAACAAAAGGGACTGCTCCCAGTAGATCACAGAGTGCTCACCTGATTCTGTCTGTCTTCTGGCAACCCTTGGCATATGGCTGAAACTTGCAGGTGTTCTCCCAAGATCTGGTTACTTCCTGTCCCTCCTTTTAATTGATTGTCTGCAATTCACTCAGTTTTAAACGTGCATCCTTTATTTATTTGAAGTTTATTTAGCTTGTCAAGTGCTGTGATGATGACAGAGCTGTTGTGGGATCTGTATTTTTTTTTTTAAAGAGAAAGCCTGAAGGTCCCTTGTAGTAAGGTTTCAGGCACACTGATCGAATCTCTCATTTGCTTATGTACAGAACACTTTTACATTTGCTTTTAAATTTCATTTGTTGGCTTGAAAGTTCTTGGAGAAAGAAAACTGTAGAGAAGCATCTTTAAAAATTATTGCCTAATAAATGGCATTTAATCCAGATCATGCCTTATTGTGGTTAATATCTAACATTCCAAACACCATATTTTCCTCCTTGATTCAGTCATTATGGAATGACATAATGATTTTCATAGTTAAAAAATGCATTTGGGATTCATTTCACCTCCTTAGAGTCTCAGACTTAACTTTATTTTTTGTGCGGCTTATTCAAACAGTGGTTTTCCTTATGAAATCATTTAAGTAGGAACCATCTGGAAAGGTTACTGTGGAAACGGCAGGGGCTGGGAGGTGGGGCTAGAGAGCAAGAGATGCCATGACAACCTTTTTCGGGTTTCCCAGGAAACATGGGTTGCTATGGAAACTGCATCAGTCAGGTCCGAATTAGTAACTTCCGCTGGAAGGGGTGTCTGCCACTTTAATCTTCTTGTGATACTGCCGAAGCTTATCTCTCAGATGCATTAGGAAATTTTTTGTTTCTCTCAGCAACACTGAAAACATCTGTTTCTAGACTTTGATAGTTGTTGGGGCTGGGACATATGCACAGAACTTCACAGGAATCTGTTAGTCTAATGCTTTAGAAATGCTTAGCAAGCCCGAAAGAATTAAACTAATTAGTCAGATCAGGACATCTTGGGCATTTCCCTTTATTCAAAGTTGTAGAGACACTTAAAATTCCGGGAAAGGGGATTCAAATAGGAATTTAAGTCAAAAACCAAATAACTCATGGTGGGTTTACAAGTCATTATTCTAGTTAGACTCTTCATCCACATATCTACAGGGTAGGCAACCGAAATACATATTCAATAAATAACGTTGAAAGGTCCATCAAACCGAAGCATCATTTACTACGAATTGATGTGCTTAGGAAAGAAACAACTGCCTTTAAAATTCTGAGGTTAAACAGTTACTCTAACTGTTCTTTAGTTTCATTTCCTCCCAGGATGTACTGCTCTTTTTTAAATAGGGCGTGTACTAGAAATGAAGTTTAACGTAAGTCTGTTGTTTACAATGTTAAGAGAGAGAGGGTAAGAGGGAAAAGGAGAGCTGAGAGAATGCAGCCCACTTGCAAAACAGGCACCTGTTTCAGTATGAAGCAGCAGGGAGAGGGAGAATGAAGTGTGCTTTCCACTTCTTCAGGTCCTTTCCTTGATGAATGGTCTGGAAATGTATAAAACAAGGGCATAGGCAGACCAAGGGGGCACGTTCCACACAATACTGAGCACAGCATGTCACTTGTATCACATATTAAACATCGGTGAATATCTTTTTGATGTTGACACAAGAGTTGGGATTATTGTTCGTGGTGCAGGTGGCAGTGGAATTGCCCGTTTTGAAAGGGGTCTGGGGGAAAGCGCTATGGTTCATACCCCCCTCTTCGATCACCATATACTCCGACTTACTCAGAGTCGAGTTACTCCTTGCTTTTCGGAGCTCCTCGGCTGAAGAGGAGAGGTGCTGGCAACTTCCCACGTGCATGTACTGGGATTGCTCTTCCCCTTCTGTCTCCCGGTGGTAGAAGTAATTGAAGTTGGAAACAATCACGGGAACTGGCAATGCGATGGTCAAGACACCGGCGATGGCACAGAGAGATCCCACAATCTTGCCCCCTATGGTCACTGGGTGCATATCGCCGTAACCCACTGTTGTCATGGTTACCACTGCCCACCAGAAGGCATCCGGGATGCTGCTGAAACCTGAAGTGGGGTCGTCTGCCTCGGCAAAGTAGACCGCGCTGGAGAAAAGGATGACCCCAATAAAGAGGAAGAAGATGAGCAATCCCAGCTCCCGCATGGACGCCTTCAGCGTTTGCCCGAGGATCTGCAGCCCCTTGGAGTGGCGCGACAGCTTGAAGATGCGGAAGACCCTTACCAGGCGGATGACCCTCAGGATGGCCAGAGACATGGCCTGCTGTCCATTGCCCTGTCGTTCGGCCAGCTCGGTACCCAGAGTGATAAAATAAGGAATGATGGCCACAATGTCGATCAGGTTCATGATGTTTCGCGAGAAGGTGGCTTTGCTAGGACAAGCGAAGAACCGCACCAGCAGTTCGAAGGAGAACCAGATGATGCACAGCGTCTCCACCACGAAGAAGGGATCGGAGAAGCTGGAGGCTCCTGCGCGGGACCCCGACGTGCTGTTGCCGGCTGCTTCGAATGAGTCCTGCGACGTCGAGGCGGGGTAGTCCTTCTCGTCGCGGAACTCCGGCAGCGTCTCCAGGCAGAAGATGACAATGGAGATGAGGATGACCAGCACGGACACGATGGCGATGCCCCGGGCCGGCCCGGAGCTCTCGGGGTACTCGAAGAGCAGCCACACCTGGCGCTGGAAGTCGCGGCGGGGCAAGGGCCGCTCCTCCTCCCGCAGGAAGCCCTCGTCCTCGCGGAACTTCTCCATGGCCTCCTCGCCCAGCTGGTAGAAGCGGATCTCCTCGGAGAAAATGTCGATGGGCACGTTGACCGGCCGGCGGATGCGGCCCCCGGACTGATAGTAGTAGAGGATGGCGTCGAAGCTGGGCCGGTTGCGGTCGAAGAAGTACTCGTTGCGGAGCGGGTCGAAGTACCTCATGCGCCGCTTGGGGTCGCCCAGCAGCGTCTCGGGGAACTGGCAAAGGGTCTTCAGCTGCGTCTCGAAGCGCAGCCCGGAGATGTTGATGACCACGCGCTCCCCGCAGCAGTCCTGCTCGCCCGCGGCCGGCAGTGAGGGCGGCAGCGGCTCGTAGCGGTCGCAGCCGCCGCCGCCACAGCCGCCTTGAGGCGGGGCCCCTCCACCATCGGCCACCTCCGGCTCCAGCAGGTGGTCCCCGGGCACCACGGTCATGTCGGGCGGCAGCTCGCGGCCTGCGGCGGGCTCCGCGTAGCCGTGGTTCACCAGCGTGTGGGCACCGCCGCTGCTCGCTGGGCGCTGAGGAGGGTGGGCGCGGTGGCGGGCTGAGGGCGGCGGCGGCGAGCGCAGAAGGCTGAGGCGCTCGTCCATGCGGCGGGGAAGAGGCGGCAGCGGTGAGGCCAGGTCGCTCCTCCTCGCGCTCCCCGCCCTTTCGCCGCCTCCGCCCCCGAGCCGAGCCCACCGCCTGTTGCAGCCAAAGCCGCGATGCTCTGTCTGGGTCTGGCGCGGTCAGCCGGGCTCCCGCACGGGGACGCCTCCTCCCTCCTTCTCGCGCTCTCCGCCCCCTCCCCTGCGGGGCGCGCGCCCGCCTCCGCGTCCCCTTAGGATTCCCGCCCACCGCGCGGGCGCGCGTCCCGCTCTCGGGGGCAGCCGCCGGGCCTGCATTTCTTGCAGCCCTCAAGGCCCCTCGGTGTCAGCGAAAGAGCCCTCATGTTGTACCTCGGCGCCCCGCGGGAATGCCCACCCAGCAGAGCCGGCCCACGGGGAGTCAGGCTGCCGGCCCGGGCCCCTAGGCTCCGCCCGCTTCTGGTCAGCGCCCCTCGCCCCCGGCCCGCCTGGCCGCGTCCCAGTCGCCAGGGTTTTCGGCCCGTGGGCCGGGAGAGCTCCCGCCGCGGCCCCGCGGGCGCCGGCCCCCTGGCCTCCACACCCCTAGGTACAGCCCGGGGAGGGCAGGCGGGCCCAGTGTCCAGGGAGGGAGTGCAGGCCAGGCGGGCGCCCTGGGCCAGAGGCAAGCCTGGCGCCGGCATCCCAGGTTCCCTTGAGGGTCGAGGACCGCCAAACCCTGGGGAGGAGCGGGGGTTTAAACAATTTAGCTTCTGCTAGGATGCGAAGCCAAAGGGAGTAATGGGTGCTGATGGGCTTCGCAAACGGAGTCCGAAGGAAATGGATTGTTAAAGGCGTTCGGGCCCTGCTGCTTTAGTGAATAGTTCACACCCGTTTTCGCAGCGGAGATGTCGGCCACTGGGAAGAATCAAGGACCAAGTTTCTGATTGGGATTAGCAGTGACAGCCTGGTCTTTATCCACTACACAGGTTTCCTGTTGGCGGGGAAATAAGAGGAAAAATGGGAAAGGAAATTCACGAAGTCGAAGTTGTGTGGTTAGAAAGTCCAGCTTTATGACTCAAGCCTGTCGTGGAAGGGATGAGAGCAGGACCTGTACCTAGACTTTTTACTTAATATTTTGGCACTGCCCTTGTGGTAGGGAATTTGCAGCGCTCTAGTTGTTAAACTGGAAGGACATTCATTCTGCAACTTGTACCTCTTGCTTGATCTGGGCCCAGAGATAACTTACATGTATCTTCTTTAAACTTATTTTTCCAAATTATTGTGGTTACTTTGAACACAATTTGTTTCCAGAAATTTTAGCAATCTAATATAACTCAACCCTAGGCTTTAAAAAGTCTGTTTTTTATTGTATCATTCAAATCATTTACAGAAGAGGAACTATTGTCTAGACAGCTCCTCACCCACCCAAAGTTAGCTGACAATTCAATTTTAAGTAAGTGATTTGTGGTCAATACTTCCCACCACCACTCCCAACCATGGGGTTCTCTAGGGCACAGAGTAGGTCCTAGCCAACTTATATTTCTAGCAACTACCAAAGTGCCTTGTAAATGGTGGAGACTTGGTACATACTTGTCAGATTGAATTCCCCAAGGAGTGTCTCTTTGCGTTGCTATCTGCTCTGGAGTTTCAACATTTCTTCTTTTTGAGCCCAAGATGCTGCTGTGATTCCTAGGATGAGGAGTGAGGAAAAACTGAGCTCACCATAGAAAACACTGCTCATTTATTCCATAGGATTTCCACCTCCGGCTCTCCTGGGCACAACAGGCACCCATGTCCTTTTATTGTCCCTTCATCTTCCGTTTCACCTCCTGGTCAGTGCCAGACAATGCAGGCAGTCACTTATGTTGTGGAATGGCAAAACTGGGCAACCACGTAAAACTCTTTCTCTTACAAAACTCCAGAACACTGGAATGTGACAGCCACCTCATTATTTTGCGTATATATTTTGAGCTGGTGATTAGAGTAGCAGTATAATCAATCATTCATATATTTAAATCTTAGAATGAGACAGACTGCTTGCTGCAATGATAGCTCATGGAAAGGCAAAGACCCTATTTTTAAAGACCAGATGTTTCATGTACTTCTATGTCTGACTTAGAAAATGATTTATTCCTTCTTTTGCAGGAATTAGTACTGAAATTAATATTAATCAATGGCAAGGAAGACCAGAGCAGAGGATAGTCCTGTGACAAATGGTCACAAGCTTCTCCCAGCTGTGAAATGTCTTTCCTTCATAAGTGACTATTTCCATTCCCTTTCATGTATTTGCCTTGTCTGGAAGACTTTGATTATGTGCTTCTTAGGACACATATAAAGTCCTTACTTTGTATTTGGGGCCCAGAGAAGTTTAGCAATTTGCTTAAGCTCACATAGCTAGTTAGCAGCAGAGCTGGGCCTAAAATCTTGGACCATTTCCAAATCCAGTGTTTGCTTTACTGTATCACACTGTGCAACGCTTGTGTTGATCACTGTGAGTACTTAATATACTAGATTTCTAACAGCAGCCTATTTGCTTCTGATTGCCGACTAGTTCACTTCAATTCATATTTATCTTAACTGAAAACCACTCCTTCTGACGGCTCGTCTGTTGTCTATAGAAAATGAGTTGGTGGGCTCATTCTAGCCCTGTTGGACAGCCGAACCCATCACAACAAATCAATGCCAAAAATGGCATTTCAAGAGGAAAACATAGCATTTATTTAGTACCCCCAACAGAGTAGCTCAAAGTGATTTGAAAATGTCTCATTAATCCTCATAACACCCCTGTGGGATAATAATAATATTATTATAACGTTTAGGCGTAGAACTGTGGCAAAGCCAACAGCTTCTCTGAGCATGTGCAGGATTTCCTCATATTTCAGTCTGCAATACTAGAGCCTGACTAAAACCGTCAGGTTTGCAAACAGCAAGGGTAAATAAATCTTGGTGTTTGGCCTTTCTGTGTTGCTCTAGGCATAGTTTGTGTTTCCTACTGACCACATCAATCCCAGAAATAGTTCACCAGTTGTTTGCCAGATGGTAAGCAGCATTTAGGATTAGCTCAGAAGTGTTTGAGAGTGGGACAAGGCAGGGCTAGAGGTCCTGATCCACAATTACAGATAAATGAATGGAGAAATAGCACCTAGTAACAGTGTAAAAGCGTTCCTATTTCTCCACATCCTCTCCAGCATCTGTTGTTTTCTGACTTTTTAATGATCGCCATTCTAACTGGCATGAGATGGTATCTCATTGTGGTTTTGATTTGCATTTCTCTAATGACCAGTGATGGTGAGCTTTTTTTCATGTTTGTTGGCTGCATAAATGTCTTCTTTTGAGAAGTGTCTGTTCATATCCTTCACCCGCTTTTTGATGGGATTGTTTTTTTCTTGTAAATTTGTTTAAGTTCCTTGTAGATTCTGGATATTAACCCTTTGTCAGATGGATAGATGGCAAAAATTTTCTCCCATTCTGTAGGTTGTCTGTTCACTCTGATGATAGTTTCTTTTGCTGTGCAGAAGCTCTTTAGTTTAATTAGGCCCCATTTGTCAATTTTGGCTTTTGTTCGCATTGCTTTTACTCATGCAGTCTTTGCCCATGCCTATGTCCTAAATGGTATTGCCTAGGTTTTCTTCTAGGGTTTTTATGGTTTTAGGTTTTACGTTTAAGTCTTTAATCCATCTTGAGTTAATTTTTGTATACTGTATAAGGAAGGGGTCCAGTTTCAGTTTTCTGCATATGGCTAGCCAGTTTTCCCATTTATTAAATAGGGGAGTCTTTCCTTATTGCTTGTTTTTGTAAGGTTTGTCAAAGATCAGATGGTTGTAGATGTGTGGTGTTATTTCTGAGGCCTCTGTTCTGTTCTGTTCCATTGGTCTATATATCTGTTTTGGTACCAGTACCATGCTCTTTTGGTTACTGTAGCCTTGTAGTATAGTTTGAGGTCAGGTAGTGTGATGCCTCCAGCTTTGTTCTTTTGCTTAGTATTGTCTTGGCTATATGGGCTCTTTTTTGGTTCCATATGAAATTTAAAGTAGTTTTTTATAATTCTGTGAAGAAAGTCAGGGGTAGCTTGATGGGGATAGCATTGAATCTATAAATTACTTTGGGCAGTATGGCCATTTTCACGATATTGATTCTTCCTATCCATGAGCATGGAATGCAAATTAGTTCAGCCATTGTGGACGACAGTGTGGCGATTCCTCAAGGATCTAGAACCAGAAATACCATTTGACCCAGCAATACCATTACAGGGTATATACCCAATGGATTATAAATCATTCTACTACAAAGACACATGCACATGTATGTTTATTGCAGCACTATTTACGATAGCAAAGATTTGGAACCAACCCAAATGCCCATCAATGATAGACTGGATAAAGAAAATGTGGCACATATACACCATGGAACACTATGCAGCCATAAAAAAGGATGAGTTCATGCCCTTTGCAGGGACATGGATGATGCTGGAAACCATCATTCTCAGCAAACTAACACAGGGACAGAAAACCAAACACCACATGTTCTCACTCATAAGTAGGAATTGAACAATGAGAACACATGGACACAAGGAGGGGAACATCATACACTGGGGCCTGTCAGGGGGTGGGGGAGTAGGGAAGGGATAGCATTAGGAGAAATATGTAATGTAGATGATGGGTTGATGGGTGCAGCAAACCACCATGGCACATGTATACCTATGTAACCTGCATGTTCTGCACATGTATCCTAGAACTTAAAGTATAATAATAATAGAAAAAAGAGCACCTAGTATGTGCACAGCATTGTTCTAGATACTGTGGGGATATGAAGTTTAAACATAGATCATGCCCTCATTGGGCTTACATGCTGTTGAAAAGATAGGATATAAATCCATGAAAATTTTTACAATGCTATTTATTAACAATACATGACAAGAGTACTAGAAATGTTACTTGTGACTATTTTGTCTATTCTAGCCAAGCTGGATGCCTGGCTGTTTCTCAGTTATACTAAATGAGTTCTGCTCTCAGGGTCTTCATACTTGCCCTTCCCTCTGCCTGCAACACTCTTCCTCCAGTTTTTTTTTTTTTTTTTTGGCTCTCTCCATCACTTTAGGTCTCCATTAAAACTGTCAGCTTCAGGGAAGTTGCCTTCCCTGACCACAACCACACTAATTCAAATAGCAATCCTTCCCCGCCTCCGTTTGGTAACTCTCTAGTCTCTTATCTCCTTTATTTTTCTTCATTTCGTTTATTTACTTGACATTATATTTTATATTTATTTTGTTACTTTCTTATTGTCTGTCACCTGCACTAAAAAATAAACTCCTTGAAGGCAGGGTTTGGGCTTTTTGACTTCTGTATGCTCCAGATCTGGAAGAGTACCAGGCACATCGTAGATGCTTAATGGAAGAAAGAAAAGGTACAGAATGAACATACAGACATGTGACAGTACTCTCTCTCTGTGTGTGTGTGTGTGTGTGTGTGTGTGTGCCAAGTGTTTATTTTGAAGACGTATCTGTCTAGTTCTGGTTCATAGAACCAGTTAGGCTATACACATATATATACAAGGATTGTTTTTTAAGTGCCACTTCTTCCCTTTTTTTTTCACCTTCCCTTCCCACCATCCTGAAGGGGTCTGTCCTGCACTCCAGAATTATACTTTAAACTCCCCCACTTGATATTCTTCCTGAAGTTCCCCAAACTTAATATTTATAACACTGACCTCATTATCTTCTCCCCCAAACTTGCTTCTCTTCCTGTTTTTTTTTTTTTTTTTTTTTTTTGTGCTAGAATACGGAGTCATCCCTGCATCCTTCCTCTGCTCTCACATCTATTCAGTCACTAAGTGCTTTCCATTCCCCCTCCAAGCCCTTCTCAATTCTGTCCATACCTCTCCATTCTCACTGCCACTGTCCCAGTTCAGGCTGCCATGACAGTTTCATAACAGGCTCCCTGCTTGCAGTCTCTCTTTTATGTGTTTTATCCTCCAGGATATAGCTGAGTTATTTTTGTAAAACATAGGTTGGATCACATTGCTCTCCACTGCTGCCATGATGGCCAAACCCTGGCTCTGACCTGTCATTCTGGCCGCATCTCCACACTACTTGCTGGTCCTTGGACAGGTCATCCACTTACACACTGCTGAGCCATTGCTCATGCTAGCTGCTTATGCTCTAGCTTGCTGGATACTCCTTTCACCTTTTTCCACTGGTGAATTCAATCTTCAAGTCCCAGCTTAGGGACCACTTCTTTTAAGAGCCCCACCTTCTTGTCAGTCATAATTACCACTTCAAAGAAGATTCCATGTAACTGATAAATGAATTCAGTGATACTCTTTCTCATCAGAGCTCTTACGGTATTTTGTTTAAAGCCCCATTAGAGGGCTTTATTGTACTATATTTAGGTGTGTTTGATATGATCTGTCTCCCTATGAGAATGTGAACTCCATAATACTAATAGCTAACATATTGAGCAGTGAATACACTATGCTAAGTCAGGCATGGTGCTAACCACTTTATATGCAGTAACCTCCAACAGCCCTGTAAGGCAGATAATATTACTACTGTAATAGCAGTAGTAATATTTCACAGATAAAGAAACTGAATGCAGGGTGGTGAATTCACTTGTGCAAGGTTATATAACTAGAAAATGGTAGAACTAGGATTCAAACCAAGAAGTTCACATCCTTAAGCCCTACTGTAGGCTACCTCTGTGGTGATTAGAGGCCTTATCTTATTCATCTTTGTATTTCCAGTCTCTGGTATTGTGTTGCTATATGATAAATGCTTTTCATATAGTATAACAGAAGAAAAATGATTACGAAGCATACTAGCTATTTGCTAAAAAACTGATAGACCATGATGAAAGAATTAGTCGTGTTCCTCAATGCAAGGGCTATACATGGGCTTTCCTGAATCTGTACCATTTTTTTTAAGAAGTAAGAAAGATGCAAGGTATAAAGAGAAAGTTATTCCAGAAGTAGATGCAGATATAGGTCCTGACTGGGACTAACATGGCTCTCCAGTGTTGCCGTATCCTCAGAAAGACCCAGCAGTCTAAGTCCTTGTTCTCACATGGCAGAGTGATTTTGAGAAAAACATTTCTAAGCCGAGCGCATTGGCTCATGCCTGTAATCCCAGAACTTTGGGAAGCCAAGGCAGGCAGATCACTTGAGGACAGGAGTTTGAGACCAGCCTGGCCAACATAGGGAAGTCCTGTATCCATGAAAAATACAAAAAATTAGCTGGGCGTGGTGGTGCGTGCCTATAATCCCAGCTACTCCAGAGGCTGAGGCAGGAGAATCACTTGAACCTGGGAGGTAGAGGTTGCAGTGAGCTGAGATTGAGCCACTGCACTTCAGCCTGGGTGACAGAGCGAAACTCTGTCTCTAAAATAAAATAAAAGAAAAAGAAAAACATTTTTAGTCAGGGAAGATTGGAACTCTTTTCAGCAAGTATGCCAACCAAAGAGTTAAAAGTATTGTGTGACTGGGCATTAATATAAGCCCTTGAGCCTCTATATGTAAGAGACAGCAATCAGACACTGAGCCACTTGCATAGCCTTTTCGGGTTGTAGTTAATTTATTGAAAAAGCAGGCACAGTCACACCTCTAATCATAGATAAGACATACAGTTAATGATGAGATAAGCCTTAAAGCCCATGTATGCCAGTTATTTATTTGCAGATGGGAATCTTCTCAACATTTGTAGAAACAATTGAATGGCTTTAGAGTACTAGCAAACATATTACCTCTCTTTTAGCAAGATGTACACTACAAGTAATACTTTCACTATGATTTTTCTCAAAGTGGATTTGGCTAAGAATGTTTAAAAATATCTTGAAAATTAATTTATTTCCTCATGTTCCTTCTGTGAGGTACTTTGTTGTGAGACTGTGGTAAGTCACAATAAAATTAATTTCAAGAACTAAAATGGATTATTTCAGTTATATGATTGAGTTGACATTAATGTGAACTGTTGAACATAAATTGACATTGTAAGCAAACACCTATGGGAAATTATTGAAACGCTGTAAGGTCAAGGATACATTTTGATTGAGGTTTTTGTATTACCATCTGGTGAAACCCAAAACTTATTATTGCAGGCATCATATTACAGTGTTATTACTTTGTCATTAGGTTTTGTAATTATGTTGATAAAGCAATTCAAGAACATGTCTGTAGAATAGCATTACACTTTTATTGAGTTTTCATTACAATTGTAATAATGTTAATGAAAGTATATGAAGGCCCATAATGATCCAGTTAACACTGAGTATTATAATAACAAAAGAATATGAATAGAATTCTTTGGGGATTTCATCATACCTGAGATATGATGCAATGGATACATTACTTGGTTATAAAATGGATGCAAATAAAATTCAACATGTTATGATACATCCGTCCTTGCCTGACCCAGGCACAGCTGCAAGTATTGAAAGCTTTCATTTATAGGCTCAGGACAATTTAATTCTAGAGCCAATTTTAAACAAACTTATGGAAATATATCAGAAAATCTGATCTTTACCTCAATCCCTGGTGGAAGATCTAGAATCTTTCTTGCTGCTCTAAGCTCAGTGTGTCTGAAGTGGGCCCCTTATTGCCTATAAACGTTCATCCTGGTTCTGAGGTTTCACCATCTTTTGCATGACAATAGAAACATACTCTGTCTTAGCTTGTTACTGTTCTCTTTAGTTTCTCCGTTGATACTGAAGCCCTATCCTGAAACCTCAACTGTCTTGTTTGAGATTCCATTTTTCTTTTTAGCCCTTAGTAGGCTCCTCAAAGGCTGAACCTTGCCATGGGCTGGAGTCCTTATTTATGCCAGGTGAATCTCTTGGAGCTACACAGCTTCCACCACCCACCTGATTACCAGTATTGCCATTGCCATGGCCATTCTGTGGCTTGCATCCTCCACTGGTTTGGACCTTATGAGTGATGAGGCTTTCCCAACTTGCATCCGAATTTTATCCTTCCCTCTAGGATTTTATAATTTGAGAAGCTGGCCACCCTTCTTGGGGACCTGTCCTAAAGCTGAATTTATTCTCCTAGCATGAAATCTCACCATTCCCAACCTATTGAAGTCCTAGCATGCCTCATGACTGAGTTATGTATATTGGCATGCACAGTTAGAAACACTAAACCAACTTACACTGAGGTTCATTGTTTATATAGTCATTTAAGTGAATTATATAATGAACAAATGGAGATATATATCAGTTGTAAGGATAAATTGTCTTGATTTCCCACCCCCATCAAACTTAGGAATCCACCTGTAGCATGCCAGCCTTAACATGCATGTGAACAGAACTTTCTGCCAAATGCTTTTATGTTGAAGATTAGCTTTCAGGTAAAGCTTACAGTATGAGCATGTTTATCCATTATGTTATTCAGAACAAGCTAATGTAAAGATGTGCTGTAGTGTACTAGAAGGGTTCTAGCCTTGGAATCAAATTATAGTCCTCTGCCTTTTATCCATGGGTAGTATGTTCTAAGACCCCCAGTGGGTGTCTGAAACCACTGATAGTACTGAATATAATTGCTGTCAATCATAACATGTTTCCGTTCATGTCTTCCACCCACAAATTTAATGCCTTTCCATCTTAACTAAGCACTTGTCATGCACTGTGGCTATAACTTTTGCAGTTTGAGGTATGACAGCAAAACTAGTACAAATTTCTTTTTCCCTCTTCACAATTTCACAGACAGAAGGTTTGTTCTTACTCAGTATAAGATGTTTTTTCCTTATTAAGTTGAGGACTTTCACCTTTTGACTTTTAAAGGAAACACTTCATAGCTTCTCTTTGGCATATCCAAATTTCCAGCAACACTACTCTTGCTCTTTGAGGCTACTATTAAGTAAAATAAGTGTTAACTCGAACGCAAGCACTGTGATACCACAACAGTAGACCTGATAACCAAGTGGCTACTAAGTGACTCATGGGCTAAGTGACTGGAGTGGATAGCATATACAGTGTAGATACACAGGACAAAGGGAGAATTCCCCTTCCAAGAGGGATGGAGTGGGAGGGCAAGAGATTTCATCATGCTACTCAGAACAGCATGCAATTTAAAACTTATGAATTGTTTATTTCTATACATTTTCATTTAATATTTTCAGACCACAATTGACTGAGAGTAACTGAAATTATGGAAAGCAAGATCACAGATAAGGGAGACTACTGTTTCTGGAGTTAAAATGCCCTTGAGAAATTCATTTTACCTCTCTCTGTCTTAATTTCTCACATGTAAAATGAAGAAAATAATATCTAAGCCACATGCTACGAGTGTTGAATGAGATTATAGAGGTGGAAGTATTCAACTCCTTGCCTTAGATACAATAGATGCTCAATAATTGCTTGCTCACTTATATTTTCTATACAACATAGATGCATAATGCAGGGAGGGTGAGATGCATTAGGATGTTCATACTTCTGATTGCAAAAGGCCATATGCAATGCAAATCCTTCATCTTTGTTGTGTCTTGAAGAGGGACACAACTTTACGGCTTTAATTAATACGTAGTCCAAAATCACCTACATTTAGCAGGGCTTACAAAATTAGTCAGAGAACAAAGTACATGCTTTAGAATCAGAACTCTGGCCTTTCCTGATTATTACTCCCATTTTTTTTTATTTTTATTTTTTGAGACGGAGTTTTGTCACCTAGGCTGGAGTGCAATGGCGCAGTCTTGGCTCACTGCAACCTCTGCCTCTCTGGCTCCAGCAATTCTCCTGCCTCAGCCTCCCAAGTAGCTAAGATTACAGGTGCCCACCACCATGCCTGGCTAAATTTTTTTTAACTTTAGCAGAGATGGGGTTTCGCCATGTTGGTCAGGCTGTCTTCGAACTCCTGACCCCAGGCAATTTGCCCACCTTGGCCTCCCAAAGTGCTGGGATTACAGGGGTGAGCCACCAGGCCTGGCCCTATTACTCCTATTATCTCAGTTTCTTCAAAACTTGTATTTAGCAGTTAGTAGGCATTCAAAAAACATTTGTTGCAGGAAACTTTACTTTTAGGTTATCTAGTCTACACATTTATTTTACAGATGGCATAAGTACGGTCTCAAAATATTAAGTCAGTTATATCCAAAGTCCAGCATTTAATCAGTAGCAGAGTCAGGATAGAACCTAATGTTACTAATTTCCAGCCAAGTTAAATTGACTTCTATTTCTACATTTTTCTTTTCTTTTTCACTCATGATGTGGTGCCCATTCTCTGTCCCTCTCTCCATTTCTCCTTGCTTTCCTTTCCACAATACCTATGCTGGCTACACACTGGGAATCTAAAATGAACAAGACACGTTTCCTACTTTTATACATGCCTGAGACATCCTGCCTCAGCTGACCTCTCTGAACCCACCCCAGTCCTGCCTGCTTATGGCTACCTGACTGCACTGGCTAACTTCTCTGCCAAGATCTACGGTTGCCTTCCTTTTCTTCTAGCCTTTTTACCCTTACAAGCATTTTTCAACCTCTTGATTTATTAGTCATCCTCTGCCCATAAATCAGGATTTCCTACCTAGACCTCCTATCCTTTGGGTCCCTACATCCTACTGTGGTGTCCCGGTGCAGTGGGAGGTCTTAGGCACAGCTTGAAATTCTGTCCTTTTGGTGGCTTTGCAGGTGGCCACCTGCTGGAGAGTGCATGTCTCCACTGCCTTCCTCAACCTCTGCATGTGGAGTCTGCACTTGACAAGATCAATGGTATGTGATTCTTGAAATTATTCTAATTGCGGCAGAAGCCACAGCCACACCAGCCGAATGAGACCTGGAGTAGGTCTTAATTTCGATATGCCAATGTAAGCATGAAGGTATTTGCATGTCTGGCAAGTTATTTTCTACCCCACCTCTTGTCCTACTCCACTAGTTCTTAAGACGAGTTCTGCCTCATTTTCCTTTTGTTTAAACTGGACTACCTCCCTACCAGCTCCTACCGGGATCTTCCTTGGGAGATCAGCCCTACTCCTTGTGTCACCAACTCCTGTCTGTATCCTGCTCTTCAAGGGCAGCAGTCCTGAAACCAGGGATCCATTGCCTACCCAATGTCAAGCTTCCTGATTTCTACTGCTATACCAACCCCAGTATGGATGGGAGTGGTCATTCTTCCCACTATGGATGTAGCTGACCTCCCCTCCTCTGCTATCATGTTGAGAAGATGCCCTTTTGGGTTAGACCCTACAAGACTACTGGCTTCAGAGATGGGTACAGGGAACATCACTTTCCTGCATGGAGTAGAACAAAATGGCAAAATCTGGAAGGAGAGATTCAATCCCTAAATGTCAATATCCAAGAGATGTAGGAACTGACTGTTTTGTGGTAATACATATTATTAATGGAGATAAGTGCCCTTTTGTGCCCAGATAACACTGGCTGCATAGTTTTGGGAGATAATGCATCGCTAAGTACTCCTGACACCCATTGCAAGGTTGATTTCTAAACAAATGGGCTGAAACTTAATTAGTTCTAATTGTAAAACACAAGGGCTCTGGGCCCACCTCAGCATGAAGAATGGAATCAAAGGTGCCAACTAAAGAGAATATTCCAGATGCTCACATTGAAATATGTAATCTGAGAGTGTTTTAAGTGCATCTGAGTACTTCAGTGCTTCATAAATGGTTGAGCTACATTATCAACCCCGGATATTGAGACACTAATAAGCAAACAGCTCTTACTTTTTATAATGCTGTGTGCCTGAGTCAGAGGAAATGTTGAGGATGATTAGAATACTGGAATACTCCTTTGTGGTTAGATGTTACTAAATCCCAATAGACTTTGGAGGTCAAAAAAAACTCCAACTATATGCCACATAAAATCTATTATAACTGGGGTTTTCTGAGATCATTTTCCTAAAATAATAAACATAACAACAGAAAATTGACTGCATGACAATGAAATGTAGAACATTCAGTTTGCCAGGTTTTTTTTAATTACCTGATGAATGATGATCTCTTGGTTTAATAAAGCAACATGTTTAGGAAATTCCAAAATAGATTGGTTTTATTATCTCTTTGTTTAGATGATGAGAACAGGGCCATATTTTTTTTCATGATTACCTTCCTCAGTGCCTTGTATAGTGCTTTGTACATAGTAGGTCTCTGTAGTTATTAATTGAGCATTTCATGAATTATTCATTTTCTATAATGACCAAAGAAGCCATTGCACTGATAAATTTTAACATAACTTTTTGCTGCCTGCATGCAGTCTTGGTCATAGTTTGCAACCATTTATGCCATTTCCTCCCATTTTAACATTTTTGTAATTTGTATCATGTCCCAGGTCTATGAAGTTTCTGAGGCAGAGTATAAAGTGCAAAGTTAATGCTTCTTTTGCACACAAATATAACCCTCATGAGAATAAAGTCATGGATTTCAAACTTATATTTCGATGTGACAACTATATAAAGCCAGATTGATATATATTTTAAATCATTTTCCCTACAGCTTTATCCCCACCCATCCTTCCCCAAAGCCTCATAGCAGCTTTAGCAAGATATTTATTAATTTAGTTGCATCTTTCACATAGTATCGGATTTGTGTAAATGCAATAAAATTCATAACACTCCTGTATAATATAGGGCAGAGACAAGCAGGACCCTTCTGCTCTGAGGCTGGAATATAAAGTAGTTTCAGTTGCTGAGATAGATTAATTCTTGAGTCAGAAAACAGTCTTTAACTCCAGTCAGCCCAATTTCTGCCAAATAAGCAAGAAGATAAATGCATCATTCTTTGAAGACAGAAGACATGTTGGGAATCAGACAACTTAATTTCAAATATGAAATATATCTAATTGATTTGCAATACTGTCCCTGGTGTACTGCCCATTGAAGATGCAATATTCTGAGGTTTCCGGACCTATGACACCAGCTAGAAAAACATTATCTGCCACTTCTGCTTGAGCGATAAGAAGACATAGGAAAAGCATGAGGGATGATGATGCACGACTCTGCAACTCCTGTGGGTCACTGCACTTTATCAACCAGAGACTAGCAGCACACAAACATATTATGGGACTGATTTTGTCCTCAGCTACATCATCAATTGGTTTTGTGAATCACCTGACCCTTAATGGGAACCTTCATATACAGTCAAAGACAGAATTTAGATTAGGATGTGAACAGGCCAAACAGGCTTTTAGCCTATCTTTATCTGGCTAATGAAATAATATTACCGAGTAGTGATTTATTTTCTTCTTCTTGTTTGACTTTGGTCATTTCTTTTTTCTTCTAGGACTGCATTAAATTGTAGGAATGCAACTTCAATTAATATTATAATAATCCTCATTGCTGATAGTGTTTTTTAAGCTCATTATCATCACATTTGTGCATGATGTTTTAAAGATGCACAAGGGATTTAAAAATCCCCGATTAAATATTTCCAGTTCTTACTAATATAAATTCATACAGCCTAAAAGTATTAATGTGATCAATGCTAAGAATAGCAACATCCACAGTAAATATGCTGAACCATTGTAAATTGCAATATTTATCTGATTTATTTTCTTGAATGTTGTCTCCTACTCCAAACACAGATTATTGGAGAGTTCTGCTATGTATAAGAGATGTCAGAAATAATTTTGGCCAGTTATATGGGGATCAATTTATGTGTCTATTACGCACCTACCAAATATTTAGCATAATGTATCAAAATAGAATGTGAGAATAGGTAATTTGTTACAAAAGCAAAAATCAATACCATAAGTAAGTAAATAAATGAATTAAATTAATTAATGATTGTTTAAAATGTATTATTCATTATACCTCTTGGCAATTGGGCAATTAGCAAAAAGTACTAATTGTACATTGTATGTCATATAAAATGTATAAAAACATAAAAGTACA
Source organism: Homo sapiens (assembly GCF_000001405.40). Lineage (NCBI taxonomy): Eukaryota > Metazoa > Chordata > Mammalia > Primates > Hominidae > Homo > Homo sapiens. Next base: position 110,689,588 of record NC_000001.11, read on the forward strand.
TTTTATGTTTTTATATATTTTTTTCATTTAAAAGTTGTGGTAATGGCTTATGAGGATACTCGCTTTTTCAGACAAATTGAGGTTCTATCATGTAAATGGGAAAACTGACCTGAACATTAGAGCTACTTTTGGAGTGAAGTTGGTTTAATAAAATTCTTAAACAGTTGTTTAAATGTGAAGGACTGGAGATAACATACATAAAGCACTAAAGTATTTTATACAATACTGGCTCTTTTAAAAAAGATGATTACCAATATGTCTATATAATTATATATAATATATGCATGTGTATATATTTGAGCCTTTTAAAAAAGATGATTTCTAATAGTGGCAGTAATAATTATAGTTTTCTGGAGCTCTTAAGTCATTTTGCTTCAAGATTCCTGTTAGCCAAATACATTTATGGTATTCTATTTTTAGCATAAACCTTTCCTAATGATATGAGAGTGTTTGACCTTCTGAACTGATCCCAGAGCAGTGCAGAGCCTTGGTTGCCAAGCACTGAAAAGGGTATGTCAACCACCTCTGTTCTAGAGACAACTGGTTTTACTTTGATGTTTCTTAGTTTTCATGTTTGATATATCCCCTCTGCCAGAGCACCACAATTATTTTTCTGCATATATGTTTGTGACATTTCTACTCTGGAGAATTCCTGTATAATAAACTCCATTTCATGATTTTTTTTAATCGAGTGGCATGGTCTAGACTGGTGGACACATCTGCATATGCTCCAGTACATTTCTTCATGGGTACCTTCTAAAATATTCCTATATTTTAACTGTCTTAGCAACAACATCATCACTCCCAATTATAGATAATGGGACTTCAAAAAGTTGATGGAAAATGAAAACACTATACATGGATTTCAAAATTTTGCTGCACAAAAAAACCCTGGTGTTAACTTGTTATAACATGTCTGAACAGGAACTAGTTTGGGGCAGTAAGAAAGATAAGACATCAATTTGAAAAGAGCCCCTATCAGAGCAACATAAATTCTGCTAAAATTGAAGCAAGAACAAATACCAAGTTTATGGTGAAGCCTGGGTGGAAGAATGGTGAAGTCATTGATACTTTATGAAAAGTGTATGGAGACAAGGCCCCAAAGAAATCAGTTTACAAATGGATAGCTTGTTTTAAGAAGTGATGAAACGATGTTGAAAATAAAGCCCATGGTACCAGACCATCCACATTGATTTGTGAGGAAAAAATTAATCTTGTTCATGCACTAATTGAAGAGTGTAGATGATTACAGCAGAAATAATACCCAATACCATAGATGTCTCAATTGGCTCAGCTTACACAATTCTGGCTGAAAAATTAAAGTTGAGCAACTTTCCACTCTGGGTGCCGAAACTGTTGCACCCAAATCAGCTCCAGACAAGAGCAGAGCTTTCAATGTAAATTTTAAACAAGTGGAATCAAGATCCTGAAGCATTTCTTCAAAGAACTGTAACAGGAGATGAAACATGGCTTTACCAGTATGATCCTGAAGACAAAACACAGTCAAAGCAATGACTACCAAGAGGTGGAAGTGGTTCAATCAAAGCAAAAGCGGACTCACCAAGAGCAAAGGTCACGGCAATAGTTTTTTGGAATGCTCCAGTCATTTTGCTTGTTGATTTTCTGGAGCACCAAAAAGTGATAACATCTGCTTATTATGAGAGTGTTTTGAGAAAGCCAATACTTTAGCAGAAAAAACACCCAGGAAAGCTTCACCAGAGAGTCCTTCTCCACTCTGACAATGCTCCTGCTCATTCTTCTTAACAAAGAAGTGCAATTTTATGAATGTCAGTGGAAAATCATTAGGCATCCACCTTATAGTTCTGATTTGGCTCCTTCTGACTTCTTTTGTTTCCTTATCTGAAAAAATCTTTAAAGGGCACCTATTTTTCTTCAGTATATAATGTAAAAAAGACTGCATTGGGATGGTCAAAAAACCCATGATCTTCAGTTCTTTAGGGATGGACTAAATGGCTGATACCATCACTTAACAAAAGTGTCTTGAACTTGACAAGGGCTTATGTTGAGAAACAAAGTTTATTTTTTTTATTTTTATCTTTTAATTCAATTTTTCTATGAACTTTTTGAAGTCTCCTCTTTAAAACTGTCTTCCTTTTATAAAAGTTTTTTATTTTTAAAAATACTGAAACTATAAGTCTTTAAAATGTACGTCATTAATTCCCATAACATACTCTTTAATTTTACTTAGTAACATAAATTGCTTAAAACAAAACATATAGAATTTCATATTCACAAGTTTGCCTAATATGATGTTTCAGAAAAATATTGTATGTTCTCTTAGTTAATGCTTATGTCCTTGCCATTGACTTGTTTACAGATTATTTCATTGGATTGCCCTCTAATTCCGAGTTTTTGTAGTCTGAAATCCACCCAGGGTATGTGCAGGTCAAAGTCTGGAGGAGCTTTGGGGTAATAGGAAGAACTCAAGACTCCAAGTCCGGAGACACAGGTTTGAATTCTAGGTCCCTGGGTTCCTAAATCTCTCTGAGCCTTCAGTTTCCTCATCTATGATAAGTGGATGACAATAATCAGTTTACAGGGTGACTGTGAGAATTAAATGAAATAAAATACTTTGAATACTTAGCAGTGCTTAGTATATATTTAATTTGACATAATCTAAAAGTGTTTGCTCGGGTTTGCTGGAAGTAAAAAATTGGTGCTCAACATCACCTCTCACTTGAATGGAAGAAATAGCCATTGGACAGAGACATCCGTATATTAATGATTGGCTCTGGGTCTGTTTATTTTTATTTGAGTCAATGAATAAGTGCCCATACAGCACTTTGTCCACTACTAAGATTCTTATACTGTGTTAATTTCCATAGCAGCATTCCTGCCTGCTGAGTTTCCTGGATTTGCTGAGCTAAACAAGTTCATTCGCACCCAGTTCCACCTGGGATGAAGATCCATCTACAGGGCTGGAACTGACAGGGAAAACTTTTCATCCCATCTGAGGTCACCTTCACTTACAGGATGCTGGCTGCTGATAAGTATCCTATCAGGAGAAGAAGAGAAAAATAATTTGACACTTATAGCCTGTCTTGAAAGATGAGATTCACTTATCAGCAAACCAGATGAAGAGAATCACTGAGCACAGAAATGAGATCTGAGCACACTAGAGCTCAACTAATGTATCCCTGCCCACACAGGGTTAGTCTCTACAAATTGCCTATTTCAGTTATTTAGCCCCATTTTTTTCCCAGAGATGGTGTGTTTCGTATAATCAATAGCTACAAAATAAAAGCAGCATCTGCCTTGCCTTCTTTTCCCGTTATTTGGCTGTGGCCTCCTAACAATGAGACAAACAGAGAAGAGAGAAGTAAACAAGAAATCAAAGAGATCTAGGGGAGATAGCTAATGTGGGGGTGAGGAGAGAAGCAAATACCGGGTTCACAACAGGTTGAATCATTGCCAAGGAACCCAGATTGACAAGTATGATATACTGTTGAGATTCTCAGTGGCAACCGTTGCCAGTTTTGCAAAAGAGCAGTGTTATTGGAGCCGGATTTGGAAAGCAGATTTTGTGAAAAGTCTAGGATACTGCTGTCTCCCAGGACTTGGTTCTAATTTTGTCTTTGGGCTGTCCTCAATGCTCCCACCTCTCACGCATGTGTTCTATTTGGGGGCTTATTGTGGAGGAAGCCAGCTAATGCTACATCCAGAAAGAGGGAGAAAAAAAGTCCAAATATATATTTTTCTTTATTGAAATAGAAAAACAAACTCAAAATTATCTGCATTTTATGTTTCCAGCCATCCTTAGTCACAGACAGAGCTCAGCAATATGCTCACCTTGGCCCACTGAGAGCAGATATTTCACAGACAATTTTTTGCTCACCTGTAAAAGTTCGTCTCTCCCCAGCTGAGTATTGGTTCCCCACCCTTCTCCTTCTTCAGACTCTACTCTAATCCCCATGCATTCCCAGGCTTCCTGGGGCTGATGTGGGAAGACAAAGGAGGAACCCAGGACCCTAAGAAAAGGCAGCCTTCTGATACCCACTGCTATGGGATCATTATAGGAGGGCCAGTACTTGGTGGGTAGTTGTGAGATGCAGCATAACTGTGTTCTCTGCAGGCAGGGCTTCTCCCTCAGGCTTGAGTTGTATTTTCCATGAACTTGTGCTGGGCCTTCCAGTGCCCAGCTCTTAGTCTTAGAAACTCCTTTGCTGCTAAGACCTTTCAGAGTGAGGCCTGAGGTAAGAGCAAAGCTGAAGGAGATCAGGTGGCAGGCCTGCTCCAGTCCTGGTCTGGTCCTGGGGATGAGCATGTTGTGCAGGATGGTAGGTTGGTTCTCCCCATCTCGAGCCTTTGGGTGCTCTGGTTTGTTTGGCATATGGGTATGCACTGGGTTGGTCCCTAGGATCCTCTGCCTGCCTTTTAGAATGTATGAAGTGGTCCTGGTTCCACCCTAATGTGAAAGAAGATCTTGCCATCGTATAGGCAAGAGCAGTGGGTCCCAACACAAGGCCTAATGATGGCCATCATAAGATGATCAGACCATCTTTTTGTTATTTGAGTTACAATAACAAAGTAGATCGAAGATAGGTCCACTCTGTAGAACTAAAGTCATATGCATTGCTTTTCTCTACTTGCCGAATTGCTGTCTAGCACCCCCTTTTCTCTCTGAACTCCTCATCTTTTCAAGGGCATAAGGACTCCTATTCTGATTAGGACAAAATGCAGGAATTTGTTTTGAATTTTCTCTTCATTTCGGGTGCTGTGAGCACTTGGGCTTGGAGTTGGAGTGGTAGCTGGGTATTAGGCCTTGACTGGGCTTTCCTCATTTTCAGCAGAGCCCAGCTGGCTTTGGCCCGGTTTGGAGATTCTCCAACCAAGTCCCACCCTCAGAGAGGTTGCCATACTCTCGCCATTAGAGAAGCCAGCGGGGAGTTACAGCCACAGCAGCTTTTGCAGAATCCCTAGGAGACCTACAGGGACAAAGCAGAGTAAAGGAAAAGGTCCTGGAGAGGTGAGATTTTCTCCATTTTCAACAAGAGTTTTAGACGACATTTTCCAAAAGTTGCTACAGCTCATACAACTGCTTTGCAAATTCAACATTTGAGTTTGGCCCACTGAAAAAAAAGTTCACTTACTACTACTACTTTCTGTCTATGTTGTGTTTCAGGCTTAGAGCCAGGCTTAGAGTTGTGATGAAAAGGAAAGCTCTGACTAAAATAATATTTCTTGTCATAGTAGTTATTTTGTTTCATAAGTATTGACATGTAGGTTGTTACTGCATTTTACAGATGAGGAAACTGAGCCTTAGGACTCAGAAATATTGTGAGGAACACAGTAAGAACAAGACACGTTAGGCGTTATTATCCTAGGTTTAACCTGTTGCTATTTGAGAATGGCATAGAGAGAAACAAAAGCTATTACTTAGAGAAAGCTGGCTACTCTCTTAGACCAGCTTTGAAGGATAAGGACCCTGGTTAGGCCATCACAGTCTAGGTCCATAGTTCTCAGTCTTTGGCTTACATCAGAATCAGCTGTGGAGCTTTAAAAAATAGAGATTCCTAGGTCTTATCCCATACCTCCCAAATTAGAATCTCCAGGGACAGGTCTTGGAAGTCAACATTAAAAAAAAATAATGAAAAAACAAAATATCCTTGGTTGAGTGATACTGTTGGGCAGCAAGTTTGGAAACGATCTAAGGTTTTACCTCTAATTTTGGTCCAGAAAATTCCTTGCCAGAGGTAATAAGTCTTCTGGAGATGGACTCACATTAACACAATTATGACATGTGACTGATACATGGATTAGAGTGACAACTGACAGTGAGAACTACCTTGTTGTTAGCCTAACAAGACCATCGGGCTCTTGTTGGTAGAAGGTTATGCTTTTCCCCGAGGCTGCATGTAGCCAGGTGAGCAGAGACCAAAGGTGGAGAAAGTGGATGATCATGAGAGGCAGGACCATCAAACATGGTGACCCTGAGGCATTCATCTTCCTCAGAAGGTTCCTGCTGTACAAACAGAATACTCGTGTTCATGGGCTCAGATGCATCACCAGATTTTATCTTTGACCATCCTGTTTACAGGTGCCTTATCCCCCATCCCCATTCTGAAAATAATTATTTTTATTAGATACAAAATACCGTATAGTTGATTAGATTTGCTCTTTTCTAGTTAAAGATCACAGCCTAAATGCTCATAGTTAGCAAGAGTTTTAGATAAACAGGCACTCATACTTGACTTGTTACTGGGAAATTAGCACAATCTTTTGATATGAAGTATTGGTAGCTACAGGGATAATTTTTGGCACTATTAACAATACTGAAAAGTTGGAAGCAACCTTTATGTCCAAGAATAGAAGTAGATAAATTCATTATTGTATATGCACACACAAAACGGGCTGATATATAGTCATGGTTTAGAATAAAATGTAATTAAATGGAAAATACTCACGATATATTGTTATGTGATAAAGCACATACAAATTTTTGTATGTGTGAAAAGAGGTACACCAAAATGTTAATGGTAATTTTGCCTGGATGGTTTAATTATGAGTGATTTTTTCTGTTTTTATTTATCTACATATCTACTTTAATTTTATCATAATAATTATATATAAATTTTATCATAAGAAAAAGCCAAATAAGCATTATTATAAAAGTCATAATTCAGATTTTTCTTCCTGACATTATATGTGAGTCATCATGACTATTAATATATTTTGGGTGACCCTCAAATGTAGTTTTGAGTTTGTGTTATTTCTATGAATGAATGATGGTTGTCATCCCTTACCCCTTTATCTAGAGTAACTTCATTCACAGAAGCCATCTGAATTCAGTTTTGGAGTCTGTTCAACTTCTGGTGGTGCATATACAATTTAACCACAGCGATGGGGACATTCACTCAACAAACATTTATTGCAGACTTTCTCTTATAGACTTTAAGGGTGTATGTTTGAACAATATATATTACTGCTGTAAAGGAGTCAGGTGGGGATATAAAGAAATGTAAAACAAATAATAAATAATTTATTAGAGATAGGACTATGAGATCCTAGAAGAGGGAGTGACTAATTTTGACTGGGAAAATAAGTCTTAATAGAAGAGGCAACTTTTAAGCTGAATCTTAAATGAGTAGAAGTTTTCCAGGTGAGGGAAGGCGGGAGAGCATTTCTAGGAAGAGCAAACAACTCATGCAAAGACACAGAGTAGTGAAAAGGCATTGTGTGGAATGTTGAGAAGTTCGGTGGGGCTGGAGCTTGGGGTATTACAGAGAAAGGAAAGGAGATGAGACTAGAATGAGAAATTAATACCAGATAGTAAAGTGTTTTGTATGCCATGTGACAGGATTTTAATTTGATCTTTTGAGCAATGGAAATTGGCAGTGGTTTATAAACAGGAAAAAGACATGACAGAACTATTTTTAAGGACATAACCCTGGGGAGGATGTGGAAAATGGAATAGATTAGGGTAGAGGCCTGAGGCACAGCAGATAGTTGGGAAGCTATTGTAGCATTAAAGATGAGAGATAATAAGGGCCTGGCCTGAGTCAGTGACCCTGGAAATGGAGAAAAAAGCCTTGATCTGAGAGGCCTCTAGTCAATAGGGAGAAGATTTCCCCATTCCCCTCTTATGTATTGTAGTTCTTAATATACTTTCCATACGCTTTTAGAGATGTGAACCTCCGTATTGAATATTTACTCTGCCAACCCAAATTTGAATCAATGCATGAGCACCTGTGTTTGACAAAGCCCAGTGGATCCAAATCCAGTATGCATTGAGTATGTCCCAAAAAATGAGTAATGGCTGCAGTATACAAAACAAAACCACCCCCGACTCACATGTGTTTCTGTGATTCCTTAAGATGCCGGAAGAAGATGAAAACAGTTACCAGTGTTGGCTTTTAAGAAAATGTCAGATCCAAAACATTCAACCATATTTTCCCTCTGACTCAACATGCCTGTAGTTTTTAGTGAGACACCTTTAGAAATCATATAATCCTTTTGGTTGAGAATTTGTCATTGAATAATAAAAAGAATACAAGATCTGAATCCAGACAGACCCGAATCTGTAATAATTGTGTGACTTTGGGTAAGTTACTTAATTTCTTGTTTTACTTATTTGTGAAATGGAGGTATTCATATCTATTTTGCAAGGCTAATATGAGAATTACAGATCATATATGTTAAGCATCTTGTACATTCTTGGTCCACAAAAAATAGTTAGGGCTGGGTGCGGTGGCTCATGCCTGTAATTCCAGCACCACTCTGGGAGGCCAAGGCGAGTGGATCACTTAAGGTCAGGAGTTTGAGACCAGCCTGGCCAATATAGGGAAACCCTGTCTCTACCAAAAAATACAAAATTTAGCCAGGTGTGGTGTGCATGCCTGTAGTCCCAGATACTTGGGAGGCTGAGGAGGGAGAATTGCTTGAATCCTGGATGGGGCGGGCACAGTGAGCCGAGATCATGCCACTGCACTCCAGCCTGGGAGACAGAGTAAGACCCTGCCAAAAAAAAAAAAAAAAAAAGAGGAAATAGCTTTTAATTTACTTTCAGAAGCTTGTTCTGGGCAAATGATATCTGAAGGATTGTGTTCATTTCTGTTTATGGCAGTTTAGGAAAGACACTGATAAGCTAAAGGCTTTTAGAGAAAGATGTCAAGGATGACAAAGAGAGTAGAAATAATTTTTGTGGTGCTTCCTCTTCCTGGTACTCAGAGCTATGTAAGCTCATTCTATTTTCCTTATTGTCTTTGCTGCCAGGAAACTCAGTTTCATATTTGAAATTCAAATTCAGCAACTGCATTAGCCCTTGAATTGGTATATCTGCTTTATCCTTTTGTTTGTCACTTTAAAACTTTGGAAAGAGATTCAGCACAAATAATTTCAGGGAATAAAATAAAATAAAATGTAATGTGCAAACTTGTAAAATAAATTGAACAGATTTAACATGCAGAATAGAAGCCTAAAGAGGGAGTTAAAATTATTCTCAAGTATCTGAAAAATTGTCATGTTGCAAAGAAAATAGACTTATTTGTATTGCTCTAAACATCAAACACCTGAACAGTAGATTGAAGATGCAGGATAATTATTTAAGTAAAATAAAAGAAGGGATTTATAAAATAGCTGCACTAATGGAATGGAATTTCTATTAGGAAAATGAGTCCATCATTGGAAGAGTTAAACTTTCTGTATAATTTTTTACAAAAATAGAAAAACAATCTTATAATTCATATGAAACCACAAAAGACCCCAAATAGCCAAAGCAAACTTGAGCAAGAACAAAGCTGGAGGCCTCACATTTTCTGATTTCAAAATATATTACCAAGCTACAGTAATCAAAACAGTACAGTACTGGCATAAAAGCAGACATATAGACCAATGGAACAGACTATAGAGCCTGAAATAAAACCATGCATTCATGGCCAACTGATCTTCAACAATAGTGCCAAGAACATAAAATGGGGGAAAATAGTCTCTTTAATAAATGATGTTAGGAAAACTGGATATTCATACCCAGAAGAACAACATGGAACCTTAAACTCACACCTTATACAAAAGTCAACTCAAAATGGATTAAAGACTTAAATATAAGACTACTAGAAGAAATTTCACTGGGAAAAATCTTTATATTGGTCTGGGCAATGATTTTTTGGATTTGACACTAAAATCACAGACAACAAAAGCAAAAATGGACAAATGGGATTTGCACTGAACTAAGAGTCTTCAGCAAAGCAAAGGAAACAATCAACAGGGTGAAAAAGAGTAGGAGAAAATATTTACAAACCATAGATTAGAGAAGGGGTTAATATTCAAAATACATGAGGAGTTTGTGCAACTCAGTAGCAAAACTCCCCAAAAACCTGATGGAAAAATGGGCAAAAGACCTGAATCAACATTTCTCCAAACAAGACATACAGATGCTCAACAGATATATGAAAAGATGCTCAGCATCACTAGTCATCAGGAAAATGCATATCAAAACCACTCCTCTCACCTGCTGGAATGGCTGTTAACAGAAGAGATAACAGTGTTGGCAAGAATGCTGAGAAAAGGGAACCCATGTACATAGTTGGTGGGATTGTAAATGGTTACAGTCATTATGCAAAAACAGTATGGAGGTTCCACAAAAAGTTAAAACAATAATATGTTATGATCCAGCAATCCTACTTTTGGGTGTATATCCAAAGAAATGAAATCAGGATTTCAAAGAGATACCTGTTTTCCCATGTTCATTTCAGAATTGTTCATAATAGTCAAGATATGTAAACAACCTAAATGCCCATCAGTGGATGAAAAGTTAAAGAAAATGTGGTGTATTATATATACAATGGAATATTATTTAGCCCCAAAAGAAGAAAATTCTGCCATTTGTGAAAACATGGATGACCCTGGAGGACATTATTCAAAATGAAACAGGCCAGACACAGAAAGACAAACTCACAGGGACTGAGGGAAGAGGAAATGGGGAGATGTTGGTCAAAAGTTTCGGTTATGCAGGATGAATAAGTTCAGATCTAACATACAACAAAGGGACTATAGTTAACAATACTTTATTGTATACTTGAAATTTGCTAGGAGGATAGATCTCAAGTGTTCTTGCACCTCATTTCCCCCAAAAAGAAAATGGTAATTATCTGAGGAGACAGCATGTTAATTAGCTTATATACATATAAAATTATCAAACTACACACCTTCAATATATACAATTTTTAATTGCCAAATATACATCCATAAAATTAACTATATCTGTCGGTAAAAAAAAAAACAACTTACTTTATATTTTAACTCAATTTAATGGCCTCTAAAAACTCTTCTAACCCCAAATCTCATGGTTATATATTTTCAAGCAGCTTCTTTAGGGCAATTTGAAAATGTCACCATCCATTGGTTGACAAGGAAACTCTCCATCAGGACTGCTCCGAATCTGTTGGTCAGCTTTTTGGTGACCAGTCACAGAAAGATGGTGTGCTCTGCGGAGACCCAGTTTTTACCTCTGGTAGCCCCATTTGGTTACTTAGCAATATCTGTTGTGTCCCACATAGCCAGACTCTGCAGAAAATGTGGGTTCACAAAGAGAGAAGACCCCCTTAAAGCCTCCATCACCATGGCATTAGAGACTCTTTCACAATGGTAAGCATATTTCACATTTAATAGAAGCCATTTGAATTGAGTGGCTCTTGCACCCAAGAGATCATGAGGTCATTTATGTAATAATAACTTATTATTTTGAAGCAATTTTATCTCTGGGGTTTCATTTCATCTTCTTTCAATGTGGTTCAGTATATTGGGACTGGATAAAAAAGCTGGGTCACAGAAAGGCTAAGTGACTGTATTAGTGACTTAATGCTGGCTGCACCAGAGAAACCACAATATATCAATGACTTAACACAATAAAACGGTATTTTTCATGTCACAATTAGATGCGACTCAGTGGTCTTTCTCCATCTTGTAGCTATGCCATCTGGAACATGAGGCCTCCAAGGTCACAGAGGAGGGCAAGAGACAGACTGAGGAGGCACACTGGCTCCTCACTGCCTTGTTCTGAAGGTGACACAGATGACTTCTGTTCACATTTCATCAGCAAACTCTAGTCACTGTATCCCAACCCAACTGCAGGGGGGCTGGGGAAGTTAGAGGAACACATGAGTTTTTGGTGAGCACTATCTCTGACCTGATGACTAGGGTCACTTAGCCACTTAGTGGCTTAACTAGAACTAGAAATTGAGTCTTCTGATTTCCAGCATTTAATTCTCTGCTGTGAACTCTGCTGTCTAATTTTCCTGTTGAGATGGAATGTGGTGTTTAGGCATCAACCCAGAGTATTTTGGGAGCCAGGGGTCTTGGAACCAAAGATTTGGGCCATGCTATGTCTTCTTATAGGATTTTATAATTTTTTTTTTCATAGGTTATCTGGACAAAGATTACCAAATTGAGAGGAGGGGATGTCTGTGAACAGTTATGAAATCTGGAACCACAGGAATCTACTGTAGAGAAAGGTGTGGTAGTGTGAGATAGAGGAGAGTAAACCAAAAAGATTTTTCACTTAGTGGCCTGCCAGGGTCAGCCAGGCTGCAGACTAATAATCTGGCTGTTCTTCAAACCTGTATTTATTAAATATTTGCTCATCATTTATTTAGAGGAGAGGATGGATGCTCCATGGAAAACGGCAAAGAAAGAAAACAGCTGGTGGCAGATAGCACACACTGTCAATTGTCCCAAACAAATTTAGCCCTGTCCCAAATGGGCCCGTTGTTCTTGCAAAGCAAAATGCCTGCAGTTAAATGGACCCATCACTTAGAAGGCAGTTAGCAGTCTTGAGAGACTCATTCCCTTATCCCCAAGGAACTTACAGAATATTATAATTCTGGAAATAAAATTTCCCACATTTTACTGCCTTGCTAAGGATATTTTGATGTTTATTATTGCTTGGTGCTCCAAGTATGTTCTCTCTATAGAAGAGCTTGAGACACCTAGATGCATTACTGGAATGGTCTGGGAGTGGGCACCCATTGCCTCCTTCTATTTGGGATACGTATGTCCAATCCCTCTGACCTGATGTGTGTAATCTACAGAGAGGGGCTGCTTTGACGTGATCTATTTCCTTCTAACCTTCTAAATTCTGTATTTTCAGGAGAGCACAACTACCGTTTCTGTAGTGCTTCAAGATACCCTGTTCTCAGCCCAGAGAATCATCCCTAGATATCCAGGAAATGAGATACAGGAACCTGCAATGATAAGGTTTAGAGTGGGAAATGTTTATGCAAAAAGTTAATGTACTTATGAGAACTTTGATTTTTGCATTTCTTGACTTACTCAAAGAACCTTGCTCAGCAATACATTGTCATAATTTTATATGGGTGTTGTTCACACACACCCTGATAGCTTTCTGTCATGGTTACTAGGAGAGAGAGCAAGACAAAATAACAGAATATTGTCTTTCATTCGTGCATGTCAAAGAGTACTAAACAAGAATATGTGCATTTAAGTAGATTCTTTTCTGATATAGACTCTCCAATTAGAATTTGGTTTACTCAGGAAAAAATCAGTGACTTGTTTTTATCTCACACAGCTGTGAGAAAATAAGCCTACCAAACTATACAAATGATTGAGAACATTTGTTTCTCAGCATTTTAGGCTGGCTGGTGGCAATACAGAGTAAAATAGCCTTCAGACAGTACTTTTCCAAGCCTTTCTCCTCCTTACGAAGGCCTAGGTGGAAGGCCTTCATAAGGAGGCCTAAATAAGGAGGCCTTCATATGAAGGTCTAAATGTTAGAGAGGCACTTATTTGATTTATTCAAAAAGGAATGAATTTGTAGAGATGTCCCAGAAAAAAAATAGTAAGCTATGCTATCAGAGAACAGGGAACCTGTCCCACCATAGGACAGGGCCTATGAAAATAGATGAGTTTTAAGTTCTCTCATTAATTGAATTAATTAGTGAATGAAAATACCCTCTTCATTATTCAAATACATATTGAATTTCTGCAATATGTTCTACTATTGCCTTGGTTATTATTCTTAACAGCCAATTGTAAAATGTGGGGAGATTTTACTATTAAACAATACACTCTCACATTTTTCCTTCTCCATCAGCACATCTCATATTACCCACTGTAAAACTGTACATGTAGTTATTGGTTCAAGGACACATCTCATTGGTGCTGTGTGGGAATGCATAGGGGGAGGTAGGGGTGGGGGAGAGAGACAGAGTATGAGAGAGATTGAGATTAAAGAGATCCCTGCAATCAGTTGTGGAAAGTCACAAACAAGCCTTCACATTACACAAGGATCTGGTCACAGGTTTGCACCACTAGAGAGTTCTTTCAGGGGTCAATCTCTTTCTTTAGCCAATGGCCCATCTTCTGGGCCCTGATTCTTGTGGCCAGGGATATTTTGGCATCCCATGCTATTTTCACCTTCCTATTGAAGGTTGATGTATTAGTCTGTTTCCACCCTGCTGATAAAGACATACCTGAGTCTGGGCAATTTACAAAAGAAAGAGGTTTAATTGGACTTACAGTTCTACGTGGCTGGGGAAGCCTCACAATCATGGTGGAAGGCAAGGAGGAGCACGTCCTGTCTTACATGAATGGCAGCAGGCAAAGAGAGAATGAGAAAGCTGTAAAAGTGGAAACACCTGATAAAACCATCAACTCTTGTGAGACTTATTCACTACCATGAGAACATTATGAGGGAACCACCCTCATGATTCAATTATCTCCCACCGGGTCCCTTCTACAAGGCATGGGAATTATGGGAGTGCAACTCAAGATGAGATTTGGGTGGGGACACAGAGCCAAACCATATTATTCTGCCCCTAGCCCCTGCCAAATCTCATTTTTTCACATTTCAAAACCAGTCATGCTTTCCCAACAGTCCCCAAAGTTTTAACTTATTTCAGAATTAACTCAAAATTCCACAGTCCAAAGTCTCGTCTGAGACAAGGCAAGACCCTTCCACCTATGAGCCTATAAAATCAAAAGCAAGCTAGTTATTTCCTAGATACAATTGGGGTACAGACATTGGGTAAATACAACCATTCCAGATGGGAGAAATTGGCCAAAATAAAGGGGCTGCAGGGCCCATGCAACTCTGCAATCCATTGGGGCAGTCAAATCTTAAAGCTCCAAAATGATCTCCTTTAACTCCATGTCTCACATACAGGTCACACTGATGCAAGAGGTCGGTTCCCATGGTCTTGGGCAGCTCTGCTCCTGTGGTTTTGCAGGGTATAGCCCCACTCCCAGCTGCTTTCACAGGCTGGCATTGAGTGTCTGCGGCTTTTCCAGGTGCACAGTGCAAGCTGTCTGTGGATCTACCATTCTGGAGTCTGGAGGACGGTGGCCCTCTTCTCACAGCTCCACTAGGTGGTGCCCCAGTAGGGACTCTGTGTGGGGGCTCTGACCCCACATTTCCCTTCCACACTGTCCTAGCAGAGGTTCTGTATGAGAGGCCCACCCCTGCAGCAAACTTCTGCCTGGGCATCCAGGTGTTTCCTTACATCTTCTGAAATCTAGGCGGAGGTTCCCTAACCTAAATTCTTGATTTCTGTGCACCCACAGGCCCAACACCACGTGGAAGCTGCCAAGGCTTGGGGTTTGCACCATCTGAAGCCATGGCCTGAACTCTATGTTAGCCCCTTTCCACCATAGCTGGAGCTGCTTGGACACAGAGCACCAAGTCCCTAGGCTGCACACAGGTGGGGACCCTGGGCCCGGCCCACAAAACCACTTTTTCCTCCTAGGCCTGTGATAGGAGGGGCTGCTGTGAAGACCTCTGACATGCCCTGGAGACATTTTCCCCATTGTCTTGAGGATTAACATTTGGCTCCTTGTTAGTTATGCAAATTTCTACAGCCAGCTTGAATATCTCCTCAAAAAATGGGATTTTCTTTTCTATCACATGGTCAGGGTCCAAATTTTTCAAACTTTTATGCTCTGTCTCCGTTTTAAAACTGAATGCTTTTAACATCACTCAAGTCACCTCTTGAGTGCGTTGCTGCTTAGAAATTTCTTTCGCCAGATATCCTAAATCATCTCTCTCAAGTTCAAAGTTCCACAAATCTCTAGGACAGGGGAAAAATGCCACCAGTCTCTTTGCTAAAACATAACAAGAGTCACCTTTGCTCCAGTTCCCAACAAGTTCCTTATCTCCATCTGAGACCACCTCAGCCTGGACCTTATTGTCCATATCGCTATCAGCATTTTTGTCAAACCATTCAACAAGTCTCTAGGAAGTTCCGAACTTTTCCACATTTTTCTGTCTTCTTCTGAGCCCTCCAAACTGTTCCAACCTCCGCCTGTTACCCAGTTCCAAAGTTCCTTCCAAATTTTTGGGTATCTTTTCAGCAATGCCCCACTCTACGGGTACCAATTTACTGCGTCAGTCCGTTTTCATGCTGCTGATAAAGACATACCCAAAACAACAACAACAACAACAACAAAAAGACATACCCAAAACTGGGCAATTTACAAAAGAAAGAGGTTTAATTGGACCCACAGTTCCACAGGGGTGGGGAGGCCTCACAATCATAGTGGAAGGCAAGGAGGAGCAAGTCCCATCTTATGTGGATGGCAGCAGGCAAAGAGAGAATGAGGAAGCCCCAAAAGTGGAAACCCCTCATAAAACCATCAGATCTCATAAGACTTATCCATTACCACAAAAACATTATGGGGAAACCACCCTTGTGATTCAATTATCTCCCAGAGGGTCTCTTCCTCAACACATGGGAATTATGGGAGTGCAATTCAAGGTGAGATTTGGGTGGGGACACAGAGCCAAACCATATCAGTTGGGTTATTGTTTTTTCTTTTGGTTCCTTTCCTTACAGGGAATGTGGAGTGTAGTTAGAGAATCCAGCTTTGATCAGCTTGGGAGATAAATTTTCCTCCAGTCATATAATTTTGCCCATTCCACCAAGTCTAGATGTCTCTGGTTCTCTTGCCTCACTCCCCCCACATCACCCTTCTCTCTTCCCGCTTGCACCATATGGCATATCTGTTTCTCTATCCCTAATCCCTTCTCTTGGACTCAAGAAGCCTCAATAAACTGCCATACTCAAAGAAATGTATTCATAATATTAATGTTCCATGTTGGCAGAAAATGGTGGTGGGAGGCAGATTAGAGAAAGAGAAAGACCAAGCACCCAGCAAATGTCTAAGTGCCATTGTTTGATGCCCACATTCAGAGAGAAGCAAGACCACTAGGACCTCTGAGATCCTCTGGCATAGCCATCTTGTCTTATAGAAAAGGAAACTGAAGAGCATAGAATTGAGAGGTGACAAGCACTTAAATAGCCCCCATCTCTTGGCTCCTGGCCCAGTGTTCCTCTGCAACTCATAGCTGCCCCTGTAGCCACTGGCCATTTTTTCCCCCAAACCCGGGGCAGGCTTAGGAAGAGTTCTTCTTCCATTTCTACCAGGAGCAGATCACACAGGAATTTTCTACTTTGATCCAACTCCCAGGCCCAGTTGATTATCCATGTAACTCTCTTAGAAGGGGAATAAAATTCCTTCTAAAGGCAGGGAGCTGGGAGGGGTCAGCCTAAGAATCATTAGGCTGTTAGTACTAAGCTCCTCTCAAACTCCTGGGTTATTGCCCTGGCATTCCCAAGAATGCCAGCAAGTCCTCAACACTTTCAGAAGCTTGTTTTTGAATGTGTACCTGCTGATTAATTAATTGAAGAAAGCTACTGGAGCACAAACATAATCTCACCCTGTGTTAGTCATTCCTGGATGGGGAATGTGTTCCTGGGAAGGCAGTCATGTTAATGTTGGCAATTTCTATTCTGCTCATGTCTCCAGAGCCCATCACTGTGGCCCACAGAGCATGAGCTCATGAGCTCATGGTTTAATTGGGTTAGAAATTAAATGAATGCTTTTTTTCTTCTAAAGGAGAAGGAGAGCCGCCCCATACTAAGACTAGCAATTAAAACTGCAAGAAGATAACTTGGCAGGAGTCTCAACAGTGAGGCACACACGAAGTGGAGAGGAACAAATGCTCTTATCTCCAGCAAGAGCAAGAAAGTTTGACAGGTAGCAGTTCTCAACACAGATAGCTGAGGGGTGGAGGGTGAGATGGATTTACAATAATCTCAATAAACTCAAAGACACACATGTGAGAGAAAGGGAAGGATAAATGATATCGTACTTAATGTGTTTGTTCTTCCATGAAGACAAAAGAAACTTCTGGATGAAACATCTAGTTAGTTGAGATGATTCTAAAGCTCCTTCCAAATCTAAATTATGATGTCACATGAAACTCAAACCTACATCACCAGCTGATAGAGTCACACACCCCGTATCCTCAAAATCCTTGTTATTTATTTCTGGGAGGTCCCAAATGGGTGTCTCATGTGTGTCCCCAGTCCAGTCATTCAGCTACAGCCAGTGTGAGGAGCCTTCGACTTCCCATTTCTTGTGCCCAAGAGCCCCTTGAAGAGGAACCACTGCTGGAACTGCTCACATCTGGCATGCCAGTGTCCCTCCAGGGGTGCTACCTCCCAAAGCTTCCAAAGCTGCCAGGCCTCTAGGCAAAGGTGAGGAGAATGTGTTACTCAGTGTCTCAAAAGTCTCCTAAAAAAAGGTTCTGACCTCTGGTCTTCATCTTTCCAACCATAAAAATTCAGACCAAAGGACCATATGAACAATTCAACCAACAAATCTTTGTTGATTGCCTAGTATGTGCCTGGTACTTTTCCAGAAGCTGAGATGCAGTAATGAACACATAGAAATGATCCCTGCCTCCTTTTCTCTTCTCTGCTTCTAGCTCCCATCCCTCCAAACCCAATTATTTCACCTTCTCTAGTTATAAAACAAAAGTTCCCATGGATATTGATAAATGGAAAAGAGTTGCGAATGGGGTGTTGGGAAGAAATGAACTATCCATAGTAGCATGGTTGGGGCTTCAGCTCACCTAGCCAAAGATGCCCTGTACATCTGAAAAATCCATATACCAAAATTGCATAGATAATTACTTTCTATGCAGCCAGTCACAAGTTAATTTACCTGATAGTTTTCATATGTGGTAGAAGGAAGGCATTTGGAAGACCAGTTTAATAATACAGTAAATATGTTTGTTTTGAACATTTTGTGTATCTGCAAATATACAAAGGCATTTTGAACATTTGTATATTTGCAAAATGTGGTATGTTTTTCTCCTCCCCCCACATTGCCTCATTAATTCAGAAAATATTTATTGGGCACCTACTTTATGCCCAATAAATATTTTCATGCCAAACACTTTTCTGTTTTATTTTATTTTTTTTGGAGACAGAATCTTGCTCCGTTGCCCAGGCTGGAGTGCAGTGGCACGATCTCAGGTCACTGCAACCTCTGCCTTCCAGGTTTAAGTGATTCTCATGCCTCAGCCTCCCAAATAGCTGGGATTACAGGCATGTGCCACCACACCTGGCTAATTTTTGTGCTTATAGTAAAGATGGGGTTTCACCATGTTGGCCAGGGTGGCCTCAAACTGCTGACCTCAGGTGATCTGCCTGCCTTGGCCTCACAAAGTGCTGGGATTACAGGTGTAAGCCACCACACCTGGCCCAAAACACTTTTCCAGTTGATTGGGACATAGCAAAGAACAAGATGGACAGAAAATGCCTGCCTTTGCAGTCTTTATTGTGGGGTAAGACACAGTCAATATAAATAAACTCTACATAAATAAATAGTATGTTAGTTAAATGTGCTCAGGTGAAATAAACTAAGAAGGAGAACAGGGAGTGTTGAGGGAGGAGCTGGCAAGGAGAGCAAAGAAGCCCTCACTGAGAAGGTGACATTTGACCCTTGAAGGTGATGAGAGAGCATGCCATATCTAAAGCAAGAATATTCCAGCTTTGGGGAACAGCAAATGCAAAGACCATGAGGTAAACAGGTGAATGGAATATTCAGGGAACAGCAAGAGATCAGTGTGGCCAAGGAGCAGAGTGAAGGAGGGAGAGAGCCTCAGGAGATTAGGCCAAAGACACAGCAGGGGCCATATCTTGCAGGGCCTTGTGGCTTTTTGGAAGGACTTTGGCTTTTACCCAGAGTGAGATAAGAAGTCATTGGAGAATTTTGAGTAGAGGGGTGACACAATCTGGCTCTTGTCTAGCTAAGTCTAGCTGCTCTCTGGGGAATAGACTAAAAGGGCAAGGGTGGAAGCAGGAAGTCTAATTAGGAGAGTATTGAAATAATGGAGGTGAGAGGTGAAGGAGGCTCCTACCGGGGTGATAGCTGAGGAAGTAGGGAGAAGGCACATGTCATGTGCTTTCATAATTCAGAACATTAATTTCATCATGCTGTATTGTAGCATTTGGTTTCTCTGGTAACATGCAATTTTGGTTTTTTGATGATGAAATAAAGTAATATATATATATAAGGTACAAATATGGCCCCTGGCCTATGATAAGCATTTGACTAGTGCTAATTACTGCCTATTTTCTATCTTTTCTACTCTAGCTACTTCTGAGAATGGTTTGCTACAGATAATAATAAAAACTGTGTATCCATATACATAATTGGTTAAAATGAAAACGATGATCAGAAATCATGTGTAGGAGGGGAAGATTGTAATTGGACAATAAATTAGATTATTACTGCAAGTAGGCACTAATTCAACTTCTGTGCTTCCTAACAGGCAAGACAAAAAATGAAATTCCATAATTTATCAGGTTTTGTCTGGTAAGAGGAAACATCAATTTTCAGGAGACCTAGACTTGTTCCTAGCACTAAATTCCTATTGATTCCTAATATAAGGAACTCTGATTATTAGTATATAATGTCCTCAACAGCAATTCAGCAGGTAATACAGAGATAATCTTTGTTATTTCTTTTATTGATTCACAATAGAATTATTAAATAATAACTCAATAAAGCCATTAAGGAAACAACATAGTTTAGTGAAATGAGCATTAGATAAGTTCTTAGAAAACTGAGTTTGAGTCCCAGTTGTACCCATGTGAGCTTAAGAACACTTAAACCTTTTGAACCTTACAAAATTGTTGTGAGAAGCAAATGAGATGATACGTTTAAAAACTCATTATAAGTTATAAAACATATATTCTTATATTACTGAAATCTGAGTGCTGAGTTAATTCAATCCAAGTTCATAAAGCTTTAAACACTCAATATGAAAGGAAAATGATGCCTTTACTAATTCAATCAACAAATATTTACTGAAGGTCCTCTATGTCATTGTTATAGGCACTGAGTGGAAAAAAAAAAAAAAAAAGAAAGCCCAGGCCCATTCTAATCAAGCTTTAATTCTAGTAGGGGAAGACAAATACATTTACTAAAATTAAGTAAGAATAAGGGACATTAAAAAAAACTAAAAAAGAGTAAATGGATAAAAGAGTGAATCTAGAGAAACAAGGAGTTAACGTGTTCCCTGGCTGCCTTTGTCAAATATCACTTTCCATCTGCATTTTTGACTGGAGTCTACTTCATGCATTTATTCATTACTTCAATCAACATTTACAGAGCTACTCCCACATGCTAGAGTCTGGGCAGTCAGTTGAATACCTGCCAGTTTATTATCATATTGATTCACTCACATCTTCTGACGTGCCATCTTGTGACCGGCAGCACACCTAGGTAGGACATCGATGTAGTTGGGGTGAAGAGCAAGGTGAGATGGTGGCCCTCAACCTTGCCCAAATCACCAAACTCCAAATCCAGTTTTTTCTCCCTCTGCCGTTTTGTTTTGTTTTGTTTTGTTTTGTTTTTTTTCTGAGACGGGGTCTCCCTCTGTCGTCCAGGCTGGAGTGCAGTGGCATGCTCTCGGCTCACTGCAAGCTCCGCCTCCTGGGTTCACGCCATTCTCCTGCCTCAGCCTCCTGAGTAGCTGGGACTGCGGGCACCCGCCACCACGCCCAGCTAATTTTTTTATATTTTTAGTAGAGACGGGGTTTCACCGTGTTAGCCAGGATGGTCTCGATCTGCTGACCTCGTGATCCGCCCACCTCAACCTCCCAAAGTGCTGGGATTACAGGCGTGAGCCACCGCGCCCAGCCCCTCCCTCTGCCTTCTTATACCCATGTATTAGTCTGCTATGATTGCCATAACAAAGCACCATAGAGTGGGTAGCTTAAACACAGAAGTTTATGGAGGTTAGAATTTGAAGATCAAGGTGTCAGCAAAGCTGAGGCCTCTCTCTGTGGCTTGAATATGACTGCCTTCTCACTAAATCTTCACATGGTCTTTCCTCTGTGTGCACACATCCCTGGTGTCTCTGTGTCCTCTTCTTTATAAGAACACCAGTTAGATTAGATTAGGGTCCACTGTAATGGCCTCATTTTAACTTAAACATCACTTTAAAGTCCCTGTCTCCAAATGCACATGTTGAAGTTTTTGGGGTTAGGGCTTCAACTTATGAATTTTGGGGCACATAGTTCAGCCCATAATACCCATTTTCTTGCTCTAGTTGGGCTGTTCTGCCACCATTCCACGAACATTCCTAGTGTTTTTGAAGCCAGAAAGTCTCTTCCTCTCTCCTTATCAAATTCCCATGCATCCTTCAAGGCCCAATGAGAATGCCATTTTTTCTGAGAAGCTTTGCCTGATCAGCCCAGCAGGCATGATAAGTCCCTCCTTGGCCTTTCTTTAACATTTATAGCATGAATTAAAGTCCCTCGAATTGTACAGGTAAATGTATATGGTTTGTTTTTATGGTTAGAGTATAGACTTCTGGGGGGAAAGAATTAAATCTTAAATCTCCTTGTATCTTCTCTATATCATTTCCCTAGTATAGGCTGGCATAATATATACACATTAAATATATGTTATGTTATGAACATGAAATCTAGTAGCTCACTGATATGAAAACTTTCATTGGCAACTAAAGCAAGTATGTAAATAAGAAGATGCCTGTTGTTAAGCATACTTGCTCCAAAATGTGTTTCTTGTAGATATTTCTTATTATTCACTAAATTCTTACTTTCACTTTCAATTCTTATCTGCTGATAGAAATGTCTTCTCCATCAGAATGCAATTAATATGCTACCTTTGAGGAGGTAATTCTTTAGCTCAAAGTGATGTGTTGGGTTATAATTTTCATCATCTGCAATCATAGATTGAGTTTTCTGGAGGTTTTTAAAAAATTTTAAGTTGACCAACTATCCAAAGTACCTAGGCATGGTACACAACCTTGAAGCCTTGATATGTAGCTGGTATCCCCTGCTTATTGTTGAAACGGGTGTAGAACTGATGAGGTGAGCTGTGGCTTCACAAATGGGATTTTGTGTGTGTGTGTGAAATGCAGCTCTGAAAGGACAGTTTGTACCCTATTGTTCTTTTTAAAACAAAAATTACTCTTGTTAGAAAACAATAAAAGGCCCTTGCTGCCATTGCTGGGTATGTGTTTACCAGCCACCCGGTTTCTGTCTAGACTGTTGGTTGGATTGGTAGACATCTCTCAAAAGCAGGTCAGCATAGTGGCTAACAGCCATGGTTTTGAGCCAGCCTGCCTGGGTGGAAGGCTTAGCTCTGCCCCTTAACAGCTTTATGGCCTTGACTACTCAACCTGTCTGTAAAGTGAGATTAATGAAAACCCCTTACTCATAGGACTGTTTGAGGACTCCGGGAGTTAGTATATGCAAAGAGCTTAGAAGAGAGGTAGGGAAACCTTAGCTATTCACTCAGTATTTGATGTTATTACTTTCTGTGCCTTTGTGATAAACTCTCTCACTGATTCTAGCTCATGACTTGTAAAAGACCAGCCCTATCCATTTTATGCCTCCCACCCAACCCCACAAGGTGATCTTGCCTTGCTTAGCAAAGAATTTTTACCAAAATGCTTTTCTCTAAGGTAGTGAGCTTTAAATGGAACAAGTGTAACTTTAGATCAATTTTATTTTCCATTTCTTTCCATCTCCTTGGCTACTGTCCTAGCACAAATCACCTTCATTATCAATCTGAACCCCTATCTGGTCCATGGATCCTTTCTGACTTGTGCCCCTAAATCTATTCTCTATTCAATAGGCAAAGGGATCACTTTAAAATGCAAATTTGATTGAGTTACTTTTCTGATGAAAACCTCCAATTTCTTCCTACTACACTTAAGATAAAATCCAAAGGCCCTCTGCAAGCTGGCTCGAAGAGCCAATGGCATTCCTTCTGATCCTCAGGCATGCTGAGCAAACTTGAGGTTTGGCCCCTGCTGTCCCTTCTGTTTGAGCATTCTCTGCCGATCTTTACATGGATGGCACCTTGTCATTCAGATCTCAGCCCAAACAGA
This sequence comes from Homo sapiens, assembly GCF_000001405.40. Lineage (NCBI taxonomy): Eukaryota > Metazoa > Chordata > Mammalia > Primates > Hominidae > Homo > Homo sapiens. The sequence goes on from NC_000001.11 coordinate 110,713,280, forward strand.
GGCAGTGGAGAGTAATGGCCACAAGCACGTCTTTGGGAGCCAAACTGCCTTGGATCTAAATCTTGGGTTTCACCACCTCACCACTTCTTAGAAAAGTTACTCAGTCCCGGTTTCCTCATCTGTAATAAGAATGGTAACAATCCCTACATCATAGGGTTTTTTGAGGTTTCAATACATTAACAGTTGTTTAAAAAAATAGTGATCAGCATACAGTAAACACCACTTAAGTGTTTAAGAAATGAAAATGTTATTTCCTCAAATAACCCTTCTCTGACCCATTCCAAGTTACTACCTTCCCCAGTGACAGTCACTTAACATGCAAGTGCCTTATTTTTATTTTCTACATAGTTCTTTTCATTTTTGGAGATCATTTACTTATTTTTATTTTCTACATGGCTCTTGTCACTTTCAGAGATCACTTACCTATGTATTGATCGGCTTTCTCACTAGACTGAAGGTTCATGGCGACAAAAACCTCATCTGTCTTATTCCTTTAGGACCTGCCATCCCATTTCTCAGAACAATGCTAATATCTATTACCTTCTCAATAAACAGTCATCAAATGAAAGAACCAGAGTTCAAATTCTGATTCTACTAGTTCAGTGGTTTTTATCTAGATGCTTGACCTCTGTAGGCCTGAATTTCCCCAGCCACAAAATGAGCAAGAATATCTGTACTTCATGGGAGTATTGTATAATATACATGCCAAAATGTTAATGGTGATTATCTTTGGGAGATGGGATTACAGAGGATTTATTTTTTCATGTTGTTCTCATGTATATTACTTTTAAGATAATGAACGTGGATTTATTTTGTAATCAGTGTAAATTTAAAATTAAACAATATTTGTGAAGGATTTAATACAGTCCCTGATGCACAGTAGGTATTTAATAAACAGCCAATGTTAATACTACTAAACTGTTCAATAAGCCCAAAACGGCCTCCTTCCTCTGTGGCACTGGTCTATTGCCTTATGCCCCAGTCTGAGGTTTGGGGCTCAGTCACTACCCGACCCCAGCTGGAAAGACATGTTCCTCCTCTCAGGCCAGCTTCAGAAACCAGAGTGGAAGGAGGAGATTCAGTGACTGTCAGCTGAGGGGCTTTCTCTTTTAGACCAGCTCACTCTCACCCTTTGAAGCCCAAGTTTACCTCCTGACTGTGGGTGGATGAGCTTTCCACAGTGCTTAGTATGCATCCCACGCCTGGCAGGCTGCAGAGAATATTAACATGGCAAATTCCATTGTTTATTCCCCCCACACTCCCCCAAAATCATTTTCAGTGTTGAGGAAAGAGATTGTGCCCAGCTGCTGGAATCTAATCAGCAACAGATCTGCCCAGTGCTGGAAGATGTGGCTGATACAAAGCTGTGATTCTTCAGCTGGTGAATTTCCAGTGCAAGATGGGGGCTTGCCCACCCCTCTCCAATACGGTGGATGGACCAAATGCTTATTCACCATGAGTAGGGGGAAGGGAGCGGGACATCCCTCACACAGGGCCATTGGCAGCAGCTGATGATGCAGGAGGCAGGGGAACTGGAGTGAGTCCTCATTTTTCATCAGGAATCCTATGGCTTTTGCTCATTAGGTTATCTGTCAGTGCAGCCAGCTCCAGCCAAGGCTTCTGGGTCCTAATGACCCACTTTCTATCTGGTCCCCTCAGACTCTCTATGATTCTGTCTTTAAAGATTAGCTTGAAAGAATTTGAAAGTCATTGTTTTTGTTCCCAGCAAGCAAAGGAAAAACATAGCTTCTCAGAGCTAGCTAAAGGTTCTGTGGCTTTCTTAAACATGACAGCTGCATTAACAATGAGAAAAGAGACTCAGAAGCCTGTAATTTGAAGGACTCCATGACTGCTAGATGGATTTACACAGTCTAAAGCTGGTGTTACTGTAAAAACTCTGGATGACAGGCGAGCAGCTTTTACCTGGCTTTCTGGGTGCCCCATCCCTGTGCTAGTGAACCCAGGGGTAGATTCCAGGGCAGGCCCAAGGATTCTGTAAGCTGAAGTACTGTTTTAGTCATCTAAAATAAGACTTGGAAAAGGCAGAGACTTGTCTCACTATAGGTGGCTTTTCATGGAGTCCAGATCCAAGTGAGGAAAGATTCTAGGGATAAATTCCAGATTTTCTTCTATGGAAGCCTTGTCCACCCATCCATCCATCCATCCATCCACCCACTCACCCAGCCAGCCAGCAGAGCAATTTGCAAATGCTGTTGCTTATATAGTATGTTTTATAGAAGGTATCAAATATAAGATGTAAGCATGCCTACTATTGTATAGGGTATACTCTCTGAGTTCAGAGCCTCATTGGCAGTGTGTCCAAGGGTAAGTCACTGTGCATCTGTTGGCTCATCTGTAAAACAGAGCTTGGAATCTTCCTTATATGTTTTTTTGTGAGGAGAAAATGAAGCAATCAATGTTCAGTGCTTAGCATAATGTTTGGCATGTCCTAAACACTCTATAAATGGTAGTTATTATTATTATTTCAACAGAAGACACAGAGAAGTTAAAATTCCACTCCCTGACCTTGAGATGCTTTTTATACATGTGCATAGTTGGAAGCTTGGCATAGGTCAGGTTATCTTATTCTGGAGTAAGTGAGGTTTCCTTGAAACCTTGGCTCTAAACTCCCAGAACAAAAGACTGTTAGTTGTGGTGACTTGGCCATAAACTAGGTCTGGTGCTTTACCCCTCTGTTCCAGTGGGCACTGACTTTCCATATATCCTATAATGTTTGTTTTCTGCCACTTCCTGCATGATTTTTTTTACTAAAATCTTTCTTTTCTTCAGACTGAGACAAAATAAAAATGTATCACCTGAAGCTGAGGTTGAAAAATAGCCCAATCATTGTTGTTTAAAAACAAATTCTCTTGTTGATGGCACTTCTTGGTGAATGATTCCCCTTCACTATGGGGCCTTCTTAGAGCAGAGATAAATGAGCCAATTTGGCTCTCTAGGGTTCATCTTATGTCTAGGCCAAATTAGTGCAGGAAATCCTGAATTATAATTTGTTTGTGTTATCATTAATTCATTTAATCACACATTCCTCACAATTCGTAGCACTGAAGAGGAATTATTAACCAACCCATTATGTTTAATGTGTAGCTCTTTAAAAAAAGATGGCTAATAATTCATCTGAGGTGCCAGTGATAGTGCTGATAATAATAATAGCTAACTTTTATTGAGTACTATCTCTGTGCCAATGTGTAATGTTGTAGACATTACATATATGTGAACTTCTTTCATCCTCACATCAACCATGTGACATGTTGTTATTATCCCCTTTTTCAAGATGAAGAAATTGAGGCACGAAGAAGTTAAGAAAGTTGCCCAAGGTCACACAGTCAGTATGTGGTAGGATCAGTACAGCTCATTTGCAGAATTAACGCTGTTAGCTTCCTAGTTACACATTTATCAGGTGTTCCCTGAGAAAGTCCTAGGTGTCAGGCCCTGTGCTGGGTACAGGGATTTAAAGAACATGATGTAGTTCTCTCCTTTTAAGGGGCTTGAAGTCTGGCTTGGGAGTCAAGACATGTAAACAAATGGAGCTTGGGTCTGAAATTAGGCATTCTGACTCCAGAGAGGGATACTGAATGATGAATGGGAATTGGCCCATGAGAAAAAAGAATGAAGGGGAAGGATATTCTAGAAAAACAGAGAGGCCAGATCAGGCAGGGGTGTCTGCAGATTGCTTAGTGTGGGCAGCACTCATCTGTACCAATAGATCAGCACTGTTCTCCTTTCTTCCACAAAATCCTGGCAAGGTCTCCTGTTTCTGTACACTCTAAATCCACACTGTGATCCACTCTGTGATAACATGGAAAACCACCCTAAATAGAAATATGAAACCCAATGTTTTGAGTGGATCCTTTCCCCTGCCCAAGAGCCGCAGCAGCCTTGAGTCTCAAGTGCTGTTTGATCCCTTTACGTGCTGTTCCCTCTGGAGGGATTAGGGTTTTAATCTGTTTGATTTTTTCTTCTCCCATAAGATTACAATTCTCTCTCTCTTATTCTTAAAATCTCAGATTACTCAGAGATGTGACCAGTGACTCACAACATTTCAGCTGGGGAAAGGGAGGATGCAGTTGGTTGCCCTGGTGGCCATCGCCCTCATGGCTGTTAGCACCTGCACAGCACCTCCCTCTCCCCTCAGAGAAACGCCGTGAGGGCAAGTCACCCTCATGGGTGTCCATTCTACTTTGCGGCTTCTCAGGCAACTGGCTTTCCTACTCCCTTCAATCACTTGGCCAGTTAGGTGGACTGCTCCAAAGAGAATCCTCTTCTTAATCCTGCGAGGAGCAAGTAGAGTATCTCACTCTGTCCAGTATCTCTCCCCATAAACAAAAATGCCTGTCCCAAGTATTGGTTTGGCTCAAATCTTGAGGTGAATGGCAAAGCGGAAGAGACTGGGGGTGAAAATGATCTTTAGAGATCGTTTAGAACTTGAAGTTATCAACATGGGAACTACAGAGCATGGGAATACTTCCTACTCTCTTGCTGCGTCCTGGACCAGGTTAATATCTCTATTATCCCTTCATTAAGAAGCTAATCACATCAGCTGTCCCTTTTGAGACTAGCAAGTCTTGCTTTAGTACAGTCTTCTTACTCTAGTCTAGTGCCTTGTGTGAGCATCTCCCAAGAGCTTATGATCAATCTAAAACAACCAAGTCCTCCCATCAGACATTTTCTCCCCACCCCGTCCCTATCCCGTGCTTCCTCACCACCTGGATGGATTTCCAAAGTGCCTTCCTGAGGGTCCTTCTGCCTCTGCCCTCTCTACCTCCAGCACCTCCAGTCTACCCAGTAACACAGTGCCGCTAGGTTTCTCTTCTTAATATACTACTACTATTATTATGTGACTCCCCTCTTTAAAAGCACCCAATGGCTCCTCTCTTCTCAGAAACTTGCCCAAACTTCTCCAAATGGCTTTCAAAACTACCACAGTCTGTTTCCAGTTGAATCACTCCCTTGCGTCTGTTCTGGGTTTGAGGACAATAAATTCATCAGTCTTCTCCCTGTCATTCATTCCCTATGGAATCCCTTCTACCTGAGACAAATAGGACTGATTACTTTAGGGAAATTGAGTGAACAGGAGGGAAAACTCAAATGAGACAGCAGGAAGGACACATGGGCGATGCAAGTCCTTCAGGGCCTCCCTTCTCACCTTGTCTGTTCAGATTACTCCCAGGCGTGTGTTTTAAATGGAGTTGAAATCCTATCCTGTTTATCGTTGTTCATATTAGCAAAATGTTTGGTGAGCTCTTTATCAAGGGCTGACACGTTGGTGCCAACCAAAGAGGCTGAGTGCATTTATCACTGCAACTGGGACGTGCCCCAGCCTGGAAAGGCTGTGCCAACCACTTGTCATTTCCTGGCAGCTCCCGCGTATCCTCACACCCATCCTGCTCATAATTGAAAACCTCCAACTTCTGTGACCTTCAAGAGTTGCAAGAAAAATGATTGACTGGCCAAGTCCAGCTTCACATGGCAATTGAGTTCTGAGGCTTTGTCAGAGCCAGGCTGTGACAGCTGAGCCAGCAGAAGTCTGGGGAGGAGGTCAAATCACAATCCCGAGGCATCACCGCCCTCCTTACTTTATAGACCGTAGAGTGAGGCTGGAGATGGCAGCGATGGCACCAGCTCAAGAATTTCTATGGAGGAACTTAAGGGTGACGCTTTGATTGGAAAAAGGAGTTAGCAGACTTGTTTTAACGATAAACTTGAGCAGAAAGCATTCTTTAAAGTTAGATTACTTATTGGGGTGGCTTGTAGGGTCTGCTGGAAATAATAGGGTGGGACGTGAGCAAGCACCAATGATTTGTACAGATGTGCAAGTCATTGGTATTTATCTTTCAATGCCCTTCCCCTGCTTTGCTCTGTATCCCAGGGATCATCCCTGAAAATGACATTTCTCAGGCTCCCTTTTCCCCTGGCTTCTAGGTGAATGAGAGGCAGTGGAAGAAGAATGGAGATGAAGAGAACTGGGGAAGCCAGGGAGCAGCATCTTAAGAGCGTCTCTTCTGTGGCCCCAGCCCACACTGGGCCATCTTTGCCTTGGTTCCAGCTCCCCTTGTGTGGCATTGCCCAGGGCTAAAGAAACACCACCCTTCCCTCTATCTCCAGCTCTAGAGTTAGGAGCAGCTTCCTGGAGTTGCTAGTCTTGGAGTTGCTTCACCCTCCTATTTGCTCTTTCAGATCTTCTACAACCGGTGATATTGACTCCTCTATAAGTTGCCTCTTTTGAACCTTGTGGCATGGATGCTGTTTTTTACTGATTGGATCTTATCTCTTCAACAGTGGCCTGACACAATAGCTAAGTGGGATCAAACTTGAAGCCAGCCATGCAGTGAAAGTGGGAATTAGAACTGTTGCCCTGACTAGTAGTCAGTATGCTTCTACCATTCCACACCACCTTCTGAAAGATAGGCACGTATGTAGGTTATGAATGGGAGGGTTACTATTACTCCAGGGTTCCTGTTAAACATATATCATGTTGTAGAGCATAGACTCTTCTTCCCAAACAATGCATGGCCAAAGTGCTTCCTGGGTGTTGGTGAGGAACTGAGAGGAGGGAGCAAAAAAGAGATGTGGCTCAGTTTGGGATCTCCCAATCAGACAAGGGCCCTGAAATCAAGAGAAAGACAACAGAGATGCAGTAAGTAACTAGTGTTTCATCCTTGGCTCACATTCCCTCCTCACAGCCCCATCCCATGCTTCTGCCACCCAAGGCTGGTCAGAAAGTACTTAGGAAGTGGAAACTCATTCTAACACCAGCCTCAAAAAAACATTTTCCAAAGAGGGAAGCTCCCCAGACACACCCTCATGCCTCAACGCAATGATACCACAACTGCAGCCTTTGTTTTGATTGCATGATTATTTGTTGGACTTCTGGTGTGTACTTTAACAGAGACTTCAAAGAACTATGAATCATGGTTCCAACTTTCAAAAGTCCATCCTGGCTGCAGAGATGAGGTGCATCTATATGAAAGATTTTAAGAGCCATACAAGGCAAATCACCGTCCAGTATCAGTATGAGAGCATGGAGAGGCAGACAACAGGAAGAACTTACACTGGTGGAACTCCAACTAAACGCTTTAGAAGCACTGTGCACTAATGTATATACACATTCTGTATATTATCCCGTGTAATGACTCCCCTAGACCTAGGGGTTATATATCATGATTCTCATTTAGAAAACAGACTCCAGGAGTTGAAGTATTCCAAAGTCACATAACTGGCAGGTGGGAGCTTGAGAAATGCCAAACTCATGCTTTCCCCGCCACTTCACTCTGTCCCTACTATGGCCAGTGACAGAGACTAGACTCAGATTCTGGACAACTGGGGAGTCAACCAGTGAGGATGCTGGAATGGGGATGGGACCCCAGGCAAGCAATGTCTGAGGAAAATTGTCTGGCAGGGGTCTGCACCATGAGTCAGAGGAGGGACAGAGACAGGAGACCAGTCAGGGGACTGTGACAGCGACCCAGTGGGATGCTCTGAGAATGGAAAAGAAGAGGTATATATGAGAGACAGTTTGAAGTGAGGGTCACCAGGTAGGCCTGTGTTTCCAACTGGATACAGAAGGTAAAAGAGAGGGATTGAGATAATTAATTAAACCTTGATGATTCATAATTTGAACCCGACTATAATTTTGAAAAAAAAACAAAAACAAAAAACTACCCTCCCCAATTTAGAACTAAATGTCAAACACATTCCCCCTGCCTTTCCTCTAGATTAAAAAATATTTTGTGGTAATTAAATAAAAAGCTGAGATTCCTACTTGTTGGTTTTATGATCTGGATGGTTTGTCAGCCTGTTGACAACTCCACAAACCAGGAAAGCTGTTTGGGTTGTTGTAGGTTCTGACGGATAAAAAGCGGGTGATTAATTCAGGTTTAGGAAAATGTAGTGCACCACAGAACAGTTCTGGAAAACAGATTCTTGGGGAAATTGGATGCGGGGGCGGGGAAGCCAGAGAATTCCCAGGCTGAGGGACAGGTGGCTGCAGACAGGACTTATTGGGCTGAAGTGTGGTGCTCATCAGGGAAGAATTAAGTCTTTTGAAGACTGGGGCTGAGTAAATCAGCTAATCCTTGGGGAACAAATGTATGAGAATGGTAACAAACAAATATATAAACATAGACTCATTGTTTAAGCTGTAGTCAAGACAAATTGGTTAACCTACAAACCTGTAATTTGCCTACTAGAATGTGTGTTGTGACCTGAGGTTTCCTTTCATTGTCAGGTGTTCCTTGTTCTGAAGAGGAGAAACAGTAAAAAATTTGCCAAGGACCCAAGATAGAAGACTGTGGGCCCAGATCCTAATGTAAAAGAAGCCTGCCTCAACTTAATTTTCCTGGACAGCAAGAGCTATGAAAATGAACTGGGTGAATATTGGTGTTTTCAGCTTGAGGTTCCAATGAATTAGGACAATCAGAAGGAAGAGTTTAATTTTGGGGTCTAGCATGAGACCATTCAGTTCAAACTTTCATTTCACAGTTAGGAAACTAGACCCAGAGAGGCACAGTGCTTCGGCTTGATGCTAATAGACTGATTTTGGAAGGCAGTTGAGCTGGAAGACACAGATCTGGGGGCTGTCAGCCAAGGGCTGAGAAGGATGTGAATTAAGAAGGTGGGAAGGGAATTGATGGTTAAGGCCTGAGTCTTGAGAGAAACCCATGGCCAGGAGCAGAGGAGTTAAGATTCATTCAGAAATGCTCCTACAGACGTGGGAGAACAAGGATTGTTCAGTATAATGGAAGCCAAAGGAGAGGGTTTTGAGGAGCAAAAGACTAGCCAACAGTAGCAATTGTGTCAAGGTGATCAAGGAATAAGATGTAAACAATTGTTGGATTTATAATATGATTTTAAAAGTGCAGTTTCAGTAAAGTGGTAAGAATGGGAGGACAATCAAATGGCACGTGGTGTGTGTGTGTGTGTGTGGAGGTTGTGGTGTGTGTGGGGGGGGATGTATGTGTGGAGAGTGTGGCATGAGATGCATGTGCATATGTATGTTTAGGATGAGGTGTGTGTGGAGAGTGAGATGTGTGTGTGTAGGATATGAGGTGTGTGAGCTGTGTGTGTGTGTGTGTGATGTGTGTGTAGGGTGCAGTGTTGTGGTATATGTGTATGTGTACATGGTGTGGGGGGTGCAGGGTGTGTGTGTATGTAGGATGCGGTGTGTGTGGAGAGTGAGATGTGTGTGTAGAGTGCAATGTGTATGGGGTGTTTGTAGGGTGCGCTGTACATGTGGGCAGTGTGTGTGTATTCTGACTGAATGCTGAGCACTGGTGCTTGAGCTCTCCTGCCCTGCCTGGGAGGTGGTGTGTCTGAGGTGAGGGGAAGGCTGACCCAGCTGATGGGTCCTGTGAGGCAGAGGTTGAGGAGGGAGCCAGAGATGAGAACCAACAACATGCTCCAGGAAGAGGGACAGGCGCAGAAGCAAGGGGACACCAGACTGGAACAGATGGACTCATGCAGTTGTTCCTTGATGGCCTGTTCACATATAGCATTTGCCATGTCCCACAAATGCAGAATTCTGGTGGAACCACAGTGCGTGGAAGTTCCAGGAGACTGAAAGTGGTGCAAGGTTAAGTGTGTTACATATGTAATTGAGTAATCAGGGGTGCTGACAGCCCGACAGGCCATGCCTTCCATTCGAACCAGAGCTTGCTTCACATAGAAAGAAAGCAATGGCTTTCTAAGGAATGTGGACAAGTGAGGAACCCTATCATATCCTTCTTACTCATTTCTTCCCTGTGTTAACCAACCACTTACGCTGAAAATGATGACACAGAAGAAAGGGAAAGACAGGACAACCCATAGTTCCTTTTCCTTTCAGCCCTTCCTTACTCATCAGTAAGCTGAAGGTCAAGAGTATTGATGGAACATGCACGTTATCAAGAAGTAAAATTAAAACAGTTGAGTTAGTTTTGTGCAGTGTTCCCGCTGCTCTGGTAAGGACAAAATATATACGCAAGTAAGAGCTAGGAAATATGAACTGTGTAATTTCAATGATTCCACGTATGAGTCAAATGCACTTATTTTCATTTACAACTAACACTACACAACATAAAGAATAGTAAAATTCATACTAATAATTAAATTTTAAATTTTTCTTTACTTAAAATGACATTAAATATCAAATTAAAAACATCATGACTAGTAAAAAAAAATTGTGGAAGAAAGAAAAAGTTTTATGCTTTGGTGACCCTTAATGGCCTTATTTCCCTCTGGTTTTTGAACAAGGAGCTCGATATTTTCATTTTGTACTGGGCCCTGAAAATTATGTTACTGGCCCTGGGTGAGATGGTTGTTTATATTTGTATGACCAGGGTCAAAAAACAGTCTTGGAACCACAGGAGCAGGGAAGATTCACCAATAAATTGATGAACACAAGTCTTCATCATTACCCACACACACTCACTGGCCCCTCAACATTGGTAACAATGGCCATGGGTGGAGAGTTAAGAAGATGATAACTCCCAGAAAACTATGCTTTTTCTGCTGATAACTCTTCAACATCTCACCACACCCAATATCTCTGCTTTTGTTAACAAACCATGAACTGCTTCAAGTTGTCATACCCTTTCTCACTGTCTTTCTTCTGATTGGAACGGCCTGGTGAGAGCAGGCTGGTGGGAACACACACCTTCCGAAAGGCCCTCACCACAGCAGATCACTGCTGGCGTCCGAGCTACTTCCTGCTTGTCCTGTTGTGTCCTTCATCAGTGACCGCACTCTTGGAGTGCTTGCCTCTGGCTCCTGTTTTCCACCCATTTCTCAGCCTGGTAACTCCTGGTTTCCAGTCTTAGTGGGCCCACTGCTCTGCTCCCACCTCCTGTGATAGGGTCGGGAGAGCCGCCAACCCCACTTGACTCCTGGACCCCATCCAGGCTGTGGTATGTGCCAGCACCATCTTCCCAAAGGATGCTGCCCCTCCCTGAGGCTCATGGTATAGCTCTTCTCCCATATTCATACCCCCGTCTTGAAGCCTGGCCCACATAGGGTTTCCAGAAAGCCTTCCCCGAACCACTAATAGAAACCCTACTATACTCACACCTTCCTTAAGAGATACTTCACAAACCCAGTTTTGTGCGGTGCAAAGGGGATGAAATCAGAAATAACATAGGTTTAAATCCTGGTTAACTAACTGATTTTTGAGTCTGTCAATAAACCTCTCTGTGCCTCAATTTCCCCATCTACAAAAACAGGATTGTGATACTTACCTCATAGGATCATTGTGAGGATTATGAGAAATAGCACAGGCAAAGCACCTAGGTGCTGCCTGGCATGTCCCAGCACTCAGTAAAAGCTCCCCCAACACTTTTCTCCCCCTGCTGGGGTTGGGCACCATGCCTTATTCATGCCTTTATTCCTTGCAGCACCTAGAGTAACATCTTGTGGCTGGCAGATGATCAATGCCTGTGGATTGAATTAAATTAAAACTTTCCTTGTGTTACACTGTTCTCTCCATGTCCCCAGTTGTAATATCCTCTTAAAAGTATCATCGCTTGGCTGGGCACGGTGGCTCATGCCTGTAATCCCAGCACTTTGGGAGGCTGAGGCGGGTGGATTACAAGGTCAGGAGATCGAGACCATCCTGGCTAACACGGTGAAACCCCGTCTGTACTAAAAATACAAAAAAAAAAAAAAAAATTAGCTGGGCGTGGTGGTGGGCGCCTGTAGTCCCAGCTACTCGGGAGGCTGAGGCAGAAGAATGGCATGAACCCGGGAGGGGGAGCTTGCAGTGAGCCGAGATCGCGCCACTGCACTCCAGCATGGGCAACAGAGTGAGACTCCGTGTCAAAAACAAACAAAAAAAAGTATCATTGCTCAGCTTATAAGTTCTACTTCATGTTACTGCAGATTGTGACCCCCAAATGAAGTAACTTTTGCTGTTCCTTCTTATTAAAAATAATACATGCTCAATATATAAATAAAAATACAAGCAAAAAGAGTATTAAAAAGTCTGATAATTCTACCCACACAGACATAGCTAGTATTAACATCTCTCCATTAGCTTTTCAATGCAATGCAGCTATTATATCTATGTGTGTGCATGTATACATGTATGTATAATATTTTGCTGAGGGAGGAAGGTGGAAATAGCATATTAAGAGAGGGATGTGGGCTTTAGAATAGAAAAAATTCAGCAAGCCTGTGCTCTGTGAGTGTGAAAATAACCACTGGTGTCTACTTAGATTCAGTAGGGTGGGAGTCTTGCTGGAAATGCTTTTTAAATTTCTAGTGCCATAATCTTTCTTTCATCCAAAGAGGAAAAAATGAGTCTTTACGTATTTTTTAATGTAGCGATAATTATCATTCATCAGCATACTGCACACTCTTTATTTGGGTGTTTATTAAGGATCTATTTCATGCCAGACGCTGGAGTTGGCACTAAAAACAAGGATACGGTTACTGCTCTCAGTGAGTTTTCAGTCTGGTGGGGGACACACATGAGAAATAGCACAGGCAAAGCCCCTGGGTGCTGCCTGGCATGTCCCAGCACTCAATAAAAGCTCCCCCCAACACTTTTCTCCCTCTGCCGTGGTTGGGCACCATGCCTTATTCATGCCTTTATTCCTTGCAGCACCTAGAACAACATCTTGTGGCTGGCAGTAAATAGGTGGGCAAGATTATCAGATTTTTTAATACTCTTTTTGCTTGTCTTTTTATTTTTATATCGAGTATGCATTATTTTTAATAAGAAGAAACAGCAAAAGTGACTTCATTTGGGGGTAAGAAAAGTAAATAGGTTACCACAGTGCCATGTGATAAATGTTAGGAGGTGGGAACCACAGGATGCTGAGGAGCATTCAAGGTGGGGGGACCAAACCCAACTGTGAAGAATTCCCAGAAAAGGTGGTATCTATGCTGAGTCTTCCAGGGAAGGTCATAGTTTGTCAGGCCATGAAAATAAGGGGTAGAGAAAAAAATAATTCCTTGGAGAGGGAAGAACATGTGCAATGACTCGGAGGCAAAACTCTGTGTGGGGACTGCAGGTGCAGAGTGGGAGGAGCATGGAGTTGGAGGGGTGAAGTGCAGAGAGATAAGAGTGAGAAAGGCCTTGGATACCACGCTCATGAGTTTAAACTTTGTCCTGATGGTTAAGGGGAGCCACTGAATTCTTTGAAAAAGGGGGTGTCATTATTTGTGGGGTTGAATGTAAACAGCTGGGTAAATGGGTCTATACTTCTGGAGACAGATTTAAGCTGGAGATGTAGACTTAGGAGTTATTTATATACAGATGGGAGATGAAGTTTGGGGTGTAAATCAAATCCCTAAAGAAATCTATAATGAGAAGAGTGGCTGGAAACACTGACATTTAATGAGAAACAGAGGAAGTTGCCTGAGAAGGATTAGCCAGAGAGGTAGGAGAATAACCTAGAGATAGTAATGTTTGGGTACCAAGGAAAGAGAATTGTGTAGATACAGGAGGAAAGAATCACCAGCTGGGGAAAAAAGGGTCAAGTTAGATAATAACTAAAATGATATTACTTGAATTTGACAACAGGGTCATTGGTGGTCATAGTGAGAACAGTTTCAGGGGAGTGATGGGGTGGAAGCCAGATTGTAGTGGGTTGAAGAGTGGGGGTGGAAAGAGGAAATGAAGGTAACAAATATAGACAACATTTTATGAGGTTTCACTTCAAAGGGGAGAAAAGAAATAGTGCAGTAGCTAAAGTAAGACCTGTGATTGGAGGAAGACTTCATTATTTTAAGATTTAGAAAAGCTGTTCAAGCAGATTGAAATACTGATGGGAAGAAAGAGAAAGTGAAAGAGAGAGAGAGAAGATAATTCTTCCAAAATGCTTTCATATTTATTCATTTGTTTAGCATTACACAGTTCACTTAGGAGGCTATTAATCTTTTTTCCATTTTCAGGCAGAAAAACTAAATGAAACCCAAAACAATGAAGTGAATTCTCTAAGATTGTATGTCAGGAAAATGAAAGTGATAAGCTTAAACTCTGGGGTTCCAACAGACAGTAAAGATTCAGGAAGAAAAATGCATTTCCATCTGTAAAATCCCTTGAGCCCAGAGCATATCCAAGGTACTATGATCATCATGCCCCCAACTCCCCCACCCTCGACTGGGAGGGGAAGCCAGTCTTGTAGCTCTTATCAGACTGTATTGAGCTGAAGCTTTAATGAGCAGCAGCAATCTGTTATTTTCCTCTTGTTTGCCTTGCAAGTTGCTCTTTTAATTCACATCAAGAGAGGGAGAAGGAGATGAATATTAAAAGCGCACATCAAGGGACTGAGCCAGCCAGGGAGACAGGGAGCTCTTCAGTATGCAGGGACAGAAGCAGGAGTTTGATGTGAGACAGGAACCATTGCCCTGGAGTCTGCTCCGGTGTCTGACAAGCCTGCCCTTGGGAAATGTTGCTCACTAGAGTTGCTCTGGTATTGGGAAAGGGTTGTTTCTGGAATTGTCTGCACTGTGGGCTTGGCTGACTCTAGAATGACAACAGAAAGAAAGAAACTATTTCTGAGACTTTGAGAGAATAATTTATTATGATGTAGAAACCAAAGTGTGGGGGAAGAGTTTCTGTAATGGGACATCTGACCTAAAAAGAGCAGTAAGTCCCACTGGTCTCAGATGGTTTGGGTGTAGGAAAGATGGAAGGAAAGGGTCTCAATGTCAAGAGTACCAATATTTTTTTTAGTCTCTATTCAGTAGTGAGGCTCTGATTCTCCAAGTTAATTTCATAAAGTGGTGAAAATCCAGAGCAAAGGCCAGCAAACATTTGGGAATTGTTTGCTTCAGCTGGTCCAGATGACCCTATAAGGGACTTATCTTCTCTATAATCTGAGAACTTGGAAGAATAAGAGCTTAATAAGGGTGCATAGGAGGTTAATCTTATCCCCAAGTACTGCAATAAATGCTCACCATCAGAATCACACAGAGGTTTGTACTTGCTAATTCAGCCAAAGTCAGTTCTTGGGAAGACCTCAGGGTTATTGGCTGACTGTAATGGTGTAATGGGTAAAGGCCAGGATTGGTTGATTGGTTGTTAAGGGTAATAATTTTGTACCAAGCCCAAAATTATACAGGGCTGGCATCTTCAAGTTCTTGCACTGTGCATGGATTTGGTAAATTCTTAATAAATCTTTGTTAAATGAGTGAATAAATAATCTTGGTTTCTTATTCCTTTATTCAAGTGACCTATGCCAATTCAATTCAACAAATATTTATTGAGCACCTACTATATAAGAAGAACCTAGTAAGCCCTAGGGAGGCAAGTGTCATCCTAGTTGTAGCAGATATTGTCAGTACCTGTGTAACCACCCAATGGGTTCACCTTGCCTGCTGCCTAGACAGAGCCCATTTATCAAGACAGGAGAATTGCAACAGGGAAAGAGTAATTCATGCAGAGCTGGCTGTGTGGGAGACTGGAGTTTTATTATTACTCAAATCAGTCTCCCTGAGCATTCGGGGATCAGAATTTTTAAGGATAACGTGGTGGGTGGGGGGCAGCCAATGAGTCAGGAGTGCTGATTGGTCAGGTCAAAGATGAAATCATAGGAAGGCAAAACTGTCTTCTTGTGCTGAGTCAGTTCCTGGGTGGGGGTCACAAGATCGGATGAGCCAGTTTATCCATCTGGGTGGTGCCAGCTGATCCATCAAGTGCAGGATCTCAAGCACTGATCTTAGGCTTACAATAGTGATATTATCCCCGGGAGCAATTTGAGAAGAGTCAGAATCTTGTAGCCTCCAGCTGTATGATTCTTAAACCATAATTTCTAATCTTTTGGCTAATTCATTCATCCTACAAAGGCAATCTAGTCCCCAGGCAAGAAGGGGATTTGGCCGGTGGTGGTGGCTCACATCTGTAATCCCAGCACTTTGGGAGGCTGAGGCAGGCAGATCACGTGAGGTCAGGAGCTTGAGACCAGCTTGGAAAAAGTAGCCAGGCATGGTGGTGCACACCTGTAGTCCCAGCTACTTAGGAGGCTGAGTCAGGAGAATTGCTTGAATCCGGGAGGCAGAGGTTTCAGCGAACTGAGATCACACAACTGCACTAGAGCCTGGGTGACAGAGTAAGGCTCTGTCTCACAAAAAAAAAAAAAAAAAAAAAAAAAAAAAAGGAGTTTGCTTTGGGAAAGGCCTGTTATCACCTTTGTTTTAACTATAAACTTTCCTCCTATAGTTAGTTCAGCCTACACCCAGGAATGAACAAGAACAGCTAGGAGGTTAGAAGCAAGATGGAGTTGGTTAGGTCAGATCTCTGTCACTGTCTTAGTTACAATTTTGCAATGGCAGTTTCACCTGTGTCCATATTCCCTTGACACTCATGATATAAGCTGCTAGCTACTCACTGAAAGTGATAGGGACAAGAGGCAGATAAATTCTAGGCAGAAAAAGATGGGGTCCCTGGTGAATCCCCACCCTTAAGCCTAGAACTGCGGCCCAAAGTGAGAACATGCATTCCTGTTTTCCTGCTTGAATGTTGCCTTTGCCAAAACCACCCATGGCCCATCCTGCCCCCCATCCTGTACCCATAAAAACCCCACCCTCCACTGGAAAAGAGCAGACAAGAAGAGAAGAGGAGAAGCATCTGGATGTTGGAGACTGCAGTTTGACGTCAGAGGGAAGCAGCTTGACTTCAGAGGGATGGCTTGACTGTGGGACTTTGGAGTCCAGCTGCAGATGGCCAGACTTCAGGGTAAGAATACCTTTCCACCCCATCCCCTTTCCCACTCTCCCTCCCACTGAGAGCCACTTCCATTAGCAATAAAATCCCCTACATTTACTATCCTTCAATTGGTTTGTGTGACCAATTTTTCCCAGATGCCAGACAAGAGCTCAGGGTATAGAAAGCTGTCACACTGACCCTCTGCCCCTGTGAAAAGGTGGAGGGTCCACTGAGCTGTTAAACATTTAATCTGTCCATGGACAGGAAAGCTAAAAGAGCACTGTAACATACACCTTCTGGGGCTTCAGGGGTTGCAAGCACCTCCTAGATGTGCCCGTGGGGCAGCATGGAGTTTTGCTTCTGCCAGCACCCAAAAGCACTTGCTTTGGCTCCTGTACCCGCTCACCTGTGTGCTCCCCATCCCCTGAGGGGTTGAGAGCTGTGGACTGAGTAAGTGAGACACCCCTGCTGGGGGGCCCGTAAAGGGGTCAAGGAAAATTTCCTGTTTCAGAAGCATCTGTGGCTCTCTTTGTCTTGTGGATTTCTTTGGAGGCAGGAGCATGCTCAGCCTGTGCACAGTTCAGGTTTGAAGTGCAGGGAGTTGATGCTCCTGGGAGAAGTCTTCAACTAATGACAGATGGGAGTTGGGGGATAAATACCCTGACTTCCTTATCCCTCCACTGGAACAACTCTGAGGCTGTTTTGCACAGTCTCCCAGAGGATCCCAGTGGAATTGAGCCCCAGTTTCCCACAGCAAACCTATGTTGACTTCCTGTCCTCCATTCCTCAGTCCCATATTGGTGCTTCCTGAGATCTCCTTCCAAATAAACTACTTGTAGTTGAATCTTTGTTTTAGGGTCTGCTTTCGGGAAAGCTTAGCTTAAAAGACACAATCTATAGTAAGTATAATTAAACAGGATCAGTAAGAATGGGAGGAAATTTCTACCATTAAGCAGTTGGCAGCAGAGGTGGGAGGAGGGAGATGAATGGTTGGTAAACCTTTATGATCACAGCTGAATACCTGCCCAAGAAGGGCTACTTAGAGGACAAGACTGCTGGCAGTAATATTGTAGTGGGTTGATAAGTGTTCTTCAACATATATGATTACCCCGAACCTCAGAATGTAACCTTGTTTGGAAATAGGGTTTTTGCACATGTAATTAGTTAAAGTGAAGTCATATTGGATTATGGTAGGCCCTAAATTCAATGTCTGGTGACTTTATAAGAACAGAGTTGAACACACAGAGTTTCACATGGTGAAGAAAGCCATGTGATAACAGAGTCAGAGACTGGAGTGATGCAGCTACAAGCAGAGGAGTGCTAAAGATTGCTGGGGGCCACCAGAAACTAGGAAGAAGCCAGGAAGGATTCTTCCCTGGAGTCCTCAAAGGGAGCATGGCCCTGCTAACACCTTGACCTTGGATTTCTAGCCTCCAGAATTGTATGAGAATAAATTCCTGTTGTTTTAAGCCACCCAGTTTGTGGTACTTTGTTACAGCAGCTTTAGGGAACCAATACAAATATAAAAACAAGAAAAGAAATGTGGGAACTATAAAGTGCTATATAAATACAAAGTGGTGTTTTTTCTTTCCTATGATTATTTTTCTTTCAATTCCCTACTTCTCTAGGCTACCTGTAGAGTTCATTAATTAGATGGGAAGCTCCAAAAGAAATCTAGCAGGCTCTGTTTCTTCTTTTTTTTGTCTCACATTGGGCTGCCCTGCAGATCCGAGTCTGCAGAGGCCAGCTCCATGCTTGCTGAGATAGATGTCTGTTCTGAGCTTAGGGGTGAGGAGGGTGCAGGTGGGCACTGCAGCGAGCGCAGAAGCGCTGAAAAATGTCAGCATGATGCTCTCTCAGGGGGTAGGGAGAATGTTCTGCTGCCTAATGAGCTTTGAAAAATACAGTCGGCTCTTTGTATACACAGGTTCTGCATCTGTGGATTCAACCAGCCATGGGTCAGAAATATTTTTTTAAAAATTTCATCTGAACATGTATAGATTGTTTTCCTTGTCATTGTTGTCTAAACAATACAGCATAACGACTATTTACATGTCGTTTACATTGTATTAGTTATTATAAGTAATCGAGATGATTTAAAGTAAATGGGTGGATGTGCATCATAATATGAAAATACTATGCCATTTTATGTCGAGGACTTAAAATCTGAATATTTTGGTGTCTTATGGTGGGGTTTGGGGTCCTGGAAACAATCCCCAATGTATACCTAGAGACGACTGTATTTATAAGGTAACTTTAAAGCTAGTTATTAGAAAATTGGGTAAGAAGCACAAAGAAAGAGAGAATATGCTATGTTAAGAGAGCAGTGATGATTAGGAATGGGGATGGAGACTGCCTGAGTTCTCCAATCTTACCCCAGGGCCACCTCACTATTTCCTCTCTTTATAGCCTTTGATGAGGTAATGGAAGGGCCTCCTCTGATTTTAGGCATCTGGATCTACCTTCCTTTGGTCTCAGGTCATAGACACCCTATCACCATAGAGTATGATTCAATGAGGGAGCACTTCCTGTCTTTAAATACTTTCCCCACTTGCTACCTTAATCTGTTTTTAATAGTTGACCAATTTGCATGGAAAAACCAAAACCAAAACAAAACACCAAGGAGTTCATATGCAAGTGACCTGAGGCCAATAACATATTAGCTTAAATTCTGACTTAAGTGTCAACAATTGTCATTGAAGCAAGTTTTGAGGAGGAAGAAGAAAGAGAGCAGGCAAAGTCTCAAACAACTCTGACTCTTCTCAGTAACAGGTTTGAGCACCATACTCCCTAGAGGTTAAGCACTCCAGACAAGCTACCCCTGTCTTTCTGTCATCAAACTTCTCTTCCATAGCAACTCTTCCTTCATACAGTTGTCTTCTATGCCCCTTGCCAGGAAAGTTCTCTTACATTTTGCATACAACTGAATGCATAGACAGCACCTTCTCTATTTAGCTGGAGACAGAAGCCATCTTTAGAAGATCCTTTTTACTGAAAGGTTTATGTGAGTTCATTTGTGATGGTCTGGAGTTGGAGCTATGACCCCAAGCCATAGCACAAAGAGGAGACTCTTCTTGCTTCCTTAAGGCTTCCAAAGTGACAGCAGAATTGGTAGCTGGGAAAGCAGGGAATCCTTGCATAGTGCCCCAGAGTGCCTGTCACACCTGGCCCAGCTTCCCAGTAAACCTATTGATGCCCTCTCATCTAGAGTCCCATCTAGACCAGGCATACTATCTCTGATAATAATAAAAAATACTCATTGTTGGCATGTGCTGTCTTAAGTATATTATCTCAGCTGACCCTCAAGGCATTCTACAAAGTAGATAATCCATTTTACAGATGAGGAAGTAGAAGCTTACAGAGGTTAATGTTCCTAAGGTCACATAATTCATATGTAGCATAACCAAGATTTGAATCCACACCTCTCTACAAGGCTCTACTTCATGAAGTTCTTCCAGTTCTTTCCTCAGTTATTCTCTAGACACCTCCTTCCCCTTTTCTCTTTCCAGCCTGATGAATAAATGCAGAGCAAGAGCTGTCATTGCTTCATCTTCCCAGGATCTTGGAATCACTTGCATAAGTCAAAGAGAAAGGTAGGATAGGCAGAGATAGTTAATTTTGCTTCAGTCTCCTTTCTAACCCCAAATTGTTCTTTCCAAGTATTTTATCGAGCCGCTGGGCTACCTCCTAGAGTGAGACCCTTCATGGCATCTCTCTGGCCTCTCTGTCAGCTTCTACTTCCATGCCCAGAACAGTCTCTCTTTGAAAGGTAATGGAGACAAAGCTTCAAAATAATTCTTCTGTAGATCTTTATATAAACATGTGTGAGGGCTTTTAAGAGGAGAGTTATGACTTCCAGCAAGAGTTTGACCTCCTTTCTTTCCTTTTCCTCCCAAGGTGGATACATCCCAGATACCAGACAAGTAGTTAGCTCATCTTTGGCTCATGAACCGCAATGGGGCTAGAAAGGATGTTATGTTTATCAACATGACCTCTATCCTTAAAATCCTGATTCTGTCCCCACCACCCCCCCTTTTTTTTGGCCTGGCTGTTCCGTTTTGAGAGCATCACTATTGGGTGTGGATGGGGAGGTGGAGAGGAGAAGGACTAGGTTACTGGCCCCTGATTCTCTAGGGCTGGTCTGGCCATGCTCAGAGGCATGGGAAGAATCAGGGACATTCAGAGAAATAAGGGCTCAGGCTAAAGAGCTGACAGCTGGGCTTGTGACTGATACAGCAGTAGCCCTGAGCGATGCCCCCATGGGAAGCCACTATCCTGTAGGGAAAGGGCCAGTCAGTTCTAAAATCAAAGCTAGATTTGTAGGCTGGAGCTGTGGGAGCCAGAGCCCTCTATGCCTGTGAGGCTGCCTGGAGCTCCATGATGTAAGTCAGAGTGAGAATGCCCTGCCAAGCCTTTTCAGGGAAGGATTGGCTCAGGGCCAAAGTTACCTCCCACCCCTCTCTCTGCCAGTTCTCCTCATCCATTTCCATGACTACGGAAAAGGGTAGAAATACACAGTCATTTGATCACCCTTCATCTCGCCACCCCAGATCATATCCAAAAGGAGCAGAGGAGGACACTGAGTGGGTGGGCAGTGCCAAGCAATTGGCTTTAGGCTACTGAAAACAGTGGCTCTGGGGGAGTGATGCTCCAGTCCCCTGCAGAGCTAGAGCCAGTCCCTGGTCCGTCCTCCATCTCCCCCTTCCCATGAATAATGTTTTGATGCTCTTCGTAGGTTCCACATTTCTGTGCTGTGACCTACGGTTCCCTGCATAGGACCCTGCAGCCCTCCTTCCAGCTGTCTTTAGCGCCTTGTTTTCCTTAGTCAAGTCCTGCTCCTGGGTAATGTTTGTTTGCAGCTGAGGGCTGCAGAGATGGTGAGATGGCCCCTTCTCTTGTGGGAAGGAAAGAGAAGGGCAGTTATTGACCAGGCAAAATGATGGTTTGTCCTTTGGCTTAACAAAGGGCAAGTGGCTGGGGTGGCAATGGGAGATCAGGAAGCATTTTCAGAGGGCGTGGGGAATGTATGGGCATGTGTTCCAGGGTACTTTGACAAGCAAGGTGTTATTGGTGCGGGGGACTGCAGAACTGTTAGCACTTAAAGTAGGAAGTAGCTGGGTACTATCTCCAGGAGAAGGAGCTGAAGTCTCTTGAAAACATCCTGGAGGACTTCTTGAGGGCTAAGCAGACATTGCTGCTGATGATGGTGATGATAATGATGATAACAAAATCTTCCTTCCAGGGGCCTACCGTATGTATACCTACTGTGTACTTTAAAACAGCTCTTCATTGGACCATTAGCAACTTGAAATCAGGATGTGGTCTCCATCTCTGTGTCCTCAGTGCCTAATCCTAAAAAGGTGGTCAGTAAATCCCATTTCTACACTCACCAAGCTTCTGCTCTGAGACTGACAGTGCTGGGTGCCGGGAGTTCAGGCATAAATGGAGCCCCATTCTCTGCCCTCAAGATGCCCAGAGTACCAGGGGGACACAAACATGAGAACAAAAACAAACAGTGCAGCTGAGAGATTGTAATGCAAACGAAGTACAGTGGGGCCCCAACTCTGTCCTGGGCTGAGGAGGGGCTTTGGAGAGTGGTCACTGCAGAGCTGGGTCTCAAAGGATGTTCGTTGGCTTCAACTGAGGATGACAGGCAGGGAGCAGTGGTCTAGGCTGGCTGTGGAAAGCTGACTCTGCCCAGCTACCTTTCCCTTTTCTGGCTTTAGTCAGGAAAGCTCCTGTGTGGCCAGAACAGTTCTTAAGTAGTGGTGTGAGAAGAAAAGCAGGAAAGACAGGAGGACCTCTTGCTAGATTCAAAACTTAAAGGAAAGCAGAGATAAAAGAAAAGTCTTCAAATCTGATTCCTCCATTCTACAGTCCTGTTGGCTTGGGTGTGCCCTCTCCCTACCCCCACCCTCCACAATGGTTTGTCCTTGTTTCTTCCACCTGCTTCTGACAGGGAATAAAGAGGAGTCACTTATTGCTTTCTGTCCACCCACTCAGTTCCTCGTAGCTGCAGGGCACTGAGAGTCCTGGACTGCTGCATTAACGGCAGCCATAGGCAATCTTGCTGCAGCCATGCTGGGGAGCCTGGGGGTGCACTGAACCTATGTGTGAGGGTGCACATGTGCACCGGCCTCCCTGCTTTCCTATAGCTTTAGAGCCTCATTCCCCATACTCTTTCCTCCCTAAAGCTCTTCCTGAACTTTTCTACCTTACTCATTCATTTTTTTCCCCATGCACACCCCCATATCCTCCGAAGCCCCTTTCTAACTTATTTCCCCATCCTCTTATGATGCACCAAAATATAATTTTAACAAACATGGGCTTTGGGGTCAGGCTGTGTGATTTGGGAAAAGTTACTCACTTAGCAGAAGCTCAGCATCCTCAACATTTTTACTGTTGGGGTTTCTTTGAGGATAAATAATAGGCATCAACAAATGATTGCTCTTAGCATTACTCACTTCCAACCACTTCCTGCTCCTCACACCTTCCTTGCTTCCCATGCCTTAACTGACCCAGGAGTTAATCTGGGAAGAGTGAGGGCCCTGGTATAAATAGATTCAACTATTTTGTTCTTTGGGAAGACTAAATGCTGAGAAAGCACTGGAGAAAAGTAGACAATCCTCAGGACAAAAGAAGTCTGACCCTCCTCATTCTCATCCTTGTCTTAACATGCATCCTTACTCAATTCTCACAGCAATCCTACAAGGTGGATGCTATTCTTACCATTTTCCAGAGGGTAATAGAGAGAGTAATTAACATCCCCAGAATCAGACAAAGAATAAGTGCAAAGCCAGCTCTTTACCTCAGATGGTTTTTGTTATCTATAAATCAGGGATGCTTAGAGCTAAGAGAAGAGGTGCTTAGAGCTAAGAGAAGAGGTGCTGGCCCATTCTCTCCTTGTCCCGCTGCCCTGCAGTCCTCACTATGCTTGGCTTTCCACTGGAATCTCAGCATCCGGTCAGGCTCACTTCAGGCTCCTGGACTCCATCTGAGGGTCTTAACAGGGATGGGTAGAGGATGTAGAGGAGAAAGGAGGACCTGTGAGAATAGTTACTGCAAGAATACAAGATTTAAAAATTACTCAAAAGTAGGCAGAAGGCCAACGATATGGTAGACAGCTGGCCAAAATGCTTACACAAGAGCATTTGCTGCAGGTGATTAGCAGGATGCACGCAGATGAGCACACATAAAAGCTGACCAGGAGTGCAATTTTCTAGAGTTGGGATAATTGGTGAGAGGCCAGAGAAAAGCAGAAATGGCCAAATTAAAGGAAATGCCCTGCTCCCAACCCACAAAATGACCAGCAGATGCCAGAGACGTGGAGTCATGAGGAGGTCCTGGCTAAGAGGCCATTCATTTCTCTAATATCTGAAAGAACAGGATAATTTTGCCACTTCATGATAAACCCTCCCTGGAGTTCTGCACGTGTCTCTCTGATGCCTTTAAAGGGCATCCAGGTTCCTGGGAAGAGACTCGTGCTGTTTCTTACATTCCCCCTGGCTGGGCCAGCACTGGGAAATTCCACAGGGGAGAAGAGAGGATACAGAACAAGATGGTCTGGTTTTGAAGATGAGAAATGGAGATAGAGGTTGTGCCTTGTTGATAACTACCTGAAAATACCTCCAACCATGTTTCTCTGTCTTCTAGGGGTGGTGGGAATATTGGGAAGCTGGTGCCAGACGGTGAAGTGAGGGGTTCTTTGGGGCCTGCCAAGCCATCAGGGGAATTACCCTAGGCCCAGTGAGGGTGCATTGCCAGGGCAGGAGGCAACATCATTGTCAGAAACAGCACCTCATGCCCAGGCAGGCATTGGGGCACATCTGAACTGAAGGGTAAAGCTAGGCCAGAATTGGATATCCAAGGAGTGCAGAGGCAAATAGTGAGGGGGTTGGGGATGGGCACATGGGGTCTGGTTAGCTGGGGCTCTGTCCAGGAATAGGAATACGGGCCACAGGCAGAGTCTGAAGAACTTAGGAAACTGCCTTTTAACTGACCACAAAACTCCTAATATTTTTCAGTATGATATGATTGCTTTGGAGGAAGAAAACCTGCCTTCGGTAAAGGCTCCTAAGAGTTCCCTGAGCAGGACAAAGAAAGTTCACCCATGAGGGGTCACTGACAGCATGGCTGTCCAAGTGGGCGCTGCTTAGAGAAGCTTGGCCAGGGGATCCTGGGACACATCCCCCAGCAGAGCCTCCCTCCCATCTCCTGCAGGTGAGGCCTTGTCTTTACCTCTGCTCTGCAGTTTCCCCACAGGGCCAGGTGCCAGTGGGCAGAAAGGAGCTAAGTGGAAGAGAGAATGCAATGGGCCTCTTTGACCCCAAGCATGTTTCTACCCCTTGACTCTGAGTCGCTGCATGGAACTGACTCCAAACCCAACTCCCTTATCTCTAAGGATGCTGTTGGAAGCCTGTTTGTGCTCTCTTAGGGTTGGGCTTGCCTCATCCTGCCCAGAGGGCACCTGGCAGCCTCTGAAGGGTGACATAAAGCCTCTTTCTAAGGCAAGTTTTCTTCCCAGAGAACAATTGTAACCAGAAGCAGAAGCTGTGAGGTCAGTTAAGGGGGCGAGGGGTTGCAGGGTGGGGGTGGGGGGGGTGGGGGAATTGGGACGGGTTCTTCATTGTCCAAGTCCTTTTGGTTTTTGAGGATCTTAATCATTCTTAAAGGTCAGCTCAACTCTGCAGCCTTTGGAGCCTTTGGTCTGTTCTCACCACCCAATTTTTATTGATATATACATTTCCTTGTCTTCTGGCTTCAGGGTGCTGTTAGACCTCTAAACTCTCAGAACATCATTTTCAGGCCTGTCACCACCTAAGGATTACATGGAAACGGAGCAATGGCCTAATGACTGCTAGAGCAGTGCTATTGCTTTTCTTTTCTTTTTTTTGAGACGGAATCTCGCTCTGTCACCCAGGCTGGAGTGCAGTGGCGCAATCTTGGCTTACTGCAAGCTCCACCTCCCGGGTTCACACCATTCTCTGGCCTCAGCCTCCTGAGTAGCTGGGACTACAGGCGCCCGCCACCACGCCCGGCTAATTTTTTTTTATTTTTAATAGAGATGGGGTTTCACCATGTTAGCCAGGATGGTCTCGATCTCCTGAACTCATGATCTGCCTGCCTCTGCCTCCCAAAGTGCTGGGATTACAGGCGCGAGCCACTGCGCCTGGCCGTGCTATTGCTTTTCAAACTTCCATGTGTGTAGGAATTCCTTAGGGATCTGAGTGGGGTCTGAGACTATGCACTTTTAATGAGCTCCTAGCCAGAAGTTGGCAAAAAAAAAAAAATTTCTGTAAAGGGCCAAATAGCAAATATTTTCAGCTTTGTAAGTCATATGGTCCCTGTTGCGACTACTGAACTCTGTTACGCTAGGGCAAAAGCAGCCCTTGATAATTCATAAACCAATGGATGTGGCTGTGTTCCAATAAAATTTTACTGACAAAAATGGGCAGTGGCTATGGCAGGCTGGATTTGGCTCTGAACTCATTCTAGATGATATGGACATTGCTGGCTCATGGTCCTCACTTTGAGTAGTGAGGCATGGGAAGGTTCAGCCAGCTGAAGACTATTAGACTTTTGTGGAGAGGACCCCAGAAGAGCCATTTCCCTGCAGAGGGTACTACAGGCATCTGCAGAAGCATGGGACCCTCTGGGTTACAGGGAACCAGTTGCACTTATTTTTATCACAAAAGGCCTGGGGGAGACTCAATGAAGATGGAAATTTTGACCTATAAATTTTTCAGTGGCATTTATATTTTTTCTTCAGTCTGGGAAAGTTCTTCCTTGAGGCTGATTTATGTTAAATGACCCAAAGGAACCTGACCTGCTTTCATTAATTTTTTTTTCTTGGATCTTTCCCAGTATTGGGAGGAGAGGGAAGAATGAAAGATTATAGTCTGTGTGGGGATCTAGAACCCTGATTATGACCATCCCCTGAACCCAGACACCTGCACACACTTCCAGAAGACTTCCACATTGCCCTGTCCCAGGCCTGCTTGTCCTAAATAGATCATCGTGGAGAGGAATTAATTCGTGACTTCTTGTTCTTTTCCAGGGGGAAGTTGACTCAACTCAGAAAAATGGGGCATTAATGCTGTTATTTAATGTCATTTATCAATGCAGCATTATGATTAGGAGTTCAGATTTTAAAGACAGTCAAACCTAAGTTTCCCTAAGTTTCACTGTGCCACTTAGCTAGCTGTGTGGGCAACTTATGTAGACCACATTTTCTCTGACTGAGAGTAGAACAGTGGTTACCAGAGACTGGGGAGGGGATAAAAGAGGAGTACATAGGGAAAGATTGATCAACAGGCACAAAGTCACAATTAGATGGGAGGAATAAGTTCTGAGGTTCTAGTGCACAGTAGGGTGACAATGATTAACAGTGAGACATGATATATTACAAATAGAAGACAGGTTTTTGAATATCCTCACCACAAAGAAATGATAAATATGTGATTTATCATGTTAAATACCCTAATTTGATCATCATACAACATATATATGTATAATATAAAAACATCAAATTTTACCCCATAAATATGCACAATTACAATGTGTCAATTAAAATTTTTTAGGTAAATTAAAAAATAAATTTAAAACTCCTTTTTTGACTAAAAATGTAACACACCTTAGAATGAAAATATTAAAAAATTATAAAAATATTTAACATAAAAGTTAAAAAGTTCCCTACCTAAAATTTCTATTCCCATCCCAGGATAGCCACTGTTGATGGCTTGATATATATATTCATCCAGTATTTAAAAAAATGAATACTGTAAA
This sequence comes from Homo sapiens, assembly GCF_000001405.40. Taxonomy (NCBI): domain Eukaryota; kingdom Metazoa; phylum Chordata; class Mammalia; order Primates; family Hominidae; genus Homo; species Homo sapiens. The sequence goes on from NC_000001.11 coordinate 110,740,707, forward strand.
ATAAAAAACATTTTTCTCAAGTGGTCATATGCTGTCTATTGTTACTATTACTATTATTACTGAACTTGCTTTTTCCTATTACTATATCCTATATATCTTTCAGTGTCAGTACATGAAGATATTTTTTCTTTTTAACTAGCATATGGGATACTGCTGTGCCATAATTTAATCAGTTTAGGACATGACATTTGTTTAGCCCCATTAAGTCCCAGTTTCCTCATAGTTTCAATAAGAATGATAACAGTACCATTTCATAGGGTTGTTGTAAGGATTAAATAAGCTTTTTTTGTTTGTTTGTTTATTTTGTTTATTTATTTTTTTTTTTTGAGACGGAGTTTTGCTCTTATTGCCCAGGCTGGATTGCAACGGCACAGTCTCAGCTCACCGCAATCTCAGCCTCCCAGATTTAAGCAATTCTCCTGCCTCAGCCTTCCCAAGTAGCTGGGATTATAGGCATGTGCCACCAAACCCCAGCTAATTTTGTATTTTTAGTAGAGATGAGGTTGCTCCATGTGGGTCAGGCTGGTCTCGAACTCCCGACCTCAGGTGATCCGCCCACCTCGGCCTCCCAAAGTGCTGGGATTACAGGCGTGAGCCACCACGCCTGGCTGGATTAAATAAGTTTTTAATTGAAAAGGATTGAGTATAGTGCCCGCCATATTTTAAACAATTAATGGTAGTAATATATCATTTATGTCTTGTATCTGCATCCCAAGGGCTTAAAATTCACACATCCTACCAACTCATGGAGTTAAGTATACAAATGAAACACAAACATAGAAGGAATGGATGACCTGTAAATGCTCATATCACTGCAAAGTGGCCTAGCATCTTAAGTTTCCAGATGTGAACACTATTCACTGAATCTAAACAATGGACAAGATATAGCTGAAAGGTAAAGATCACTTGGGCCCTGAATCTTTTTTTTTTTTTAACCTTTTTTTTTATTATTATACTTTAAGTTCTAGGGTACATGTGCACAACGTGCAGGTTTGTTACATATGTATACATGTGCCATGTTGGTGTGCTGCACCCATTAAATCATCATTTACATTAGGTATATCTCCTAATGCTATCCCTCCCCCCTCCCCCCACCCCATGACAGGCCCCAGTGTGTGATGTTCCCCTTCCTGTGTCCAAGTGTTGACTGTATTTCTCACTTATGCATTGTAGACATAGCCAAAAGTGTAATAGGGCTGGCTGCTTGCTTTGTACTGCGCCCAATTCATTGACATAACAAACTGAGGGTTTATAAAGAGTAATTTTGATGTAGTGGCACAATGTAATGAAAAGTGCACTTGGCTTGGAATCAAAAGACATAGACTCAAAGCTGGGCTCTGCTGCCCACAGGTCTGTGACCGAACAGTCTTCCTATACCTCAGTTTTCCGATCAGTAAAGTAGGACCAAAAAATGAGTCTACCTCCCAGACCTTCTGTGAGTATTAAGATAATAAAAGCACCTAAAAAAGTTCTTATTGAGATCAGTAAATGTTGAGTACATGAATTAATCATGATACATAATTAATCAAGTGTACTCAAATAGGAAGAGAAGATAACTGTGCAGAAGAAAAGTCAGACTAGGCAAGTGAGAGTAATATAATCTCAGACTATGTTCACAGAAACTTGTTGATATGATGTGGCTGTTCTGTAACTGCCCAATGGGTTCACCTTGCCAGCTACCTAGACAGAACCAATTTATCAAGACAGGGGAATTGCAATGAAGAAAGAGTAATTCATGCAGAACCGGCTGTGTGGGAGATGTGAATTTTATTATTACTCAAATCAGTCTCCCTGAGCTTTCGGGGATCAGAGTTTTTAAAGATAATTTGGCGGGCAGAGGCTTGGGAAGTGGGGAATGCTGATTGGTCAGGTTGGAGATGGAATCATAGGGGGTTGAAGTGAGTTTTTCTTGGTGTCTTCTGTTCCTGAGTGGGTTGGCAGAACTGGTTGAGCCAGATTACCGTTCTGGGTGGTGTCAGCTGATCCATGAATGTAGGGTCTGCAAAATATCTCAAGCACTGATCTTAGGTTTTACAATAGTGATGTTATTCCCAAAAGCAACTTGGGGAGGTTCAGAGTCTTGCAGCCAGGGGCTGCACAACCCGTAAACTGTAATTTCTAATCTTGTAGCTAATTTGTTAGTCCTGCAAAGGCAGACTGGTCCTGAGGCAAGAAGATGGCCTTTTCAGGAAAGGGCTGTTATCAATGTTGTTTCTAAGTCAAGCTGTGAACTGAATCCATCCCCAAAGTTAGTTCCGTCTACACCCAGGAATGAGCAAGGACAGCTTAACAGTTAGAAGATAGAGCTTGTTAGGTCTGATTTCTTTCACTGTCATAATTTCCTCAGTTATAATTTTGTAAATGTGGTTTCAGTTCCACTCCACGATGCACAGGTCATGTTTCAGGTCTCATGTGCTAGGCTGAGCAGAGGAAACTAGGTAGAGAACATATAGGACATGTGGCCACCCTCCTGCCCTTGAAATACCTGAAGGCCTTCTGTGTAACCCAAGACTAGTTCCACCTGAGTCTTTGGGGGAAAATTTGGGAGAATTTGATTCAGTATTTGGATAACTTTTTCGTGGGCAGATCTGATTATAGAAAGAATAGGCCTCATCAAGTTTCCTGGTATGGGAGTGTATGCAGAGCCTGGCTACAGGCCTTGGATGTCATGAGGGAGATAAACCAGCCAGGGATAGGTGGTTGGGACAGATGGTCTCTGAGGAACCCTGAGATTTTGATATTCAGGAACACTGTGGATGGATACAAGAGAAAGAAGCAAATGCATGTTTACTAACAATGACACAAATGCATAGAAGGAAAGAGCTTTGAAATCATTCTTCAGCCAATTACTAAAGGTATTTTGGTCATTTCTGTACTAATATAAGGAAGTGGGTAACTGGCCTTTGTTATGGGTTGAATTGTGTTCCTCCACAAAAAATATGCCAGTACCTTCCTCAGATTGTGATCTTATTTGTTAACAGGATCTCAACAGAGGCAATCAAGTTAAAATGAGGTTATGATAGTGGATCCTAGTCCACCATGAGTGGTATTTTATGAAAATGAGAGATTTGGACAGAGAGAGACATGCACAGAAGGAAGGGGATGTGAAGACAAAGGGAGCACACCATGTGCAGATGGAGGAGAACCAGAATGATGCATTTACAAGCCAAGGAATGCCTGAGGCTACCAGAAGCTAAGAGAGAAGCCTGATACAGATCCTTCCCTAGCACCTTCAAAGAGAGCATGGCTCTGTCAACACATTGATTTCAGACTTCTAGCCTCCAGAACTATGAGACAATAGATTTATGTTGTTCTAAGGCACCCAGTTTGTGGTACTTTCTTATGGTAGCCCTAGGAAATTAACACATCATAGTAATATGTAAGCATTCTTGTGCTGAGCATTGTGAGTTTTTCCAATCATCTTTCCCTCTGACAGTATGCAGGGAGAAATACCCAAGAAATAGTAGCCATATAGGACTCAAAGTGTCACAAGATGGTTAGAGTCAGTATGGGTCTTTCTTGTAAATCTGAAATCGAGAATGTGACTTTTGCCTCAAATGAGCCTCCAATATCTTCTTAAACTGTGAATCTAAACCTTAGGATAGCTCTACCCTCTGGCCAGCTCTTTAAAGAAAGAAATGTCAGAAGGTGGAGAGAGAGAGAGAGAGAGAGAGAAAGAAAGAGAGAGGACATCTGACCTGCCTAAGGTGCCAGATCTGGCTGCAACATGTCTCCTAGGTGCATGAAGGAAAGGCAAGCAAAAGGGGAGCAGAACATGGGGTTTGGCCTTTAAACACACAGTGTCTCTGCCCATGGGAAAAAGCATTCTACTTGATGGATTAGGATAATAGCTTTCCCTCCTTTTGGAGAGAAGCAAGGGGTATAAGTGAGCAGAGAGGAAGAGAGAAAAGTGGTTGTGGGGAAAGAAAGCCAAGTGTTCTCCTCCTTGCCATGAGGACAAAAGAAGTGGGTTGTCCATATCTGTCTTGCTGATTAGTTGCTGATTTGGGCCCCGTGCTGAAATGTTTTTATTCCAATGGTGATCAACTCACCCCAGTATAATTCAATTCAACAATTACTTATTAAGCACTCACTCTGGGCAAGGCACTGTTGTAGAATCAGGAAATGAGTGAGAGGTCTCTGTCATGAAGGAGCGTATGATTTGCTGTCAAACACTATAGGAGAAATGCAGCTATAGTAAGAAGTGCAGCAAAGTCTTCAGCCCTGGCTGCCCGTTAGAATCACCTTGGGATGCTTCAGCGAAATACTGATCCCACTACCAGAGGTGCAGATTTAACTAGTATGAGATGAGATCCAGGCACTGGTGTTTTTATAATTTCCTCATGAAATTCTGATGGGCAGCCAGGATTGAGAATCACTATGTTATGGAGCAGAGAGGAGCAAAGAGTAAGGGCCAAGGGAGGTGAGTGAGGAAAATTTAAGGCTGTTTTCAATGAGTTTTGAAGAATGGTTTGGATTCCCACATGTGGGGCTTGGGATGGGGAAGTCTTCCACAGTTGGGAAGAACCACATGAGTAGGACACGAAGGTGAGAAAGCATGGGGCATGAACAAAGAATAGCTGGTCTGGTTTGTATGGTTCCCAGAGCACCTAAGGAGTAATGGAGAATACGCAGGAAAGTGGAGTGGAGACTGCATTGTCCAAGGGTTCACAGCAAGCATTGGTAGAACCAGAAGCAGAATGCAAGTTTCCTGACTCCTGGACCATACCAGGAAGCAGAGTCAATAATCAGAACAGCAGTCATGGGGCATGATGAAGAAGCTGAGTTAGAGACTCTTCTTCATCTGGTTAAATCCCAGTGACCCAGGGCAGATATAAGCTGGGAACCAGAAAACACTTGTCAGTTTTATTGGTTTGAAGAGAATGAAGTGATCTGATTCCTTTGGGAACACAGGGATTAGGAAATGGTTTGACCATCAAGATGATGGTAAATGACCATCTTAAATATAATGGAAACCAGAAATTAATTTACTTTTTCTAAGCCACATAGGTAGGAATTTGCCTGATTTCAAAGTCAGTGTTTTTCCCACTTAATTTAAATTCTCCTTTGTCTGGTACCCCCATTCTGGGTGTATACTATACTCCATACAGTCTGTGCATAGCTCTGTATTTTACAACCATCTTGTTTTATACTTATGTAATTATGACTCTGTTTATCTTATTAGATTGTGAGTTCCTTGAAGGTAGGGCCACATCAGATTCTAATCAAATCAAAATTATATGGGGTCGATATCAGCCTGGCCAACAAGGTGAAACCCCATCTCTGCTAAAAATACAAAAAAAAAAAAAAAAAATAGGCGGGAGTGGTGGTGCATACCTGTATTTCCAGCTACTCTGGAGGCTGAGGCAGGAGAATCGCTTGAACCTGGGAGGCAGAAGTTGCAGTGAGCCGAGATCATGCCACTGCACTCCAGCCTGGGCGACAGAGCAAGACTCCATCTCAAAAAAAAAAAAAAAATTATATGGAGGTTCCAAGGTACATGTTATAACTATTCGTTTATTTAACAGGCACTTAAATGATGATACAATGTGCCAGATACTTGAAACAGAGTAGTAAAAATATTTAGTCCCTGTCCTCAAGGAATTCACAGTCTATAACAAAACCTCTCACGGAAGAGTGCTCACCAACCCTGTGCCCTCTCTCACCTTTCTCTGTTGATTTAATTAATCCTTGCCTAGTCAGGCCAGTGTAAACCATAATCCAGGTATCGAATCTATCCCCTGGCCTCAGGGATGAATTGAGTTCTACGGTATTGATAAGATTCATCTGGATTAACCCCTGTAAATGTGATTTGTAAGTGGAAGAGAAAGTAATAAACCATGACATGGAGAGGCAATTTTTGATGCAGACAGATGGGTTTTAAACAGTAGGCATACAGCCAGGCAACTGGGCTGTAGATGAACAAGAATGTCAGTCCTAACATGGGCAATGGCCACTAAGCACATAGTTCCTGCATCTCAAGATCCAGGTCAGTAGGACCGCAGAATGTCAGCGTGAGACACACTGCTTAAGGTATATGACTAAACAAACACCAGTAAAATAAACTTTAGGTTAAACTTACTGATGCAATCTTAAATTCCGTCCCCAAGCCGTGGTCAACTTCTAAAACTAGAGAAGCTGCTGCTGCGTGTCTCTGTCCTTGGTGCTGAAACAAAGCCCATCGCGTTGGTCCCTGCCCTTGAAGTGCCGGTTTTCCTGAGATGTTGTTGTGGTTGGGGGAGTGATGGGATATAGCCCTCCACCCCACTTTTATGGGGGAGGAGGTGGTGGTGTTCAATACTAAATGTCCTAGATGTGTGCCTGGTTGACATGGATGTCTGAGATAGGCCTGGGAAGACAGCCTCAGCTCTCCATCCTCCTTTATGCCGCTGACACTGCATATGCATATCTGAAGAATGGTTCTTATCACATAGTATTGGGACTGTAAATATCAGGCCTGACTTCAAAACTATGTTCTGTTCTCTCTTCCTTGCATCTTGCAGCTGCCTTGCTGTTTTGACCGTGATTTGCATTTTAAGGAATTAGGTTGACATGTTTATGGGTCTTTCCTAACACATAATACATTTATTCATCTTATCTCAATACCTAGTACAATATTGGCACATGGTGGATACTTAATAATTTTTTTGGATATAAAAATAAGAAGTTAACACTTGATTATCCTTGGAAAAGGTCTGGAGAGAAAAAAAACATTGACTGGGTAGAATTCTATTTTTCTCTACACTGCCTTTTTCAGCAAGAAATGACATGATTTTACAAGGGTAAATAACATCAAAGTTTTATTAAATGCTCAACCAATCACTGCCCTATCATCACATTGAGGATGGCCAGTGAGGTGAAAAGCCAATTCTCAAGAAAATTAGCCAAACAGCCTGAGATAATAATGTTAATATTTCACAAGTGTGTTTTTCTTTAAACTCTTCTGAAGTGTCATCATATACAACTCAATTTGATTACAACATGCATATGAGGTAGGTGAATTAAGAAGTAGAATCTCAATTATATGAGAAAAACTAAGGTTCAGAGACGTTAGTGTCTTGGCCAAGAAAAACATGTAAGTTATAACTGGTCTTGAAAAGAAAATCAAGGTCTCTTGATCTCTGATCCAGAGCTCATTTCATTGCTCTATAGAGATCAAGGTAAAATTAAGACAAAGGCCTCAGAATCTTAGGTGCTCCTCTTAGCAGTGCTCGTAGAATCTTTGGGTTTTTGAGACACTTTCAGGGCAGTGTCTTGATAGAAATCATTTCCTCCCAGTTATATAAGTGCTCTTCTTTTCATGGGTACCAACAGATACAGCCAAATTATCTGTATGTGCCTTTATTCTATTTGGTGATCTTAATTTACTCCAGATAAGTCTTGCTCCCTGCCTTAAATTTATTGACACTCCAGATAAGTCTTGCCCCTGCCTTAAATAATTTTGTTTAAAATTTTATTTATTTGCCTTGGTCATTCTTAAATTCAGGCAAAATGCTATGGACTCTTTCAACACTGGCCAAAAATTAAACAGATCCAATCTGTATTGAATGCCTAACACACATTTATGCATTCAATTTTTAATGATTTTTTTTACCTTCTTAGTTATTTGCTTTCCTGTGGGAAAGCTATAAAGGGACCCCAAAATGATGAAATCCTAGAGGGACTTACAGTATTGTTGGGAGACATGCTATAAAGCTGTGAAGTGCTTAGTCATAATAATAGTTTAAGACAAAAGTACGAGAGCGATTGCAAGGCAGCACTTGACTGATTGTCAAATAAGTGGTGCAGATAAGGATTCCATGGTTTTGAGATATTATATATTGATTTCAGGAGATTGAATTGGACTGGGTACAGTCCAATACCAAGGGGTAAATAAGTATAAGCAAGGCACTAACAAAAATTTCCACCAAAATATAATGAGGGCAATCCCTTTGACAGGCTTTGAGGAAAAGAAGAAGAAAGATGGAAAGACGCTAGTTTATCCTGAATCTCGGGAAGTAAAAGGAAAAATTTTATAACTATGAGGCAGAAGTAAACTATAGTTGTAGTCTCTTGAACATTAAGTAGGAAAAAATTAGAGATACCATTTATTTATTTTAAAATTTTTTATTGAGCCTATTTTGTTTTCTTCTCCAGGGCCAGGAATACAATGGTGGCCCTCATAGCTGTGGCTCTTGCTCTCTTGGCTCTTACAACTGGGCCGTGTGAATCCATAAGTTGCTATGGGAGCACAGAGGAAACTTCTAGCTCAACTGCCTTGAGGGCTAGTAAAGTCTTTCTAGAGGAAGTGACATTTTAGTTGAGACCTAAAGTTCAGGTAGGAAATAGCTAATTAAGGAAGGCTGGGAGTATCAAAAAGATTGTTCCAAGCAGAGAAAACAGCATGCATGATGGCACAAAAGTGAAAGAGCATTTGGTCTATTTTGCAAAAGAAAAGCTAAGTTTGCTAGAGCCTACTGTTTGAAGCAGGAAGCTGTAAGGGTTAAGGCTGGAGAAATAAGCAGGAACCAAATTATGCAGGACTTGGGGCTTTCAGCATAAAACTAGGGCCTGGAGAAGAGAGGAGGAAATAAGATCTTGAAGGGTTTTATCCAGAAAATGGCATAAGATTTGCACCTGTGAAAGGTTTCTCTGGGTGCTATGTGGGGAGTAGATTGGAAGGGGCAAACAGCCTAATTAGAAAGCTGTGTCAATCATTTGGGCAGGAATCGATGGTGCTGAATTACAGCAGTAGCCATGGAAATGGAGAGAAGAGCGTGAGTTTGACAGATATTTAGGAGTCAGACTCTGTAAGATTGATCATGGCTTAGGTGTGGAGGATAAGAGAGAGGGAGGAATGGAGGATGCTTCTTCCAGGTTTCTGGCCTTACTGTATTGCAAATGCATTCTGCTCGTCACTGAGTCATCAAAGGAATTAATGTGGGCCTGGACTCTCTAAGTGGCTTATTTGGCTGAGTGATCTATAGATGAATGCACACCTTTCCACCCCAAGTTCCTATTGCTGCTCTCATCTCTATCTGCCATATCTCATTTCTCTCATGGGTTCTTACCTAAATCCCAGGAAAACTCAGATTGGGGGTGAAAGGTGGTGGAGGGGAAGAATAACTAGAAGATTTAAGATGATCACTTCATTGAATTTGCTTTTATCTTTCCAAAGGACAAGTTTTCCCCCTGCCTTTGGTCTGCTCCACAGAATGAATTCCCTTTTCTGGTTTTGTCTGCTGCTCACAGAGACAGAACAGTGCTACTCGGAGAAATAAACAAACAATTCTCTGCTTTGTGGCTGGCAAGGAGGGCCTGACCTTCACTACTCAATGGCAAAGAAAATGTGATCTCTCCTCCCTCCTAAAGGCCTCCAGGTTCCTTTTCCTAGCAGACTGGAAGGAGGAGCCAAAGGAAGCCCAGAACTGGCTCTGGGCAGGGAACCTCCGCCCCTTCACCTACTTAGCTGAAAATCTGTTAGAGGTAAAATAAACATTATAGCAGAACTGTCATCTGCTAATCGAGATGTGTAGGTGAGAGGGAACCCTGGGGAGTCCAGAGAGAGATGTCCGACAGATGGCTTAGCTTCCGGTGGACAGAGAGGGCCCCTGGACCACAGCACAGGAGCCAGGAAAATTATGTAGGTAATTAAGCTCAGGCTTTTGGTATGGAAGGTCAGGAGGGAAGCTTTGAGAGGCACCTTTTTAAACAGCATCTTTAACCGGCTCTCATTTTAGAAAAAGCCTGGATGGATTCTCTAACTGTTCCCTTTCTGCATTAGAATCCAGAAAGATATAGCTTTAAGTCTGCAGTGGAAATGGCAATGCTGCTGGAGACATCAATTTTGTGTGTTTCTGAGACCGACTAACATTCGTTCCAAGAGAGCTTTCCCCACATGCTGGGGTGAGGTGTGACAGAAATGTGACAGAGGCCCTTGTTTCCACCAGCTTTTCAAAACATTCCTGAGAAGTTTGATCTTGCTTGGCAGGAGCTTCTTGCCGGCTGTGCTGGTAAAATAACGAGGAGTCCCCATTTGTGAGCTGTTTTTCATCCTGGTGGCACTTTTCAAAGCACTGCATCATTAGCCAGGCTGGAAATGGTTTTCAAAGACTGCTTTGCTCAAGCAGGCAGTGCAGGGTCAGAGGCAGTGCAGAGTCAGAGAGGCTGTAGGTGGCCAGAGGACAGTGCGTGGGGGTTTTGTGCCCTGTGAGAAGCCTCAGAACAATCCTCCTTGTGGCTGCACTATTCTCAGAATTGGCAAGGATGGAGCAGAGGCCCTCAGTGTCTCCTGGGTCATTTTGTAATGTGTCCTAAGAAAGATAGGGCAAGAAAAGAAGGTTATGACATGCAAGTGGGGTTGGAGAAATAATAGCAAAGATTATTCTCTCTTCCATCTGTGTAGGGTGGTGTGGGCTGGGAAACTTTATGAAGTTTAATCTACAACCTCCAACTTCACCTTTTGTCTCATATCAGAAATTATCAGCTACTGAACCCAGACCTGTGAATGGGGAAACCCACGGAGTGCATGGAGGAAGTCAATATGCTCTGATTATAGAGATTTCCAAACCCAAATGCTGATATTCTCAAACTTTGGTCTATATCCCAGTCACCTAGATTGGTTTTTTTTTTTTAAAGTAAATTTTCAGAGTTGGCTTTAGAGTCCCTGAATCTGATTCTCCAGGTTGAGAACAGGCCACAGGAATTTTTAATGAGCCCTTTGAGGGCATGAAATGCACATGGAAGTTTGAGAATCATTGTATTGGAGCTGCTGTATTTATCTTTATCCTTTTTTTCTTTGTTTGCATTTGTTCTTGAAAATTCTGCTTTCCTCAGGCATTAGAGGGGCCCAGGGACATCCAACTGAGCGTGGGTGTGTGCCACAGCAAAGGTATTTGAGAACTCCAGCGGAGGAGTGCTGGGGACTCAGGTTCAAAACTAAGGCCTCCTCAGGCGAGGCAGCCAGGTCACTGCTGGAAATGCAGAGGGGGCTGTCAGGCCATCTCAGACAGCTGGGAGTGCAGGCTCTGATTCACAAATGTCAGGGCTGCTGAGGAAGCCTCTCTGGAGAGCTGCTTGCTCCCAAAGAATGAGATAATAATTGCATTGAAAATTACGGAGAAGCAGAAGACTTGTAGAACACATTGGAAATTTTAATCACTTTCTCAGAATGGCTGTAACATTCTCTTTAGCCCTTCCTAGGTGTGTCCTAAGCCTCCCTCATTCTAGCTGACAGGTAATTAGTGCTCTGGCTTGGGAGAAAGATGCACACTTCTCAGATCAAGTAAGATAATGCACATGAAGACACTGCAAAGACTGTAAGGACCACAGTGGAAGGGCTAGCTCTGAATCCCTGCATGGCTCATATGCTGGGGACAGCATGCCCTATCATCTCATAACATTGCTCTTGCTGCCCTCCCGCTGTCCAGAATGCCCTCTGTGCTTTCTCCCCCTGTGAATTCTCCCTCATTTCTCAAGGCTGAGCTCAAATGAAACTGCTCTAGAGTCATTCATTTTCCCCGGCAGAACTAAGCATTCTGTGCCCACTGCTACTAAGGCCACTGGAAAAAGGCTGCATGGTCTCTGGTACGTTGTAGGCCTGATAAATATTCTCATTCAGTTGCCTGATAAATTTCTCTTCCTTCAGCTCACCACTTCTTGATTTGCATGTCTGTCTCCTCTTCAGCATAAGAAATGAGCTTATTCTTCTTGGTATTCTCAATGAGTATGGAAAGCCAACTAGTAGGTGCTCAGTAAATGGCTGTTGAATGAAAACAATAAGTATCAGTTAGAAAAGGTGACCTGAAAGAGGTGAGGCGAAAAGAAATTATTTGCTTTGTTACACAGAGCCCTCCTGGAATGCTATATTGATCTAATGTTTAATCTAAGAACAGCATGGAAGGAGATTTTCTTTTTTTTTTTCAGTTTCTTTTTTTAAATTTTATTTATTTTTTATTTATTTTTATTTTACTTTAAGTTCTAGGGTACATGAGCACAAAGTGCAGGTTCGTTACATATGTATACATGTGCCATGTTGGCGTGCTGCCCCCCTTAACTCGCCTTTTACATTAGGTATTTCTCCTAATGCTATCCCTCCCCCCTTCCCCCACCCCAGGACAGGCCCTGGTGTGTGATGTTCCCCACCCTGTGTCCAAGTCTTATCATTGTTCAATTCCCACCTATGAGTGAGAACATGCGGTGTTTGGTTTTCTGTCCTTGCGATAGTTTGCTCAGAATGATGGTTTCCAGCTTCATCCTAATTCCAATGCATAAGCCACTAAAAAATACCCTGGCCAACATACCTAGATTCTAATGTCATACTATCCTGGTGGTAAATGGTGATGCTTCATGCTGTATTCATTTCTAGTTCAACATAGTTTATGAAGCGGCCTCTTCATGCCTCAGTTTTTCCATCTGCACTGTGGGACAGAGCAAATCGTGACTATCATGAGTAATCCTGCCTTCTCTCCTCTGATATCTTCGGAAGAAGGCAGATGTCACTGGAGGTGGGTGTGTGTAGCTCAGAAAAACAGAGCCATTTGTCACATGTAGTGACAGGCACTAAGGGCAGGGCTTGAGAGGAGAAAAGAGAGTGAGAGAGAGAATCAGAATTGCATCTTTTTTTCTTAATTTTACTCTGGTACCCACTCCACATGGAATTATCCTAACGGGCACATAGGAGGAGAGACTAGCATTTACTGCACAGCTAGCACATTACGGGAAACTTTTATTTAAAGTGGGATCCTCAGACCAACAACATTGACACCGCCTGGCGCTATCTCGGCTCACTGCAACTTCTGCCTCCCGCATGCAAGTGCCTGCACCAGCCTCTGTCGCCAGGCCGCAGTGCAGTGGTGCGATCTTCACTACAACCTCCGCCTTCCGGGCTCAAGCGATTCTCCTGGCCCAGCCTCGCTAGTAGCTGGGACTACAGGCGCGCGCCACCACGCCCAGCTAATTTTTGTATTTTTAGTAGAGACAGGTTTCACCATGTTGGTCAGGATGGTCTCAATCTCTTGACCTCGTGATCCGCCCGCTTTGGCCTCCCAAAGTGCTGGGATTACAGGCGCGAGCCACCGCGCCCAGCTAGGAACTTCTTAAAGATGCAGAATCTAAGTTCCCATCCTAGATTTACTGAATCGGAATCTGGCTTTTAATAAGATCTACCGGTGATTCATATGCATATTAAAATTTGAGAAGCACAAGCATAGAGTAGTTTCAAAAACGTTTGTGAGAGTAAAAGGAGAAGTGGGGAAGAAAAGATGCAGAGGATGTTTAAAAGATATTCTGCCCACCAGGATATAGTGAAATGGAATACATTTTCTCATGCAAATAACTAGAAAAATGCTATGGTGAGGTGGTGGGAGAAAGGGAGGAAGGACTTTTATTTAGCTGCAGACTCACTCAGGGAGTTGACAGAAAAAACATCAATGTGTGAGCTCAGACCAAAGCAGCGTACCCACCCAGCACAATGAGACAGGAGCCTAACAGAGCTTGGAGGCGTGTTGGCTGCTCTTCTGGCCCTGGGCCTTCAGATCTCCTACGGTGTACCCGCCCAGACCTGCCCTGTCATTCACCATGGTAGCAGGATACCCAGGACCTTGCCCCAGGGGTGGTCATGGAGGTGGTGGGGTGTCAGTGTGATCTAGTTCTGTTTAACGATGAATTCTCTTGTCTTCATTTAATTGGAGTCTTAAACTGAATTTCCTCTACCAAATGTAGGGACTTGGTTTGGAAGCCTCTCTGTGGGAAGCACAGTACACTCATGTGTGTATGTGTCTGTGTGCATGCATTCAGGTCTTTGAGATATAATTTACACATAATAAAATGCACAGATTTTAAGTGCTCAGTTTGATGAGTTTTGACAATTGTATGCACACATCCATGTATATGCCAACCAAACTACGTATTTTCATTACTCCAGAGAGTTTCTATTTGTCTCTTTCCAATCAATCCTTCTGTCTCTCCACCCACTTGGAGGCAAAGGGTTCTGGTTTTTATTCCCATAGGGAGTTCTAGTTGGTCCATGTCTTTGCCCCAACGGTTGGTGTTATCGATCTTCGTGATTTTTAGCCATTCTAGTGGGTATTAAATGGTTTCATTGTGATTTCAATTTACATTTCCCTGATGACTCATAATGTTGAGCCCTTTTCATGTGTATATTGTCCATTTATATATCTCTTTTTGTGAAATGTCTGTGCAAATCTATGGCCTCTTTTTAAAAATGTTACCTTTTATTGTTGATTTGTAGGAATTGTTTACACATTTTAGATATACATCCTTGTCAGATGTATGCATTGCAAATTTTTTCCCCAGACTTCGGGTTCCCTATTCATTTTCTTGATTTTTGATTAGCAGAAAAATTTTAATATTTATGAAGTACAATGATTTTTTAATATTTATGAAGTACAATGTATCATTTTTTCTTATTAGTCAGTGCTTTTTGTGTCCACAGAAATCTTGCCTTCCTCAAGGTTTCAGAGATATTCTTCTATGCTTTCTTTTTGAAATTTTGTGGTTCTAGCTTTTACATTTTGGTCTGTGATCCATCCCAAATTAGTTTTTGTGTAAAGTGTAAAACAGAGGTTGAGGTTTGTTTTATTCCATACAGAAATTTGTATGGAATAAAACACTTTGGGCTTTGGCTAAAAGCCAGTTAACTTTGTATGGGGAACTATTTTTGGACTATGTGTTCTGTTCCATTGGATTGATCTGTCTATCCTTATTCCAGTGCCACACAGTTTAATAACTGTATTTTAATGAAATTCTTGAAATCAAGTAGTGTAAGCCTTCCAACTCCCTCATCTTTTTAAAGTTTAGCTATTCTAAACCCTTTACATTTCCATAAAAATCATAGAATTAGCTTGTCATATTTCTTTTCAAAAGCCTGTGGCATTTTGACTGTTTTTTAAAAAATTGAATCCATAGGTTAATATGAAAGACTGGCTATCTTAACAATATTGAGTCTTGTAATTCACGGACATGTTTGTTTATTTAAGTCTCTAATTTCTCTTAGCAATGTTTGTGATTGTCAGTGTAGGCATCTTTTGTACCTTTCATTAGTCTTCTAGATATTAAATCTTTTCGATATTATTATGAATAATTGTTTTAATTTGATTTTTTACTTGTTTTTGACTACTATGTAGAAATTCAATTGATTTTCACATATAGAAGTCGATTTATATTTGAATGTTGAACCAACTTTGCATTCCTGGTACGAACTCACTTAGATTATGTTATAGATATGTGGATATTATTTTCTAACACTTTATTAGTGATATTCATGTCTGTATTCACAAGGGACTCATGGTCTGAAGTTTTGTTTTCTTGTAATGTCTTTGTCAGGTTTTGATGTCAAGATTGTGCTGGCTTTCTAAAATGAGTTTGGAAGTATTCCTAGCTCCTATATTTTCTGAGTTTATGTAACATTAGTATTATTTCTTCCCTAAATATTTGATTAAATTTACTGTTGAACTATCTGGGGCTAAAGTTTCCTTTGTGGGAATATTTTTGAATATAAACTTAATTTCTTCTTTTATCATACATATTTATGGCTATTAAGATTTTCTATGTCTTGTCGCAGTTTTGGTAATTTGTGTCTTTTGAGGAATTTGTCCACTTAATCTAAATTGCCAAATATACTGACATAAAGTTGTTCATCATATGGCTTTATTCTCCTTTTAATGTGTATAGTATCTACAGTGTTGTCCCCTCCTTCATTTCTGATACCAAAAATTTGTATTTTCTTTTTATTCTTGATGAGTGTCTGGATTACGACTGCTGCTTAACAAATTATCCCTAGCATTAGCAGCTTAAGACCACAAATTTAATTTACTCATGGTTTTGTGGGGCTGAAATTTGAGAAAAGCTCAGCTGAACAGTTCTCACTTGGAGCCTTTAATGTCATTGAATTCAGTTGTCAGTTGGGGCTCCAGTCATGTGAGACTCAACTAGGCAGGATGCCCAAGATGGCTTCCTTACATGGCTGGCAGCTGGTGCCTGCTGTTGGCTGGGAGCTCAGCTGGGGCTGTTGATGGAGTGTTTACATGTGGCCTCTCCAGCTTAGCAGCTGTCTTCTTCCAGAGCAAGCATCCCAAGAGAACCAGTTGGAAGTTGTTTGGCTTTTCCTAACATAGATTGAAAGTAAAACATTGCCATGTTCACCAAATTTTACTGGTTACAAGCAAGTCACCGAGGCCAGCCCAAATTAAGAGGAAGAAATATAGAGTCCATTTCTTGATGGAAAGAGCATCAAAAATTTTAAATCGCATTTTATAATCTTCACAGCAGTCTAGGTGGGGATTACCAATTTTATTCATCTTTTCTAATAATAAATGTTTGCACTGATTTTATCTGTTTGTCCATTTTTTATTTAATTGATTTCTGTCCTTATTTTTGTTACTTATTTTCTTCTACTTACTTTAGATTTAATTTGCTCTTCCTTTTCCAGCTTTTAAGATGGAAGTAAACTTAGATCACTGATTTTATGTCTTCCTTCTTCTTATGATAAAGACATTGACAACTACCAATTTCTGAAGTATTATAAATTTGTATTTTGTTGTCTGTTTGTTACATAGTCTGTACTGTAGGTTCATACAGGCAGCCAGCTTCAGGGTGCCAGCAGGCCATAGGAGTTAGAACTGACTACACTGCTCTTTTCTAGAGTATACTGGTTAAGAGCATAGACCTGAAGCCATGTTGTCTGGGTTTAATCCCACCTTGGCACTCACCAGCTACATGATCTTGTCAAATTGCTTAGCCTCTTTGTGCCTCCATTTCCTCTCAAATCATAGATTAACAGATTACTGACAGGCTGAATTCAAATCTATTAAGTAAAATAATGTGTAAAGTGGGGATGGTAATCATGATATCTACCTCAAAGGTTGTTATGAGGGTTAAAGGAGTCGGGATTTGTAAAGTGTTCAGAATACAATTTAAAAATATATTTCTCAGTACTCCTGTTATATTAAAATAGGAAGGCAAATAGGAGGCTCATTAAGCCATTCAAATGATTACTACATGAGTCAGGCAACTGTGCTGGACATCAGTCTTACCATCTAAAGTCACTCTAAAGCTCTACTGTCATTTACTTTCAACATTTTAGGATAACAGCATCATATGTTCTATAAAATTTACAGTTACTGTCTTTGTTCTTGCAACTATTGATTGTTACTAAGTCTTAAGTACCAGGCTAAGTCTATTACATATAGAATATTATTTAAACCTCACAACATATCTTCAAAGATGCCAACTTAGATGGTACCTAGAGGTGAATTAGCCATCACTGTCCCACCTCTGAGTCTCCTTAAAACAAGGACTGCTCTCTTAATCCCCACTCTAGTTTCTTGTCAAGACTAACTAGGGCAGTTTTCCAGTTGGTGCCTCTGGAAATATTGGACATCCTGATTTTTCAGCTGTCTGGAATTGATGGAAAATGTAGTTTCAAGCCAGGGAAGATAATAGAGCGTAGGGGTTAGAAGCAGAAGCTTTGCAATCGGACAGATCTGAGTTGGAGTCCTGACTCTACTCTTTACTAGCTATGTGACCTTGAGAAAGTTCTTTAACATGTAGTCAGCCAACCTTTCATTCATTCCAAAAATATTTACAAGCATCTGTGCAATTCCAGGCTCTGTTCTAGGCTCTGGGGAGACAGCTGGTAATGAAAGAGACTGCAGTCTCTGCTCACATGAGCTTTACATTCAGTGGTTTTATGACTTCTTTATAGGATTGTGGGGAGCTTAATTGGGATAACATAGGTAAAATGCTTAGTGTAGTGCCACTGGAACATATTTGAAAAGGAATAATGTCAGGGAAAATGCAGACACCTTCCTGAATTTTATATTGTTTTCAGACATCTTTTGCCTGACAATAGTGTAGAGGAGTTGCCTTCCAGAATAGCAGTGATTTTTGGAATAACTGATCTGAGGATTGTTCTTCCTTGGCCTCTTTTCAAAGGTGACCAAAAGATGGAAACATACCTAGGATCTTTTATTATAGCAATTTAAAAATATTTATGATAGCTTGTAGAATAATTTGAGAGTAAATTTCATATACGCCTCAACCAAGGAGCCAGCATTACTGGTCATTTAATTGTCCATCCTTCATTGTTTATCTCAATTCTTCAGAAAAATATTCTAGACAAGACTGAAGGTCAGCATTTCATCTTTAAGCTTATTCTAAACCTAAATATTATTGCCCTAAATCTGACTGTACATATAAGAGTAATAAAGGTATTAAGTGGATAAAGAAGATTAATATGGAATGAACCTCTCTATAATTCAAAACAGAAACTACCAATATCTGTAAATTCATACTCTATCTTCCTTCCTTTCACAGTGTACAGACATTACCTTTATCCTATAAAAAATCAGCCCCTCAGATCTTATTCCACTTCTTATCTGCATTATATCCATTTCCTTGGTCATTTGTTTCTCCCCACTAGACTATAAGCTTCTTAAGGGCAGGTGCCATGTTTCACATCTTTATGTATTTTGTTCATATCCTAATGCCTGGCATAGAGTTGGTTTTCGATGTGTGTTTATTGAATTGACTTGAAATGACATAGATTTCCTCTCAAATAATAGACTAATAGATTATTGGCAGGCTAAAATCAAATTCTTCTAACTCTTTCATCTGTTGATTTTATAAAGATTTCTAAAAACATCAAAATGATGGTAAATTTATTTTAAAACACTTTGAATGAAATTTAGCTAAATCAATCCAAAGGCTTAAGTTTAGATAGCCTCACAAAGATGTCATCTCAAACAATGAATTTATCATAGATTCCAGTGAAGAAACATTATTACAAAATCAGAAGTAGTACCTGCCTAATAATGTATATAATTCCACATTAAACGGTTTAAAATGTGCTCTTATTAACTACCACCTCTTTTTTTAGCTTATTTATTTAAACAACTTGACATAAGTATTATTAGATAATCTGATTGCACATTCTCTGGTTATAACAAACAGGAGGACAGACATTATCTTTTATTTGAGTACATATTTTTATAATTTTCAATTGGATGTGAATATATAAAGAGGCTTTAAAAGCTGCTGAAACTTTTGGTTATTTCAGGAAGATTAGTGGAGAATTAATAAGAAAGGAAAAGTTAAAATTTAATCTGGAAAACTTGGGGGCAGGTGTATGCGCTAAAGAATTGGGGGATAAGGGTCACTCAACAAATATTTATTGAGCACTTACTATGTGCGAGCCACTATCCGAGTCTTTTAGATACAGAGAACCCTGCTCTTGCAGAGCTGACATTTAAGTTGGGAGAACATTCATTCAAAGAGATTCTAGTAATAATGACTTTCAAAAGGAACCATTGGATCTCCATTTCTTAGCTTCCTGGAGCTTCTTCGCCCTGTTGAAATGTGAACAGTCCCTTTCTACCTATAAACCCCACAGATTCAGAGAAATTAAAAAGGAAAAGCATGGTCTAGCACAAAACAGGTGCTGTTATAACCTTCCCGGGGTGCAGAGCACCTACTTGTCTTGAGAGGCTACTCAAGTAACTTCCCTGAACAGAAAAATGTTTCAAGGCAATTCTCTCTGTCTATACTAGAATTGACTGGCAACATCCCTGATACAATAAATAATAATATATAGAAGAAAATAAATGCTTCTGTTTCCACAGGCATCTCTATAACATATCTGTCTCAAAAAGATCACAGCAAAAAATAAAGGAGATAATGTAAAGTGTCTAGCATGGTGCCTGGCAAGAGGTTAGCACTAAACACTTAAACATGCACGCACACACAGTCTTCCTCAGCTGCAATGAGAAATATACGGGCCCTGCCTCTGACAGAGAATGTAAATCAGGCTCCTAATTATTCAGCAGAGGCAGTGGGCTCCACCTCCTGCACATCTGGTGTGTGTAAAGCATGTGAATCCCTCTTTAATCAGCAACTCAGAATAATGGCATTTCCAACCCTCATCAGAGAATTCAACCAGGAATTGATTGTGATGAAGCTCTTGCCAAATGCTTGCTGGGACAGTTGATATTTGAGAGAAACTGCCTAATGAATTTGTTATCTGTATGCATTATTTTTCTAGGCTTTTTATTTGAATTAAGAAATCATGAGGAAAACTTACCTGGACTATATTATTGCTAATCTGTATAAAATACTTTGTTGAATTGACATGTGCTGCTTCTTTACATACTTTTTAGCCAATCTGTATTAAAAATATCTGCCTAGCATGGGGCCTGGTCCATGGTAGGTTCTTAATAAGTGTTTGAATATTGAAGGAATGAATCTGCTTGAATAGATTCATGGTTTTTCTTCCTTCGATACAGCCATAAGTGAAAATAACAACCATTAGAATTTGCTTTTTATTCCTTCTCCTTCTGGGGAACTGCTCTTCATCCTTCATGTCTTAGCTGGATATCACCTTCTTTTTGGTCCACCCCTCTGACCCTACCCCACTTTACTTTCTTCTTCAGGCAGGGTTCTAAGTTCTTCCCACCCTGCTCCCACCTCTGGCTTTGCACCTATCACATGTTTTTATAATTGTTTGCACTTATGTCTCCTTGTTGGACAGGGCAGCACTTCAGGGCATGACTGTGTCTTTTTCATTTTTGTAACTGCAGTGTATGGCACAAGGCCTGGCCCAGAGTAGATTAATAAATGTTTAAATGTTTATACACCAACTGAACATTTCTTCCTCGAATTCAGCAACAGGAAAAAGTGATATTTTCAATGAATTTTTATTTAGTTTCTGCTTTATGCAAAACACTTTCCTGATATTATAAGATCTTTGTGGTCCCTACCACTCAGGAGTTCTCCATCAGGTGAGGGAGACAGACATATCCATAAGCACATTCAAGGTTACCTGGATTCAGTGTTCTAATAGCAGTACAGAGACAGTGCTCAGTGGAGTAGGAGGGATGAAAGAGATTAATTCCAACACAGAAATAAAGGAGGCTTATAGCTTGAGGTTGACTTTGAATGGGTAGAATTTTAACAGACATGTATGAGGATGGGAAGCAGATGCCAGGAAGAGAAAAATGCTGTCTTCCTTTACTTGTTTTTAAATGTATTATCTATTCATCCATTCATCCTGCAGACTTTAATGAAGGACTCTGAGGTTTCCAAATGTACAGACTGTATTTTAATAGTTGTATCCATGAATGCCTAGCATGACCCTGATATATGGTAATTTTCCAGTAGATGCTTGTTGGAGACTAAAGTTTGTGAGTATAGAAGTAAATAAGACTGGAAAAGATGGTTGAAACCAAATTGGAAAGAACATAGTTCTGTTTATTGTAGGTGGTCATTGAAAGTTCTTGAGTTGGGGAGGAGTGCAATCAGACCTGGTTATATGTGAAGGATGGATTGTAGGAGAAATAACTAGAGATAAGACAAACAGCTAGATGATAGTTTAAAGGTATAGGTGAGAGTCAATAAGGATGTGAATTAAGCAGTAGAAGTGGAAGGGGCAAAGTAGGGATGAGGAACTTCTGGTATGAGTTGACGTTTCTCCTACATCTCTTTAAAAATCACCCCAAAGCCGGCCAGGTGTGGTGGCTCATGCCCGCAATCCCAACACTTTGGGAGGCCGAGGCGGGCGGATCACGAGGTCAGGAGATGGAGACCATCCTGGCTAACACAGTGAAACCCTGTCTCTACTGAAAATACAAAAAAGTAGCCGGGCGTGGCGGCAGGCGCCTGTAGTCCCAGCTACTCAGGAGGCTGAGGCAGGAGAATGGCATGAACCCAGGAGGCAGAGCTTGCAGTGAGCCGAGATTGTGCCACTGCACTCCAGCCTGGGCAACAGAGCGAGACTCCATCTCAAAAAAAAAAAAAAATCACCCCAAAGCAATAAGGAGAACTAGAACAGGACATACACTCCAACACTGGTGAAACTAGGAAAACATATGTAACCCCAAACCACAATATATACACACAAAACTATACGAGATGTTGGGAATTGATTTAGCAGATCACAGAAAGCTTAAAAAGATGAAAGCTAAGTGTTTGTGGATAGTATACCAGTGAGAAGCAACTTTATTCATTCTGAAGAGCCACAGACAGACCAAAAAACTAAGGACACCAGGTGCTGTGGAAGGTTGTCTCAGTCAGTTTGGGCTGCTCTAATGAAGTTCCATGGACTGGGTGTCTTATAA
The DNA here is from genome assembly GCF_000001405.40 of Homo sapiens. Lineage (NCBI taxonomy): Eukaryota > Metazoa > Chordata > Mammalia > Primates > Hominidae > Homo > Homo sapiens. Next base: position 110,762,816 of record NC_000001.11, read on the forward strand.
ACAACAGAAATTTATTTCCCATAGTCCCGAAGCCTGGGAGTCTGAGATCAGGGTGCCAGCATGGTTGGGTTCTGGTGAGGGCCTCCTTCCAGGTTGCAGACTGCCACCTTCTCCTGTATCCTCACATGGTGTGAAGGGAATGAGAAAACTCTCTAAGGTCCCCGTTATAAGGGCACTAATCCCACTCATTAGGGTTCAGCACTCATGACCTAGTTACCTCTCAAAGTCCTTACCTGTTAATACCATCGATACTAGGGGTTAGAATTTCAACAAATAAATTTTGAGGGAACAGACACACACATTCAGTCTATAGCAAAGGTGGAAGTGTGGTATAGTTGAAAACAGAGGAATTGGGTGAAAGTCTACAAAACAGTCAGTTCGACCTCCAGACCTCCACCCTGGACATCCAGGTAACTGTCCCTCTCTTATGGCGGGAGAGGAGAGATTTATTCTATGAAGCAGCTGAACCAGAGTGCTTCTGAATTCAGAGATACAAGGTATGGCAGAGAGCTTGGATGAGGTAACCAACTCAAAAGAGAGGGGTCACGTGAAAGGCTGCATCCTGAATGATAAGGCACTCAGCTCCCTTTCCCTACCCTAGCAAAGGCCATCTACTACACTTAAACCTCAATGGAAAAGACTGGTGCCTCCTCCTCTGGGGATCACAGTGGCCAGGGAGAAAGAGGAAAGGGAATACAAGCGCATGCACACACACATGTATTTTCCCAAGGAAAACATCTATGGGTTGGATTTCAGCAGTATTAAGTCTCACTCAATCACAGAGAGTTTCAGTGTATTACTCTTAGAAATGAATGCAAAGCAGAGTCTGGATTTTTTAGAAAGGTCTATCACAGAAAAAGCAGAGAGAAAAGAAAAGCTCTCCAAAAAAAAGAAAAAAAAAAAAGCAAACAAAGAACAGAAAAAAACTTACCTTAAAGCAATAATTAATATCCCCAGAGAGTCAAGGATGCTATAAAAAAGGAATCTGAAGAGAATAAGAAAAAACTCTTATACATTCACAATATAGCAAAAATTAAAAATTTAAAAGAAGAACTGGAACATGAAGTTGATGAAGTCTCACTGAAAGTAAAACACAAAGATATGAATAAGAAGAGAAAAAACATAAGGAAAATGGAGAATTCTAACATCAAACTAATAGACGTTGTAGAAAGCTATAACAGAGAAAAATGAATAAAACAGAATTATCAAATGAATAATTTTATAACATTTTGGAAAACCAAACTACATAAGCATTTAGAGTAAAAGCCCAAAAAACATTCCCCTAAAATAAACTGTACCAAGATACATCCTTAGGAAATTCAGTACACCAGGAACAAAGAAGTAATATAAAGATCTTCCAGAGAGTAAAAAAAGGTCACATACAAAAGTTTAGTAACTAGCAACTACCTTGGAAGACAGAAGACAGTGGAGAACTACATTCAGGATTATAAAGAAATAGTATTTCCAGTCTAGGAATAGACAATTAGCTAAACTATCAAGATGCGTAGTGATAAGATACATATATTTTATTATTTTTTTCTTTTCTTCTTTTTTATTAAGAAACTTTGAAAAGTTGTTTTTTTTTTTTTTCCCCCAGGCTAGTCCAGTGAAGCAGTAGGAGTGGAGAAGAAACAAAGAAATCTGTAACTGGTTGTGATCAGTTAGTTGTAACCACTGCATTTGGACCAGCCAGGATAAATATATTTCAAACGTACAAAAATTTCAACAAACTTACTTCCAAGTATCGTGTCTTAAGAAGCTACTCGACAATATGCTCCACCACACCAGGAGAGAGAGAGCGCACGAACGCCAGGAAGGAACAGCTCCAACACAGGAGAGAGGTGAAGGGAATGCCCAGGCTGGTGGCAAAGGGGATTCTCCATTGGCCTGGAGAGTAACTGGTCCACAGAGCAGGAAGCTGAAAGGCTCAGGAGAGAAGTCTCTAGGAAAAATAAATGTGGTATATAGGAGACTGTGTTTGAGAAGCTGTTAGAGGAAAAGAGAAGTCTGAGCCAGGCACTGGTACACAGACTACTGTTAAAAAAAATTTAGACAAATTAAATTTAATAGAGTTTACCTGAGCCAAGGATAATTTGTGAAGCTGGCAGCCTCCTGAATAGGTTTATACATGCTGGGCACTGTCCTGTGGTTGGACAGGATTATGGACAGAAAAGGGAAAGTAACATATTGAGAATGGAAGTGAGGTACAGTAACGTACAGTAACAGTAGGACTGGTTACAGCTCAGCATTTGCCTTATTTGAACAGCATTTGAATGGCTGACCATCTGTGATTGGCTGAAACTTGGTGATTGATTACAAATATAGTTTATAGTCTGTTCAAACATCCAGTTAGGTTACAGTTTACTAAGTACGAAGAAACCTTTAAGCCAAATTTACAAGGAGGCAGCTTTAGGCTAATCTTAACTAAAAGTATTAAGGAAGTGAAAAAAAAAGGAAAGCAAGTATTAACCATACGAAAAAACTAAAGCTGAACAAGAAGGCAGCCATAATAATAGTGTTTACACTAAAAGCTTAGTCTTCACCACTATGCAAAATATCAATGTAACAAAACTGCACTGTACCCACTAAATTTATACAAATAAAAAAAGATATAGGGATGGGAGAAATAAAAGACAACATATTAAAAGATAGCATACTACTTGATTCAGCAATAAATAGTGTTTACATGGTCTTAATAAGGTAAACTTTAAATATTGATCAAACAAAATTGTGATGTTACTATCTAGAGAGGATAAAAGAGAAGTCACAAGAAGGGATTGGAGCGAGTTTGAGAGAGCTAAGTAATCATCCATTAGGAAGCCAATACCTCACTGATACTGGGGAATCAAATGAAAGCTGCACAAGCTTATTATTTAGAATCATGAAGATAAATACTAGACCAAATAGCCAAGAGAATTGAAAGTGGTGACAACTTGGCTAGGCTACTGAATATGATGGTGAGAGTTGTGCAATGCACAACCCCCCAGGGCAGTATTCCCATTATAGAGTATTTGAATGGTGCCTCCCCAACCAAAGTTGAGCTTTGCACAACCTGCCCAGCCTTACACAACAGCTCTGCCTCTTGTGGGCAAGGACCAGTGTTGGGACAGGTTGATGTGAGACTGGGACGGCTCTATTCAG